>NC_000016.10:32268973-32584180 GCF_000001405.40 Homo sapiens | reverse complement strand
TAGTTTTTATCCTGGGATATTCACTTTTTCACCTTTGATCTTAATGAGCTCCCAAATGTCCATTTGCAGACTGGACAAAAACAGTGTTTCCAGACTGCTGAAACAAAAAAAAAAAGTTTAAATCTGTGAGATGAATGCATACATCAAAAAGCAGTTTCTCAGAAAGCTTATTTCTATTTTTTATCAGAAGATATTTTCTTTTACACCATAGGCCTCAATGCACTACAAAATGTCCATACACAGATCGTGCAAAAAACAATGTTTCCAAACTGCTGAATCAAGAGAAAGGCTTAATTCTGTGAGATGAATGCAAAAATCACAAAGCGGTTTCTCAGATAGTTTCCTTTTAGTTTTTCTCTTGGGATAGTCACTTTTCCACCAATGGCCTCAAAGAGCTCCCAAAAATCCATTCGCACAATGGACAAAAGCATTGTTTCCATTATGCTGATTCAAACAAAAGTTTAACACTGTGAGATGAATGCACACATCACAAAGCAGTTTCTCAGATAGCTTTCTTCTAGCTTTTATGCTGGGATATATGCTTTTTCACCTTTGGCCTCAATGAACTCTGAAATGTCCAGTTGCAGAATGAACAAAAACAGTGTTTCCAAACTGCAGAAACAAAAGAAAGTTTTAAGTCTGTGAGATGAATGCACACATCACAAAGCAGGTTATCAGAAACCTTCTTTCTATTTTTTATCTGAAGATATTTTCATTTTCACCATAGACCTCAATGCACTCCCAAATATCCCTTCGTAGATTCTACAAAAACAGTGTTTTCAAACTGCTGAATACAAAGAAAGGTTTAACTATATGAAGTGAATGCACACATCAAATATCAGTTTTTCAGAAACCTTCTTTCTAATTTTTATCAAAAGCTATTTTCTTTTTCACCATAGACCTCAATGCACTTAAAAATCTCCATTCGCAGAATGGACAGAAACAGTGTTTCTAAACTGCTGAATCAAAAGAAAGGTTTAACTCAGTGAGATGTATGCACACAAAATAAAGAAGTTTCTCAGAGAGCTTCTTTCTAGTTATCGGATGGTATTTTCTTTTTCATCATATGCCTCAATTCGCTCCCAAATATCCCTTCAGAGATTCCACAATTACAGGGATTCCAAACTGCTGAATGAAAAGAAAGGTTTAACTCTGCCAGATAAATGCACACATCACAAAACTGTTTCTCAGATAGCTTCCATCCAGTTTTATTTCTGGGATATCCACTTTTTTGCCTTTGGCCTCAATGAGCTCCCAAATGTCCATTCTCAGACTGGAGAAAAACAGTGCTTCCAAACTGCTGAATCAAAAGAAAGGTTTAACTCTGTGAGATGGAGGCATACAGCACACAGCAGTTTCTCAGAAACTTCTTTCTAGTTTTTATCTGAAGATATTTTCTTTATCACCACAGGCCTCAAAGCACTCCCAAATATCCTTTTGCAGATTCTATAAAAACAGTGTTTCCACACTGCTGAATAAAATTGAAGGTTTAATTACGTGAGGTGAATGCACACATCTCAAAGCAGTGACTCAGAGAGCTTGTTTCTAGTTTTTATCAGAAGATATTTTCTTTTTCACAATAGGCCTCAAAGCACTCCATAATGTCTATTTGCTAAATGTACAAAAAAAAGTTTCCAAACTTCTGAATCAAAGGAAAGGCTTAACTCTGTGAAGTGAACGTACACATCACAAAGCAGTTTCTCAGATAGCTTCCTTCTAGTTTTTATCATGGGACATTCCCTTTTCAACATTGGTCTCAATGAGCTCCCAAATGTCCATTTGCAGAATGTACAAAAACAGTGTTTCCAAACTGCTGAATCAAAAGAAATGTTTAACTCTTCGAGATGAATGCACAGATCACAAATTGGTTTCTCATCAAGTTTCTTCCTAGTTTTTAGCTAACCATATTTCATTTTTCACCGCAGGCCTCAATACACTCCGAAATGTCCATTTGCAGAATGTACAAAAACAGTGTTTCCAAATTGCTGAACCACAAGAAGGGTTTAACTCAGTGAGATGAATGTGCACATCACAAAGTAGTTTCTCAGATAGCTTCCTTTTACTTTTACTCTAGGGATATTCCCTTTTTCACCAATGGCCACAATGAGCTCCCAAATATTCATTCACAGAATGGACAGAAACAGTGTTTCCAAATTGCTGAATCAAAAGAAAAGTTTAATTCTGCAAAATGAAGGCACACTTCACAAAGCAGTTTCTCAGACAGCATCCTTCTAGTTTGTGTCTCGGGATTTTCTCTTTTTCGCTTTTGGCCACAATGAGCTCCCACATTATCCCATCACAGATTCTACAAAAACAGTGTTTCCAAACTGCTGAATGAAAAGAAAGGTTTAACTCGGTGAGATGAATGCACACATGACAAAGCAGTTTCTCACATAGCTTACTTCTAGTTTTTATACTGGGACATTTGCTTTTTCATCATTGGCCTCAATGAGCTCCCAAATGTCCATTCGTACAATGGGCAAAAACAGTGTTTCCAAATTGCTGAATCAAATGAAAGCTTTAACTCTATGAGATGAATGTACACATCACAAAGAAGTTTCTCAGAAAACTTCATTCTAGTTTTTATCTGAAGATATGTTCTTTTTCAGCACACGCCTCAATGCACTCCAAAATGTCCCTCCACAGATTCTACAAAAGGAAGGTTTCCAAACTACAGAATAAAGAAAGGTTTACCTATGTGATTTGAATGCACACATAACATGCAATTTCTCAGAAAGAATCTTTCTAGTTTTAATCGGAAGATATTTTCTTTATCACCATAGGCCTCAATGCACTCCCAAATGTCCATTTACAGAATGGACAAAAACAGTGTTTCCAAACTCCAGAATCAAAAGAAGGGTTTAACTCTGGGAGATGAATGCACATATGACAAAGTGGTTTCTCTGATAGCTTCCTTGCATTTTTTAATCCTGGGATATTCACTTTTACACCATTGGTCTCAATAAGCTCCCAAATATCCTTTCACAGAATGGACAAAAACGTTGCTTCAAAACTGCTGAATCAAAAGAAAAGTTTAACTCAGTCAGATGAATGCACACAGAACAAAGCAAGTTTTCAGAAAGCTTCTTTCTAGTTTTTATCAGAAGATATTTTCATTTTCATCAAAGGCCTCACTGCACTCCCAAATATCCCTTTACAGATTCTACAAAAACAGTGTTTCTAAAATGATGAATGAGAAGAAATATTTACCTATGTGAGATAAATGCACACATTAGAAAGCAATTTCTTTCAAAGTTCTCTCTAGTTTTAATCAAAAGATATTTTCTTTTTCACCATAGGCCTCATAAGTTCCCAAATGTCCATTTGCACATACTACAAAATCAGTTCTTCCAAAATGCTGAATCTAAAGAAAGGTTTAACTCGATGAGACAAATGCACACATCACAAAAAGGTTTCTCAGATAGCTTCATTTTAGTTTTAATTCTGAGATACTTGCTTTTTTGCCATTGGTCTCAATGAGCTCCTGAATGTCAATTCACAGAATGGACAAAAACATTGTTTCCAAACTGCTGAATTAAAAGAAAGGTTTAACACTGTGAGATGAATGAGCACATCACAAAGGAGTTTCTCAGAAAGCTTCTTAGTAATTTTTATCAGAAGATATTTTCTTTTTCACCATAGGCCTCAAAGCACTGCCAAATATCAATGAGCAGAATGGACAAAAACATTGTTTCCAAACTGCTAAGCCAGAAGAAGGGTTTACCTCTGAGAGATGAATGCACTTATCATAAAGCAGTTTCTCAGATAGCTTCCTTCAAGTTTTTATCCTTGGACATTTGTTTTTTTTCATTGGCCTCAATGAGCTCCCAAATGCCCATTCACAGATGGAAAAAAAAACAGTGTTTCCAAACTTTTGAATCAAAAGAACGGTTTAACTATGTAACATGAATGCACATATCACTAAGCGGTTTCTTGGAAAGATTATTTGTAGTTTTTATCTGAACATATTTTTGCACCATAGGCCTTATTTGGCTTCCAAATACCCCCTTTACAACTTCTCCAAAAAGAGTGTTTCCAACCTGTTGAATCAAAAGAAATGTTTTTCTCCATGAGATGAATCCACACATCAGACAGCAGTTTCACAGAAAACTTCTTTCTAGTTTTTATATGGGCATATTCTGTTATTCCCCTTAGGCCATGATGGGCTTTCAATTGTCCCTTTGCACATTCTCCAAAGAGGAGTGTTTCCAAATTGTTGAAACAAAAGAAAGGTTTAAGTCTGTGAGATGAATCCACAGATTACAAAGCTGTTTTAGAAATAGCTCTTTTCTATTTTTTATCTGAAGATATTCGGTTTTGATTCATAGGCCTCAATGGACTTTCAGTTGTCCCTTCACAGATTCTACAGAAAGAGTGTTTCCAGCACACTCAATCAACAGAAAGGTACAATTCTATGAGATTCATCCACACATCACACAGCATATCCACAGACAGCTTCTTTCTAGTTCTTATCTTGGGGTATTGGGTTTTTCCCCATAGGCCTCAGTGGGCTCCCAAATGTCCCTTTGTAGATCCTCCAAAAGAGTATTTTCCACCTGCTGAATCAACAGAAATGTTTAACTCTGTGAGATAAATCCACACATTACAACACAGTTTCACCGATTGATCCTTTCTTGTTTTTCTCTGGGGATTTTCAGTTTTTCCCCATAGGCCTCAATGGGCTCTAAAATGTCAATTCACAGATTCTCCAAAAAAAGTGTTTAGAACTTTCTGAATCAAAAGAAAGGTTTAATTCTGTGAGATGAATCCACTCACCACAAAGCAGTTTTAAAGATGGCTTCTTTCTTGTTTTTATCTAACAATATTCATTTCTTTCCCCATAGGCCTCAATAGACTTACTAATATCCCTTTACTGATTATCAAAAAAAGTGTTTCCAACCTACTGAATCAAAAGAGTGGCTTAACTCTGTTAGACGAATCCACAAATCCCAAAACGGTTTCACAGATAGGTTTCTTTCTTGTTCTTATCTGGGGATATTCAATTTTTTCCCTAGGACTCAATAGGCTCCCTAATGACCCTTCATAGATTCTCCAAAAAGAGTGTTTCCAAACTGCTGTGTCAAAAGAAAGTTTCAAAAATTTTAGATGAATTCACACATCACAAAGCAGTGTCACAGACAGATTCCATTTTTCATCTGGGGATATTCCATTTTTCCCATAGGACTCAATGGGCTCTGAAATGTCCCTTTGCAGATTTGTAAACCAGAGTGTTTTCAACCTGCTGAATCAAAACGAAAGTTTAACTCTGTGAGATGAATCCACACATCACAAAGGAGTTTCACCAATAGATTCTTTCTAGTTTTTTTCTGGGGATATCCGTTTTCATCCTTAGGCCACAGTTAGCTCCCAAATGTACCATCACAGATTCTCCAAAATTGTGTTTCCAATATGCAGTATGAAAAACAAAGCTTATCTCTAACATTTAAGTCTTTAATCCTTCTTAAATTTATTTTTCATAAGGTGTAAGGAAGGGATCCTGTTTCAGCTTTCTACATATGGCTAGCCAGTTTTCCCAGCACCATTTATTAAATAGGGAATCCCTTCCCCATTTCTTGTTTTTGTCAGGTTTGTCAAAGATCAGATGGTTGTACATATGCGACATTATTTCTCAGGGCTCTGTTCTGCTCCATTGGTCTATATCTCTGTTTTGGTACCAGTACCATGCTGTTCTGGTTACTGTAGCCTTGTAGTATAGTTTGAAGTCAGGTTGCATGATGCCTCCAGCTTTGTTCTTTTGGCTATGGATTGACTTGGCAATGTGGGCTCTTTATTGGTTCCATGTGAACTTTAAAGTAGTTTTTTCCAATTCCGTGAAGAATGTCATTGGTAGCTTGATGGGGTTGGCACTGAATCTATAAATTACCTTCAGCAGTATGGCCATTTTCAAAATATTGATTCTTCCCACCCATAAGCATGGAATGTTCTTCCATTTGTTTGTATCCTCTCTTATTTCATTGAGCAGTAGTTTGTAGTTCTCCTTGAAGAGTTCCTTCAAATCCCTTGTAAGTTAGATTCCTAGGTATTTTATTCTCTGTGAAGCAATTGTTAGACCTAAAACCATAAAAACCCTAGAAGAAAACCTAGGCAATACCATTCAGGATATAGGCATGGGCAAGGACTTCATGTCTAAAACAATAAAAGCAATGACAACAAAAGCCAAAACTGACAAATGGGATCTAATTAAACTAAAGAGCTTCTGCACAGCAAAAGAAACTACCATTAGAGTGAACAGGCAACCTACAGAATGGGAGAAAATTTTTGCAATCTACTCATCTGACAAAGGGCTAATATCCAGAATCTACAATGAACTTAAACAAATTTACAAGAAAAAAACAAACCCCATTAACAAGTGGGTGAAGGATATGAACAGACACTTCTCAAAAGAAGACATGTATGCAGCCAAAAGACACATGAAAAATGCTCATCATCACTGGCCATCAGAGAAATGCAAATCAAAACCACAATGAGATACCATCTCACACCAGTTAGAATGGCAATCATTAAAAAGTCGGGAAACAACAGATGCTGGAGAGGTTGTGGAGAAATAGGAACACTTTTACACTGTTGGAGGGACTGCAAACGATTTCAACCATTGTGGAAGTCAGTGTGGCGATTCCTCAGGGATCTAGAACTAGAAATACCATTTGACCCAGCCATCCCATTACTGGGTATATACCCAAAGGATTATAAATCATGCTGCTATAAAGACACATGCACACGTATGTTTATTGCGACACTGTTCACAATAGCAAAGACTTGGAACCAAGCCCAATGTCCAATAATGATAGACTGGATTAAGAAAATGTGGCACATATACACCATGGAATACTATGCAGCCATAAAAAATGATAAGTTCATTCTCCTTTGCAGGGACATGGATGAAGCTGGAAACCACCATTCTCAGCAAACTATCACAAGGACAAAAAACCAACCACCACATGTTCTCACTCACAGGTGAGAATTGAACAACAAGAACACATGGACACAGGAAGGGGAATATCACACACAGGGGCCTATTGTGAGGTGGGGGTAGGGGGGAGGGATAGCATTAGGAGATATACCTAATGTTAAATGACGAATTAATGGGTGCAGCACACCAACATGGCACATGTGTACATATGTAACTAACCTGCACATTGTGCACATGTACCCTAAGACTTAAAGTATAAGAAAAAAAAAAGAAAAGCTTATCTCTGTGAGATGAATCCACATATTGTAAAGCAGTTTCACAGATAGCTTCTTTCTAGTTTTTAATCTGGAAATACTCTGTTTTTCCCCATACTCCTCAAATGTCCCTTCACAGATTCTCCAAAAACAGTGTTTCCAACAGGGTGAGGAAAAAAAAAAACGTTTAACTCTGTGCTGAATCCACATATCACAAAGCAGTTTCACAGATAGCTTCTTTCTAGTTTTCATTGGGGATTATCACTTTTTCCCCAGAGGCCTCATTGGGCTCCCTTATGTCCCTTTGCAGAATCTCCAGAAAGTGTTTCCAACTTGCTGAATCAAAAGAAATATCTAACTTTGTGAGACAAATCTACACATCACAAAGCGGTTTCAGAGATAGCTCATTTCCGTTGTTTTCCTGGGGACATTCAATTTTTCCACATAGACTTAATCAGCTCCCAAATATCCCTTTGCAGATTCTCCAATAATGTGTTTCCAACCTGCTGAATCAAAAGAAAGGTTTAACTCTGTGACTTGAATGCACATATCACAAGCCAGTTTCACAGATAGCTTCCTTCTAGTTTTTATCTGGAGATTTTCTGTTTTTACCATAGGCCTCAAAGGGCTTTTAAACATCCCTTTGCAGATTCTCAGAAAGAGTGTTTTCAACCTACTGAATCCTAAGAAAATTTAAGTCTGTGAGTTGCATCCACCCATCACGAGTAGGTTCACAGAAAGCTTCTTTCTTGTTTTGATCTGGGGATATTTGTTTTTTCCCCATAGTCCTCAATTGGATTCCAAATATCCCTTCACAGATGCTTCAAAAAGAGTGTTTCCAACCTGCTGAATCAAAAGAAAAGTTTAACTCTCTGAGATGAAGCCACACATCCAAAATCAGTTTCACAGATAGCTTCTTTCTAGTTTTTATCTGGCCATATTCAGTTTTTCATCATAGGCCTCAATGTGCTCCCAAATTTCCCTTCACAGATTTTCCAAAAAGAGTGTTTGAAACCTGCTGATTCAAAAGGAAGGTTTAACTCTGGGAGCTGAATCCACACATCATGAAGCAGTTTCAGAGATAGCTTCTTTCTAGTTTTTATCTGAGGATATTTGATTTTTCTCCATAGGCCTCAAAGGGCTCCCAAATGTCCCTTCATAGATTTCCAAAAACAGTGGTTCCAACTTGCTGACTCAAAACAAACTTTTAACTCTGTGAGATAAATCCACACATTACAAAGCAGCTTATCAGATAGCTTCTTTCTAGTTTTTATCTTTGGATATTCCGTTTTTCCCCATAGGCCTCTTTAGGCTTCCAAACCTCCCTTCCCAGGTTCTCCAAAAAGAGTGTTTACAACATGCTGAATCAAAATAAAGGTTTGACTCTGTGAGATGAATCCACACACCAGAAAGCTGTTTCAAAGAATTTGTCTTTGTTCTTTTTATCTGGAGATATTCTGTTTCACCCAAGAGGCCACAATGGGCTACAAAATATCCCTTCACAGATTCTCCACAAAGACTGTTGCCAACCTGTTGGACCAACAGAAATGTTTAGTTCTGTGTGATAAATCCATGCATCAAAAAGCAGTTTCACAAATAGCTTCTCTTCTTTTTTTGTTTGGGGATATTCAATTTTGACACATCAGCCTTATTGGGCTCCTAAATGGCCTATTGCAGGTTCTGCAGTAACAGTGTTTCCAACCTACTGAATCAAAATAAACGTTTAACACTGTAAGATAAAACCACATATTACAAGGCAGTTTCAAAGATAGCCTTTTTCTGTTTTTTTTTTTTTTTTTTTCTGGGGATATTTGCTTATTTCACATAGACTTCAGTGGGCTCCCAAATGTCCCTTAAGATCTTACAAAAAGAGTGTTTCAAACCTGCTGAATCAAAACAAAGGTTTTATTTGGTGAGATGAGTCCTCACATGACAAAGCAGTTTCACAGATAGCTTCTTTCTAGTTTTAATCTGTGGATTTTTTTTTTTTGCCTTTGGCCTAAAATGGCTCACAAATGTCCCTTCACAGATTCCCCAAAAAGAGTTTTTCCAACCTGCTGAATCAAAAGAAAGTTTTAACTCTGGGAGATGAATCCACATATCCCAAAGCAGTTTCAGAGATAGCTTCTTTCTAGTGTTTATGTGAAGAAATTTGATGTTTCCACATAGGCTTCAAAGGGCTCCCAAACGTTTCAGTGTTTCCAATCCGTTGAATCAAAAGAAATATTTAAATCACTTGGATGAATCTACCCATCAAAAAGCAGTTTCACATATACCTTCTATCTAGTTTTTATGTGGGGATATTCGATTTTTCCACAAGGCCTAAATGGGCCTCAAAACATCATGTTGCAGATTCTCCAAAAACAGTGTTTCCAACCTGCTGATTAAAAACAAAGGCTTAACTCCGTGAGTTGAATCCACACATCACAAGGAAGTGATATCTTCTTTCTTGATTTTATCTGATGATATTCAGTTGTTCCCCATTCACATCAATTGACTACCAAATGTCCCTTCGCAGATTCTCCAAAAATAGGGTTTTTAACCTACTGAATTAAAGGAAAGGTTTTACTCTGTGAGGCGAATCCACACATGACAAAGCAGTTTCACAGATAGCTTCTTTCTAGTTTTTATCTGCGGACATTCTGTTTTTCCCCATAGGCCTCAATGGGCTCTGAAATGTCCCTTCACAGATACTACAAAAAAAGTGTTTCTGATCTGCTGAATCAAAAGAAAGGTTTAACACTGTGAGATGAATTCATACCTCACAAAGGAGTTTCATAGATAGCTTCTTTCTAGTTTTTATCTGTCGATATTTGCTTTTTCCCCTTAGATGAAAATGGGCTTCAAATTTCACTTTGCAGACCCTACAAAAATAGTATTTCCAATCTTCTGAATCAAAACAAAGGTTTAACACTGTGAGATGAATCCACACATCACAAAGGAGTTTCAAAGATAGCTTCTTTCTAGTTTTTATCTGGATATTAGTTTTCTCCCCATAGACCTCAATGAGCTCCTAAATGTCTCTTTGCAGATTCTACAAAGAGTGTTTCCAACCTACTGTAGAAAAGAAAGATTTAACTTTGTAAGATGAATCCACACATGACAAAACTGTTTCACAGATAGCTTCTTTCTAGTTTATATCTGGGGATATTTGACTTTTCCACTAGATTTCAATGGGCTCCTAAATGTCCCTTTGTAGATTTTCCCAAAAGAGTATTTCAAACCTTTTGAATAAAATGAAAGGTTTAACTCTGTGAGATGAATCCACACCTCAAAAAGCAGTTTCAAAGATAGCTTTTTTTCTAGCTTTTATCTGGGGATATTGTTTTTCCCCATAGGCCTCCATTGGCTACCAAATGTCCCTTCATAGATTCTACAAAAAAAGTGTTTTCAACCTGCTGAATAAAAAGAACGTTTTAACTCTGTGAGATAAATCCACACATCACAAAGCAGTTTCACAGATAGCTTCTTTCTAGTTTTTACCTGTGGGTATTTCATTTTTCTGCCTAGGCCTCAACTGGACTCCAAAATGTCCCTTCGCAAATACTACAAAAACAGTGTTTCCAAACTGGTGAATCAAAAGAGAGGTTTAACTCTGTGTGATGAACCCACACTCCAAAAGCAGTTTCACAGATAGCTTATTTCTAGATTTTATCTGGAGTTATTCAATTTTTCCCCATAGGCCTTATTGGGCTCCAAAATGTCCATTGGCAGATTCCACAAAAAGTGTGTTTCCAACATGCTGAATCAAAAGAAAGCTTTACCTGTGTGAAATGAGTCCACACATCACAAAGAAGTTTCAAAGATACATTCTTTCTAGTTTTTATCTTTGGATATTCTGTTTTTCCTTATAGGGCTCCATGGGCTCCCAAATGTCTCTTTGCAGTTTCTCCAAAAAGAGTTTTTCCAACTTGCTCAATCGAAATAAAGCTGTAACTCTGCGAGATGAATCCACACATCACATAGCATTTTCACAAATTGCTTCTTTCTAGTTTATATCTGAGGATATTGGATTTTTCCCTGTAGGCCTCAATGGGTTCTAAATTGTTCCTTTGCAGATTCTCCAAAAGGAGCTTTTCCAACCTGCTGAATCAAGAGAAAGTTTTAACTCTGTGAGATGAATCCACACATCAAAAAGCAGTTTCACAGATAGACTTATTTTCGTTTTTTTCTTGGGATATTAGATTTTCACCCATAGGTTATAAAGGGCTCCCAAATATCTCTTTGCAGATTCTCCAAAAGGAGTGTTTCCAACCTGCTAAGACAAAAGAAAAATTGAACTCTGTGAGATAAATCCACACATCCCAAAGTAGATCACAGATAACTTCTTTCTAGTTTTTATATGGGCATATTCAGTTTTTCCCCATATGCCTCAATGTGCTCCCAGATGTGTTCCACACACCACAAAGCAGTTTCACAGATAGCTTCTTTGTTCTTTTTATCTAAGGATATTCAGTTTTGCTTCATAGGCCTCAAAGGGCTCCCAAATGTCCCTTTGCAGATCCTTCAAAAAAAGTGTTTCCAATATGCAGAATCAAATGCAGGTTTAGCTCTGTGAGATGAATCCACACATCTCAAAGCAGTTTTACACATTGTTTTTTTCTAGTTTTCATCTGAGGATATTCTTTTCTTCCTCTAGGCCTCTATATGCTCAAAAATGTTCCCTCACAGATTCTACAAAAAGTGTTTTTCCAACCTGCTGAATCAAAGGAAAGGCTTAACTCTATGAGATAAATCCATGCATTACAAAGCAGTTTCACAGAGATGTTCTTTCTAGTTTTTATTTTGGGATATTCAGTTTTCCCTTATAGGCCCCAAAAAGGTCCCAAATGTTTCATCAGAGATTCTAGAGTGTTTGAAACCTGCAGAATCAAGAGAAAAGTTTAACTCTGTAAGATGAATCCACGCGTCACAAAGCAGTTTCACAGATAGCTTATTTCTAGTTTTTATCTGGGGATATACATTTTTTAAGTCATCAATAATCTCTCAGTTGTCCCCTTGAAGATTCTCCAAAAGGAGGGTTTTCAACCTGCTGAATCAAGAAAACAGTTTATCTCTGTGAGATAAATTCACAAATCACAAAACAGTTTCACAGATAGCTTTTTTTTTTTTTTAGTTTTTATCTGCAGATATTCGTTTTTTTCCCCATAGGCCTCAATGGGCTCCGAAATGTCCCTTTGCAGATTCACCAAAAAGAGTACTTCCAACCAGCTGAATCAAAAGCAAGGATTAACTCTGTGAGATGAATTTAGATGAAAAAAAATTTCACAGATAGCTCCTTTCTAGTTTTTATCTGGGGATATTCGGTTTTTCCCCATAGGCCTTATGGGCTCCCAAATGTCCCATAACAGATTCTCCAAAAAGAGTGTTTCCAACTGGCTGAATCAACAGAAATGTTTAACTCTGTGGGATGAATCCACATATCACAAGACAACTTCACAGTTAACGTCTCTCTAGTTTATGTCTGGTATATTAATTTTTTTCCCATAGGCCTCAATGAGCTCCAAAATGTCTTTTTGCAGATCCTACAAAAAGAATTTTTCCAACATACTGCCTGAAAAGAAAGATTTAGCTCTGTGAGATGAATCTACACCTCATAAAGCATTTCACTGATAGCTTCTTTATAGTTTTTATCTGGATATATTAAGTTTTTCCTTATAAGCCTCAAAGGTGTCACAAATGTCCTTTCACATATCCTAAAAAAAGAGTGTTCTCAAACTTATGGATTAAAAGAAAGTTTCAACTCTGTGAGATGAATCCAAACCTCACAAACCATTTTCACAGATAGAATCTTCCTAATTTTTATCTGGGATATTCAATTTTTCTTCATAGGCCACAATGGGCTACAAAATGTCCTCTTGCAGATTGTCTAAAAAGAGCGTTTCCAACCTGCTGAAAAAAAAACCTTTAACTCTGTGAGATGAATCCACGCATCACAAAGCAATTTCAAAAATAACTTCTCTCTAGTTTTTATCTGGGGTTATTCTCTTTTACACCTTAGACCTCAATGGGTTCCCAAATGTCTTTTCTTAGATTTTACAAAAAGAGTGTTTCCAACCTGCAGAATCAAGAGAAAGGTTTATCTTTGTGAGATAAATCCACACATAATAAAACAGTTTCACGGATACCTTCTTTCTGGTTTTTATCTATGGATATTTGGTTTTTCCCTTTCTGCCTCAATTGGCTTCAAAATGTTGCTTTGCAAATTCTCCAAAAAGATTTTCCAACATGCTGAATCAAAAGAATAATTTAACTCTGTGAGTAGAGTCCACACATCAAAAACCAGTTTCACAAAGATTCTTTCTACTTTTTTTCTGGGGATATTTGGATTTTTTCTGTAGGCCTCAACTGGCTCACAAATGTCCCTTTGCAGATTCTCCAAAACGAGTGTTTATAACCTGCTGAATAAAAAGGATGATTTAACTCTGTGAGATGAATCCACACATTACAAAGCAGTTTTGCAGCTAGCTTTTTTCTAATTTATTTTTTCTGGGGATACTCATTTTCTTCCCATGGGCTTCAATGGGCTCCCAAATGTGCATTCCCAGAGTCCCCAAAAAGAGTGTTTCCACCATGCTAAATAAAAAGAAAAGTTTAATTCTGTGAGAGGAATCAACACATCAAAAAGCAGTTTCACAGATAGTTTCTTTCCGCTTTGTATCTGGGGATATTTGATTTTTCCCCTCAGGCCCTTGTGGGCTCACAGATTTTCTGAAAAGAGTGTTTCCAATCTGCTGAATCAAAAAAAAGTTTAACTTTGTGAGATGAATCCACTCATTATGAAGCAGTTGCTCAAATAGCTTCTTCTAGTTTTATTCATGGACTATTCTGTTTTACACCATAGGCCTCTAAGGGCTTCAAAATGTCCCTTCTCAGATACTGCAAAAAGAGTGTTTCAAACCTGCTGAATCAAAACAAAGATTTAACTCTGTGAGATGACTCCAGACATCCCAATGCAGTTTCACAGATTGCTTCTAGTTTTTATTGGGGGATATTCAATTTACCACCTAGGCCTCAATAAGCTCTCAAATGTCCCTTTGCTGATTCTCCAAAAGAAATGTTTCCATGCTGCTGAATCAAGACAAAAATTTAAATCTGTGCAAAGAATCCACACATCACAAAGCAGTTTCACAGATAGCTTCTTTGTAGTTTTTATCTGGGGACATTCTGTTTTTCCCCCAAGGCCTCAATGGGTTTTGAAATATCATTTTGCAGATACTTTGAAAAGAGTGTTTCCAACCTGCTGAATGAGAGGAAATGTTTATCTCTGTGAGATGAATCCACACATCACAAAGTAGTTTCACAGATAGCTTTTTTGTAGTTTTTATGTGGGGAAATTCAATTTTTTATAGGCCCCCAAAAGCTTCCAAATGTCTCTTTGCAGACACTCCAAAACTACTGTTTAAAACCTGCTGAATCAAAAGAAAGGTTTACCTCTGTGAGATGGATCTGCACATCACAAAGCAGTTTCATAGATAGATTCTTTCTAGTTTTTATATAGGAATATTTGGTTTTTCCTGTGATCCTCAAAGCGCTCCCAAATATCACCTCACATATCCTCCAAAAGAGTGTTTCCAACCTGCTTAATCAAAATACAGTTTTAACTTTGGAAGATGAATCCATACATCACAAAGTAATTTCACAGATAGCTTCTTTCTAATTTTATCTGGGGATATTTGGTTTTTCTCCATAGACCTCAATGGGCTCCCAAATGTCCTTTCACAGATTCCCCAAAAAGAGTGTTTTCAACCTTCTGAATGAAAAGAAAGTTTTAGCTGTTTATGATGAATCCACACATCACAAACTGTTTCTCAGAAAGCTTTTTTCTAACTTTTATTGGAGATATTCAGTTTTTCGCTGTAGATTTCAATGGGCTTCAAAGTGTCCCTTTGCAGATTCTCCAAAAAAGTGTTTCCAACCTGCTGAATGAAAAGAGAGGTTTTACTCTGTGCAATGAATCCACATATCACGAAGCAGTTTCACTAGATGGCTAGTTTCTATTTGTTTTCTGGGATATTTTGCTTATTTCCATAGGCCTCAGAATGTCCCTTCACAGATTCTCCAAAAAGAGTTTTTCCAAAACACTGAATCAAAAAAACAAGTTTATGTCTGTGAGATAAATCCACACATCACCAAGCAGTTTCAAAGAGCTTTTTGCTAGTTTTTATCTGGGGGTATTCAATTTTTCTCCATAGGCCTCGAAGGGCTCCCAAATGTCTCTTCGCAGATTCTCCAAAAAGAGTGCTTCCAATCTGCAGAATCAAAAGAAAAGTTCAAGTTTCTGATATGAATCCACACATCAAAAGCAGTTTCACAGATAATTTCTTTGTAGTTTTTAACTTGGAATACTCAGTTTTTCCCCTTAGGCCTTAATATGCTCCCAAATGTCTTTTTGCAGATTCTCTAAAAAGAGGTTTTCCAACCTGCTGAATCAAAAAAAAAAAAAAAGGTTTAACTCTGTGAGATGTATCCACACATCTCAAAGCAATTTCAGAGACAGCTGCTTTCAAGTTTTTATCTGGAGATATTCAGTTTTACCTCAATGGGCTCAATGGGCTCCCAAATATCCCTTCACAGATTCTTAAAAAGGAAAATGTGTTTCCAAGCGGCTGAATCAATAGAAAGGCTTAACTCTGTAAGATGAATCCACACATAACAAAGCAGATTCACTGATAATTTCTTTCTATTTTTTTCTGGGGTATTCAGATTTTTCCCCCTAGGACTCAATGGGCTCCAAACAGTCCCTTCACATGATTTTTAAAAAAAAGTGTTTCCAGCCTTCTAAATCAAAAGAAAGTTTTAACTCTGTGAGATGAATCCACACATCAGAAAGCAGTTTCACAGATTGCTTCCTTCTAGTTTTTTCTTGGGATATTCGGTTTTGCCCCTTAGGCCTTAATGGTCTCCAAAAGGTCTTTTTGCACATTCTGCAAAAAAGGGTTCCCAGTCTGCTGAATCATAGAACAGTTTAACTCTGTGGAATGAATCCACACTTCACAAGCAGTTTAACCGATAAGTTCTTTCTAGTTTTTAACTGGGGATATTTGGTTTTGCCATATAAGCCCTAATGGGCCCCCAAATGTCCCTTCACATAGTCTCCAAAAAGCATGTTTCCAACCTGATTAATCAAAAGAAATGTTTAACTTTGTAAGGTGAATCCACTTATCACAAAGTATTTTGACAGTTAGCTTCTATCCAGTTTTTATGTAGGGACATTTTGTTTTTCCTCATAGGCCTCCAGGAGCTCTCAAATGTCCCTTTACAGATTGTGCAAAAAGAATGTTTCCAAACTCCTGAATCAAAAGAAATGCTTAAGTTCATGAGATGAATCCACACATCACAATGCAGTTTCAGAGATAGGTTCTTTCTAGTTCTTATCTGGGAATATTCTGTTTTTTTCCTTAGGCCTTCAGGGGTTCCCAAATGTTCCTAGGCAGATTCTTCAAAAAGTGTTTTCAACAAGCTGTGTCTGAAGAAAAGTTTAATTTTGTGAGATGAATCCACATATCACAAAGCAGTTTCAGAGCTAGGTTCTGTCTAGTTTTTATCTGGGTATATTCAGTTTTTCCCCATAGCCCACAATGGACTTCTAAATATCCCTTCACAGATTAACCAAAAAGAGTGTTTCCTACCAGCTAGATCAAAAGAAAAGTTTACACTGTTAAATGAATCCCTATCTCATAAAGCAGGGATAAATCTCTGCAAAATGGGTTCTTTCTAGTTTGTATCTGGAGATATTCGTTTTTCCCTGTAGACATCAATAGGCTCTGAAATATCCCTTCGCAGATTTTCCAAAGAGTGTTTCCATCCTGCTGAATCAAAAGAAAGGTTTAACACTGTGAGATGAATCCACAATTTAAAAAGCAGTTTCACAGACAGCTTCTTTCTAGTTTTTAGCTGGGAATATTCTGTTTTCCACTGTAGGCCTCAATGGGCTACAAAATGTCCCTGTGCAGATTATCCAATGAGAGTTTTTCCAACCTTCTGAATCAAAAGAAAGGTTTAACACTGTGAGATGAATCCACTCTTAACAAAGCAGTTTCACAGACACATTCTTTCTAGAATTTATCTAACGATATTTGTTTTTTTCCCATAGGCCTCAAGAGGTTCCCAAATGTCCCTTCACAGATTCCCCAATAAGTGTTTCTAACCTGCTGAATTGAAAGGTTTAACATTGTGATATGAATCCACACAACACAAAGCAGTTTCACAAGTAGCTTCTTTCTAGTTTTTATCTGGGGATATTTTGTTTTCCCCAAATGCTTCAAAAGGGCTCCAAAATATCTTTTTGCTGATTCTTTAAAAAGAGTGTCTCCAACCTGCTGAATCAAAAGAAAGGTTTAACTCTGTGAGATGAATCCACCCATAACAAAGCCATTTCACAGATAGCTTATTTCTAGTTTTTATTTGGGGTTATTTTGTTTTTCCCCATAGGTCTCAATGGGTTCCCAAATGTCCCTTCACAGATTCTCCAATCAGAGGCTACCCAACCTGCTGTGTCAAAAGAAAGATTCAACTCAGTGAAATGAATTGACACCTTAAAAGCAGTTTCACAGATAACTTCTTTGAAGTTTTTATCAGGATATTCTATTTTTCCCATGGGCCTCAATGGACTTCCAAATGTCCTTTCCCAGATAATCCAAAAATGGTGCTTTCAGCGTGCTGAATCCAAAGAACTGTTTAACTCTGTGAGAAGAACCCACACATCGCAAAGCAGTGTCACAGGTAGCTCCTTTCTACTTATTATCTGGGGATGTTCACTTTTTCCACATAGGCGTCAATGTGTTCCCAAATGTCCCTTCACAGTTTCTACAAAAAAAGAGGTTCCAACCTCTTGAATCAAAATAAAGTTTTACCTATGTGAGATGAATCCACACATCACAAAGCAGTTTCACAGATAGCTTGTTTTTCAATTTAATCTGGGGATATTCAGTTTTTCCCTGTAGGTCACAGTCGGCTCCCAAATATCCTTTCCCACATTCTCCAAAGAGAATGTTTCCAACCAGCTGAATCAAAAATAGGTGTACCTCTGTGATTTGAATCCACACATAACAGAACAGTTTCACAGATAGATTGTTTTCAGTTTTTATCTGGGGATATTTTGTTTCTCCCCATAGACCTCAATGGGCTCCTAAACGTCCCTTCACAGATTCTCCTAAAATAGTGGCTCCAACCAGCTGAATCAAAGGAAATGTTTAACTCAGTAAGATGAATCCACACATCACAAAGTAGTTTCACAGAAAGCTTCTTTCTAGTTTTAATCTGGGAATATTCAGTTTTTCCCCATGGGCCACAATTGGCTCCCAAATATCCCTCTGCATATTCTCCAAAAGAGTTGTTTCAAAGAGCTGAATCAAAAGAAGGGTTCAACTCTGTGATATAAATCCACACATCACAAAGCAGTTTCACAGATAGCTTTTCTCTAATTTTTATCTGGGGATATTTTGTATTTCCTGATAGGCCTCAATGACTCCAAAATGCCCCCACACTGATTCTCCAAAAAGTGTGGTTCTAACCTGCTCAATCAAAATAAAGGTTTATCTCTGTGAGATGAATCCACACATTACAAAGCAGTTTCACAGATAGCTTCTTTCTAGATTTTATCCGGGGATATGAGGTTTTCCCCACAGTTCTCATTGGGCTCTCAAAAGGTCCTTCACAGGTTCTTTTAAAAAAGTTTCTGCAACCTGCTGAATCAAAACAATGATATAACTTGGTAAGATGAATCCACATATTACAATACAATTTCACTGATAGCTTCTTTCTAGTGTTTATCTGGAGATAGCCATTGTTTTTCCATAGGCCTCAATAAGCTCCCAAATGTTTCTTCACAAATTCCCCGAAAAGAGTTTCCAACCTGCTGAATCAAAAGAAAGTTTCAATCTGTGAGATGAATGCACACATCACAAAGCAGTCTCACAGACAGTTGCTTTCTAGTTTTTATCTGGGGATAGTCTGTTTTTTGTCCTCAGGTTCCAATGGGCTCTTTATTGTCCCTTTGCAGATTCTATGAAAAGAGTGTTTCAACCTTATGAATCAAAAAATTTTAAAGGTTTAAGTCTGTGAGATGAATCCACACATCACAAAGCAGTTTCACAGAGAGCTTCTTTCTAGTTTGTATCTGGGGATATTTTATTTTTCCCCATAGGCCTTAATGGGCTCTCAAATGTCCATTTGCAGATTCTTCAAAAAACTGTTTCTCACCTGTTGAATCTAAAGAAATGTTTAACTTTGTGAGATGTATCCAAACATTAGAAAGCAGTTTCAGAGAAAGCTTTTTTCTAGTTTTTATCTTGGGATATTTGATTTTTCCCATAGGCCTCTTTGACTGGCAAAGTGTCCTCTCATGATTTCTGCAAAATAGTGTTTCCAACCTGCTGAATCAAAGAACAAATTAAACTCTGTGTGATGAATCCACGCATTGCAAAGCATTTTCACAGATAGGTTCTTTCTGGTTTTTATCTTGGGATATTCAGTTTTTCCGCTAGGCGTGTCTGGGCTCCCAAATCTCCCTTCACAGTTTTTACAAAAAGAGGGTTTCCAATCTGCTGAATCCAGGGAAATATTTAGCTTTATGAGAGGAACCCCAACATCACAAAGGAGTTTCACAGATAGCTTATTTCTAGTTTTTATCTGAGTTTATTCACTTTTTCCTCAAAAGCCTTGATGGGCTCTCAAGTGCCCCTTTGATGATTCTACAAAGAGTATTTCTGGCCTACTGAATCAAAAGAAAGTTTTCACTCTATGAGATGAATCCACATATCACAGATCAGTTTCACTGATAATTTCATTCTCGTTTTTGTCTGGGGATATTCAGTTTTTCCCTTTGGGCCTCAATGGGCTCCCAATTGTCCCTTCTCAGATTCTCCAGAAAGAGTGTTTCCCAGCTGCTGGAGCAAAAGAAAGGTTAAACTGTGTGAGGTGCTCCACATATCACAAAACAGTATCAGAGATATCTTCTTTCTAGTTTTTATCTGGAGATATTTTGTTTTCCCCATAGGCCTCAATTGGCTCCCAAATGTCCCTTTGCAGATTCTACAAAAAGTGTGTTTCCAAGAAGCTGAATCAAAAGAAAGGTTTAACTCTGTGAGATTAATCCACACATCACAAAGCAGTTTCACAATTAACTTCCTTGTAGTTTTTATCTGGGGAAATTCGCTTTTTTTGCCATAGGTCTCAATGGTCTCCCAAATGTCCCTTCACAGATACTACAAAAAGAGTCATTACAACCTGCTGAATCAAAAGAAATGTTTAATTTTATGAGATGAATGCTCACATTATGAAGCAGTTTCACATACCATTTCTTTCTTTTTTTTCTTTGAAGATTACTTTTAATGAGCTAATAATTACATTGTTGCCCAGTGTCACATTTTCTATACACACACACACACACACACACAAATGCACACACACACAATCTTTGGAATGGAATTTTTTTAAGACAGAGATTACTGGTTCAAAGCAGAATGCACATGCTCTTGGATCTTCTAGAAAAATAGCATCTAAAAGTACAGTAAATCTCACCCTAGCACCTCTAATACAGTCAATCTTCTCAAAGGCTGCAGTTGGAAATATCACATTCAGGTGAATTCAAACTACCGACTGTTCTATTTCAATAATAATAATAACTAATTGTGTCTCACGCCTACACATTCCTAGACATAAGGAAATTGCTTTGGAAATGTGTTCACTGGGATTCTTTAGATTACAAGGGACAGAATCGCAACTTAAGCTGACCAAGGCAAAGTAGACAATTCATTGGAAAAATAACAGAATCAAACAGAATTCTGGACAGGCAAACCACAGGGAAGAAGTAGATAAAATTAAGTGTCAACAAAATTCAGGGACCTTACTCCCAATAGGCCTCTATATCTCTTGTCTATGCTTTTTTTGGTATATTGTCTTTACTCTCTCTCATTGCAGAACAGCTACCTCAACATTGTAAAAAAATAAAATAAAATTGTAGGAGCTGACAGCTCTCTAGTATCCCATCTAATAATTCCCAGAACAAGAAAAGGGAAAATTCTCGTTTTGATACAATTTGAAAATAAATGCCCTAGAAAGGGCTCTGTTGTTTAGCAAAGTTTGGGTTGGATGACCATCCCTGTACCAATCAATGTAACCAGTGGTTAAAGGATGGAGTCAAACCTTCTAATAATAGGTCTTTGTGCAAACATACAGTTTGAATGGCAGAAGAAACAAATCCCTCAGGAGGCTGGCTATTTAGATAAACCAACAGGTATTCCAAGAAGGGTGAGGTGATTTGTTCCCAAGATACAGAGTAAAAATGGCAGGTAAGAAGCTAGAATCTAAGGCTTTTTCTTCCAAAGCAAATGAATTCTTTTCTACTTCATGCAATTATTACCATCCAAAGAATCACTTCACCATTTTACGAGGTTAATCTCACCAAATTATCCTTCACATAGTAACCTTATCTGCACCTCCATGCCATCATCGATTTGGTCTTCTATACCTCTAGGCTTTCCTCTACCTCCTACTTATTCTTCTTGGTCCATGGGTCTGTTTTTTTATTATACTTTAAGTTTTAGGGTACATGTGCACATTGTGCAGGTTAGTCACATATGTATACATGTGCCATGCTGGTGCGCTGCACCCACTAACTCGTCATCTAGCATTAGGTATATCTCCCAATTCTATCCCTCCCCCTCCCCCCACCCCACAACAGTCCCCAGAGTGTGATATTCCCCTTCCTGTGTCCATGTGATCTCATTGTTCAATTCCCACCTATGAGTGAGAATATGCGGTGTTTGGTTTTTTGTTCTTGCGATAGTTTACTGAGAATGATGATTTCTAATTTCATCCATGTCCCTACAAAGGATGAATAATGCCGCAATAAACATAAGTGTGCATGTGTCTTTATAGCAGCATGATTTATAGTCCTTTGGGTATATACCCAGTAATAGGATGGCTGGGTCAAATGGTATTTCTAGTTCTAGATCCCTGAGGAATCGCCACACTGACTTCCACAATGGTTGAACTACTTTACAGTCCCACCAACAGTGTAAAAGTGTTCCTGTTTCTCCACATCCTCTCCAGCACCGGTTGTTTCCTGACTTTTTAATGATTGCCATTCTAACTGGTGTGAGATGGTATCTCATTGTGGTTTTGATTTGCATTTCTCTGATGGCCAGTGATGATGAGCATTTTTTCATGTGTTTTTTGGCTGCATAAATGTCTTCTTTTGAGAAGTGTCTGTTCATGTCCTTCGCCCACTTTTTGATGGGGTTGTTTGTTTTTTCTTGAAAATTTGCTTGAGTTCATTGTAGATTCTGGATATTAGCCCTTTGTCAGATGAGTAGGTTGTGAAAATTTTCTCCCATTTTGTAGGTTGCCTGTTCACTCTGATGGTAGTTTCTTTTGCTGTGCAGAAGCTCTTTAGTTTAATTAGATCCCATTTGTCAATTTTGTCTTTTGTTGCCATTGCTTTTGGTGTTTTAGACATGAAGTCGTTGCCCATGCCTATGTCCTGAATGGTAATGCCTAGGTTTTCTTCTAGGATTTTTATGGTTTTAGGTCAAACGTTTAAGTCTTTAATCCATGTTGAATTGAATTTTGTATAAGGTGTAAGGAAGGGATCCACTTTCAGCTTTCAGGAAATAAAAGAGGATACAAACAGATGGAAGAACATTCCATGCTCATGAGTAGGAAGAATCAATATCGTGAAAATGGCCATACTGCCCAAGGTAATTTACAGTTTCAATGCCATCCCCATCAAGCTACCAATGCCTTTCTTCACAGAATTGGAAAAACTAAAGTTCATATGGAACTAAAAAAGAGCCCGCATCGCCAAGTCAATCCTGAGCCAAAAGAACAAAGCTGGAGGCATCACACTACCTGACTTCAAACTATACTACAAGGCTACAGTTACCAAAACAGCATGGTACTGGTACTAAAACAGAGATATAGATCAATGGAACAGAACAGAGCCCTCAGAAATAACACTGCATATCTACAACTGTCTGATCTTTGACAAACCTGAGAAAAAGAAGCAATGGGGAAACGATTCCCTATTTAATAAATGGTGCTGGGAAAACTGGCTAGCCGTATGTAGAAAACAGACCGTTTCTTTCTAGCTTTTATCTGGGGATATTCTGTTTTCCCCATAGGCCTCAAGAGGTTCCTAAACATCCCTTCACAGATTCTACAAAAATAATGCTCCAAAACTGCTGAATCAAAGGGAAGATTTAGCTTTATGAGATGAATTTTCACATCTCAGGGAGTTTCAAAGATAGCTTCATTCTAGTTTTTACCTGGGAATATTCAGGTTTTCCCATTAGGCCTCAATTGACACCCAAATTAGCCTTCTCAGATTCCACAGAAAGAGTGTATCCAAACTGGTGAATCAAAAGAAAGGTTTCTCTCTGCGAGAGGAATCCACACATTGCAAAGAAGTTTCATAGATACCAACTTTCTAGTTTTTATTTGGGGATATTCGTTTTTTCCCCACAGGCCTCAATGGGCTCCCAAGTGTCCCTTTGCAGATTATCCAAAAAGACTGTTTCCAACCTGCTGAATCATAAGAAAGTTTTGTCTTTCATATGAATCCACATGTCACAAAGTACTTTCACAGATAGCACAGATAGCTTGTTTTTAGTTTTTGTCTGGGGATATTCATTTTTTTCTCATAGGCTACAAAAAGCTCCCAAATGTCCCTTTGCAGATTCTCCAAATAAAGTGTTTCCAACATGGTGAATCAAAAGAATTTTTTAAATCTGTGAAAGGAATCCACACATCACAAAACAGCTTCACAGATAGCTTCTTTCTAGTTTTATCTGGGGATATTCTGTTTTTTTCCATAGGCATTAATGGGTTTTCAAATGTCTCTTCACAGATTCTCCAAAAACAGTGTTTCCAACCTGCTGAATCAAAAGAATACTTAAACTCTGTCAGATGAGTTCACACAACACAAAGCAGTTTCACAAATAGCTTCTTTCTAGCTTGTATCTGGAAATATTCGCTGTTGGGAACAAGCCACCCAAAATCTGGCCATAAACTGGCTCCCAAATTGGCCATAAACAGTCTCTGCAGCACTGTGACAGGTTCATGAGGGCCGTAATGCCCACGCTGGAAGGCTATGTGTTTACAGGAACGATGGAAAGGAACACCAGGCCTGCCCAGGGCAGAAAACCGCTTAAAGGTATTCTTAAGCCACAAACAATAGCATGAGTGATCTGTGCCTTAAGGACATGCTCCTGCTGCAATTAACTAGCCCAACCCATTCCTTTAATTCAGCCCATCCCTTCATTTCCCATAAAGGATACTTTTAGTTAATTTAATATCTATAGAAACAGTGCTAATATCTGGCTTGCTGTTAATAAACACTTGGGTAAATCTCTGTTCAGGGCTTTCAACTCTGAAGGCAGTGAGATCCCTGATTTCCCATTTCACACCTCTATATTTCTGTGTGCCTGTCTTTAATTACTTTAGTGCCTCTGGGTTAGGGTCTCCCCAACAGAGCTGGTCTCAGCAATTCACTTTCTCCCTATAGGCCTCAGAGGACTCTGAAATGTCCCTTCACAGATTCTCCAAAAAGTATTTTCAACATGCAGAAACATAAGAAAGATTTACCATTGTCATTTGAATCCACACATAACAAAGAAGTTTCACACATAGCTTCTTTGTAGTTTTTATTTGGGGATATTTTGTTTTTCCCTATAGGCCTCAAAGGGATCCAAATGTCCCTTTACAGATTCTACAAAAAAAGTGTTTCCAACCTGCTGGATAAGAAGAAAAATTTAACTCAGTGAGATGAATCCACACATCACACAAAAGTTTCAGTAGGCCTCAATGGGCTCCCAAATGTCCCTTTGCTGATTCTCCAAGAAGAGTGTTTTCAACCTGCTGAATCAAAAGAAAACTTAAATTCTGTCAGGTGAGTTCACAAACCACAAAGCCATTTCACAGATAGCTTCTTTCTAGTTTTTATTTGGAAATGTTTGGTTTCTCCCTATAGGCCTCAAAGGAATCCCAAATGTCCCTTTGCAGATTCTCCAAAAGGAGTATTTCCAACCTGTGGAATCATAAGAAAGATTTAATATTGCCAGTTGAATCCACACGTCAAAAAGAAGTTTCACACATAGCTTCTTTGTAGCTTTTATCTTGGATATTCGATTTTTCCCTATAGGCCTCAAAGGGATCCAAATATCCCCTTGCAGATTCTACAAAATAGGTTTTTCCAACCTGCTGAACAAGAAGAAAAAGTTATCTCTGTGAGATTAATCCACACATCTCAAAGCAGTTTCAGTAGGCTCCAATGGGCTCCCAATGTCCCTTTGCAGATTCTACAAAAAGACTGTTTCCAACCTGCTGAATCAAAAGAAAGTTTTAACACTATGAAATGAATCCACGCATCACAAAGCTGTTTCACAGATAGCTTCTTTCTAGTTTTTATCTGGGAATATTCCATTTTTTTGCATAGGCCTCAATGGGCTTTCAAATGTCCCTTCGCAGATTCTCCAAAAAGAGTGTTTGCAACTTGCTGAATGAAAAGAAAACTTAAACTCTGTCACATGAGTTCACACAACACAAAGCAGTTTTACAGATAGCTTCTTTCTAGTTTTTTTCTGGAAATATTCGGTTTCTCCCTATAGGCCTCAAACGACTCCCAAATGTCCCTTCGCAGATTCTCCAAAAAAAGTATTTCCAACCTGTGGAATCATAAGAAAGATTTAACATTGTCAGTTGAATCCACAAATCACAAAGAAGTTTCATACATACCTTCTTTGTAGTTTTTATCTGGTGATATTCAGTTTTTCCCCATACACCCCAAAGTGCTCCTGAATGTCCCATTTCATATTCTCCAAAAAGAATGTTTTCCACCCACTGAATCCAAAGAAAGAATTAACTCTGTAAGATGAATCCACACATCAAAATGCAGTTTCACAGATAGCTTCCTTCTAGTTTTTATCTGGGGATATTCCGTTTTTACCCCAGGCATAAATGGGCTCACAAATGTCCCTTCACAGATTCTACAAAAAGGATGTTTCCAACCTACTGAATAAAAAAAAAATTTACTGCTGTAAGTTAAATCCACACATTACAAGCAGTTTCACAGGTAGCTTCTCTCCAGTTTTATCTAAGGATATTCAATTTTTCCACATAGGCCTCATTGGACATTCAAGTGTCCCTTCGCAGATTCTGCAAAAAGAGTGTTTCCAACATGCTGAGTCAAAACAAAGGTTTAACTCTGTGAGATGAATCCATATATCACAAAGTAGTTTCACATATAGCTTCATTCTAGTTTTTATCTGGGGATATTCAGTTTTTCCAATTAGGCTTCAATTGGGTCCCAAATTTCTTTTCACAGATACTAAACAAAGGCTGTTTCCAAACTGTTGAAACAAAAGAAAGTTTTTTTCTCTGTGAGAAGAATCCACACATCACAAAGCAGTTTCATAGAGAGCTTCTATCTAATTTTCAATTGGGGATATTTGGTTTTTCCCCAGTGGCCTCAATGGGCTCCCAAATGCTCCCTCACAGATTCTCCAAAAAGAGTGTTTCCATCCTACTGAATCAAAAGAAATATTTAAAATTGTGAGATGAATCCACACATCACAAAAATTTCGCAGATAGCTTCTTTCTAGTTTTTATCTGGGGATATTTGATATTTCCCCATAGGACCCAATGGGTGCTGAAATGTCCCTTCACAGATTCTATGATAAAAGTCTTCCCAAGCTGCTGAATCAAAAGAAAAGTTTAAGTCTCTGAGATGAGTCCACACATCACAAAGCAGTTTCCCAGACACCTTTTTTCTAGTTTTTATTGGGGGATATTCAGTTTTTCTTTAGTAGCCTCAATGAACTCCCAAATGTCTTTTCCAGATACTTCAAAAAGACTGTTTCCACCTGCTGAATCAAAAGAAAGGCTGAACTTTGTGAGATGAAATCAAACATCAGAAAGAAGTTTCACAGAAAGCTTCTTTGTAGTTTTTATCTTGGGATATTCTGTTTTTCCCCATAGGCCCTAATGGGTTTCCAAATATCCCTTTGCAGGTTCTCCAAAAAGTGTGTTTCCAACGTGCCAAATCTAAGGAAAGGTTTAACTCTGTGAGATGAATCCACACATCACAAAGCAGTTTCACAGATAGTTTCTTTGGATTTTCTGTCTGCTGATATACTGTTTTTCCCCTTAGGCCCCAAGGGGTTCTTAAATGTCCCTTCACAGATTCTCCAAAAAGAGTGAGTCCAACGTGCTGAATCAAAAGAAAGGTTTAACTCTGTGAGATGATTTCAGACATCACAAAGTAGTTTCACAGGTAGATTATTTCTAGTTTTTATCGGGATATTCAGTTTTTCCCATTAGTCTTCAATTTGCTTCCAAATTTCAATTCACAGAATCTACAGAAAAAAGTGGTTCCAAACTGCTGAATTAAAAGAAAGGTTTTTTTTCTCTGTGAGAAGAATCCACACATCACAAAGTAGTTTCATAGATAGCTGCATTGTAGTTTCTATTTGGGGATATCCGGTTTTTCCCCATAGGTCTACATGGGCTCCCAATTGTCCCATCGAAGATTCTCCAAAAAGAGTGTTTCCACCATGCTGAACCAAAAGAAATGTTTAACTTTGTGAGATGAATCCCCACATCACAAAGCTGTTTTACAGATAACTCCTTTTATGTTTTTATCTGGTAATATTCTGTTTTTACCCATAGGCCTACAAAGGCCCCAAAATGTCCCTTCACAGATACTACAAAATGAGTGTTTCCAGACTGCTGAATAAGAAGAAACATTTAACTCTCTAAGATGAATCCACACATCACAAAGCATTTTTGCAAATAGCTTGTTTCTAGTTTTTATCTAGGGATGTTCTGTTTTTACCCTGAGTCTCAATGGGCCCCCAAGTGTCACTTCACAGATTCTCCAAAAACAATGTTTCCATCCTGCTTAAACAAAAGACAGTTTTAACACTGTGAGATGAAACCACACATCTCAAAGCCGTTTCACAGATAAATTCGTTCAAGTTTTTATCTGGGGATACTCGGTTTTTCACCAGAGGCCTCAGTGGGCTCACAAATGTCAGTTTTCAGATTCTCCAATTAGAGTGTTTCCAACCTACTGAATCAAAACAAAGGTTTAACTCTGTGAGCTGAATCCACACTTCACAAGGCAGTTTCACAGAGAGTTTCTTTCTAGTTTTTATCTGGGGATATTTGGTGCTTCTTAATAGGCCTCCATGGGCTTCCAAATGTACCTTTGCAGATTCTACAAAAGGAGGGCTTCCAACGTGCGAATAAGAAGAAAAATTTAACTCTGTGAGATAAATCAACATATTACAAAGCAGTTTCACAGATAGCTTCTTTCTAGTTTTTATCTGGGGATATTCGCTTTTTCACTAGAGGCCTCAATGAGCTCCCAAAAGTCCCTTTGCTGATTCTACAAAAAAATTGTTTCAAACCTGCAGCATCAAAATGATTGTTTAGCACTGTGAGATTAATCCACCCATCACAAAGCCATTTCACAAATAATAGCTTCTTTTTAGTTTTTATCTTGGTATATTCAGTTTTTCCTCATAGACCTCAATGGGTTATCATTTGTCCCTTTGCAGATTAACCAAAAGAGTGTTTCCAACCGCCTGAATCAAAAGAAAGTTTTAACTCTGTGGGTTAAATCCACACATCACAAAGTAGTATGACACAGAGCTTCTTCCTAGTTTTTATCAGGATATTCTGTTTTCCCCATAGGCCTCAATGGGCTCCCAAATGTCCCATCGCATATTTTCCAGGAAGTGCATTTACAGTCTGCTGAATCAAAAGAAAGATATAATGCTATGGGATGAATCCACACATCAGAAAGCAGATATCTTCTTTCTAGATTTTATCTGGAGATATTCTGTTTTCCTTCACAGGCCTAAATGGGCTTTCAAATGTCCCATCACATATTTTCCAAAAAGAGTATTTCCAACCTGCAGAATCATAAGAAAATTTTAACTCCATGAGATGAATACACATCACAAAGCAGTTTCAGATAGCTTCTTTCGTTTTTCTATCTGGTGATATTCTATTTTTCTTTGTAGGCCACAATGGGCTCTGAAATGTGTCTTCACAGTTTCTCAAAAAGACTGTTTTAATCCTGCTGAATCAAAAGAAAGGTTTAACACTGTGAGACGAATCCACCTATCACAAAGCTGTTTCACTAATAGCTTCTTTGTGGTTGTTATGTGGTGATATTCGATTTTCCCCATAGGCCTTAAGGAACTCCAAAATGTCCCTTCACAGATTCTACAAAAAGAGTGTTTGCAACCCTCTGAACAAGAAGAAAACATTAACTCGTGAGATGCATCCACACATCACAATACTGTTTCACAGATACCTTGTTTTTAATTTTTATCTCTGATATTCAGTTTTTCCCCATAGGCTACAATGAACTCCAAAATGTCCCTTCACAGATGCTCCAAAAGAATGCTTCCAACTTGCTGAATCAAAATAAAATTTTAAATCTGTGAATTGAATACACACATCACAAAGCCATTTCAGCCAGCATTTTTGTTCTCTTTTATCTGGGGATATTTGGTTTTTATTCCAAGGACCTCAGTGGGCTTCCAAATGTCCCTTTGCAGATTCTCCAAAAAGAGTGTTTCCAACATGCTGAATCAAAAGAAAAATTTAACTCTGTGAGATGAATCTACATATCACAAAGCATTTCACATAAAAATTCTTTGTAGTTTTTATCTGGGGATATTCAATTTATTTTCATAAGTTTCAAAAAACTTCCAAAAGTCCCATCACAGATTCTCCAAAAAGAGTTTTACCAAACTGTGGAATCATAAGAAAGGTTTAGCTCTGTAATCTGAATCCATGCATCACAAAGAAGTTTCACAGGTAGCTTATTTGTGTTTTTTTATCTAGGGATATCCTTTTTTTCCTGATAGGTCTCAAATGGCTCCCAAATGTGCCTTCATAGATTCTACAAAGAGAGTGTTTCCATCCTGCTGAATAAAACCTTCTTTCAATGTTTTATCTGGGAATATTCTGCTTTTTCATGTATGCCACAATGTGCTTGCTAATTTCTCTTTGAAGATTCTCCAAAAAAAAAGTGTTTCCAACCTGCAGAATCAAAAGAAAGTTTTAATGCTGTGAAATTAATCCACACATCACAAAGCTGTGTCACACATGGCTTCTTTCTAGTTTTTATCTGGGAATATTTGATTTTCCCCAATGTCCTCAAAGGGTTACAATGTATTCCTTCACAGATTCCCCAAAAGAGTGTTTCCAACTTGCTGAATCAAAAGGAAGGTTTAACTGTCTGAGATAAATCCACACATCACAAAGTAGTTTCAGAGATAGCATCTTTATAGTTTTGATCTGGGAATATTCTGTTTTTCCCCAAAGGCCTCAATGGGCTCCCAAATATACCATCACATATTTTCCAAGAAGAGGGTTTCCAACCTGCTGAATCAAAGGAAAGGTTTAACTCTATGAGATGAATCCACACATCACAAAGCAGTTTCACAGATAGCTTCATTTGAGTATTTATCTGGAGATATTTAGAGTTTCCCATAAGCCTCAAGGGGCTCTCAAATGTCCCATCACATGCTTTCCAAAAATGGTGTTTCCAACCTGTGGAATCAAAAGAAAGTTTTAATTCTGTGAAATAAATCCACACATCACAAAGCAGTTTCACAGATAGCTTCTTTCTAGTTTTTATCTGGGGATATTCGGTTTTTCCCACAGGCCTCAAAGGGCTCCCAAATGTCCCTTTCCAGATTTTCCAAAAACAGTGTTTCCAACCTGCTGAATAAGAAGAAAATCTCAACTTTCTGAGATGAATCCACACATCACACAGCAGTTTCACGGATAGCTTTTTGTTTGTTTTTAACTGAGGATATTTGATTTTTCCCCATAAGTCTAAATAGGCTCCTATATGTCCCTTTGCTGATTCTCCAATTAGAGTGCTCCCAACCTGCTGAATCAGAATAAAGGATTAAGTTTGTGAGATGAGTTGAAACCTCATAAAGCAGTTTCATGGATATCTCTTTTCCAGTTTTTTATCTGGAAATATTCAATTTTTCCCCTTAGTTTTCAATGGGTTCCCAAATGTCCTTTCACAGAATCTCCAAAAAGAGTGTTTCTAACTTGCTGAATCAAAAGAACAGTTTAACTCTGTGAGATGAAGCTGCATGCCACAAATCGTTTCACAGATAGCTTCTTTGTAGTTTTCATCTGAGGATATTGTGAGGATATTCTGAGGGAGCCTAAATGGGCTCCTAATGTCACTTTGTTGATTCTCCAAAAAGAATTTTTCCAACCTGCTAAATAAAAAAAAAATGTTTAACTCTGTGAGATGAATCCACACATCACAAAGCAGTTTCAGATATAGCTTCTGTCTGGTTTTTATCTGGGGATATTTATTTTTTCCCCATAGGCCTCAATGTGCTCCCAAATGTCCCTTTGCAGATTCTCAAAAAAGAGTGTTTCCAACCTTTTGAATCAAAAAAAGCTTTTGCTCTGTGAGATGAATCCACATATCACAAAACAGTTTCACAGAGAGCTTCTTCCTAGCTTTATCTGGGGATATTAACTTATTTTCCATAGGCCTCCATGGGCTCCCAAATGTCCCATTGCAGATTCTCCAAAAAAGAGTATTTACAACCTGCTGGATCACAAGAGTTGTTTAACTCTTTGAGATGGATCCACACAACACAAAGCTTTTTCACAGATAGCTTTTTTCTAGTTTTCATCTGGGGATATTTTGTTTTTACATATAAGCCTCAATGGACACCATAATGTCCCTTCACAGAGTCTGAAAAAAGAGTGTTCCCAACCTGGTGGATCAAAATAAACGTTTCACTCTGTGAGATGAATTGACATATCACAAAGGAGTTTCACAGATAGCTTCTTTCTAGTTTTTATCTGGGGATATTCAGTTTTTCCCCATAGGCCTCAATGGGCTCCCTAATTTCCCTTTACAGATCATCCAAAAAGAGTGTTTCCAACCTGCTGAATGAAAATAAAGTTTTAACTATGTGACCTGAATCCACACATCACAAAGTTGTTTCACAGATAGCTTCTTTCATAACCCTCAATGGGCTCCCAAATGTCCTTTCAAAGATTCTAGAAAAACAGCGTTTTCAACCTCATGAATAAAAAAAAGGTTTGACTCTGTGAGATGAATCCACACATCACAAAGCAGTTTCACAGACAACTTCTTTCTAGTTTTTATTTGAGGATATTTGGTTTTTCCCCATAGGCTGCAACAGGCTCCAAAATGTCATTTAGAAAATTCTTCAGTTAGACCATTTACAACCTGCTGAATCAAAAGAAAGGTTTAACTCTGTGAGATGAATCCACACATCACAAGGCAGTTTCACAGATAGTTTTTCTGGTTTTTATCTGGGGATATGCAGTTTTTCCCCATAGGCATCAATGGGCTTCCTAATGTGCCTTCACAGATTCTCCAAAAAAAGTGATTCCAACCTGCTGAGTCAAAACAAACGTTTAACTATGTGAGATGAACCCAAATATGACAAAGCAATTTTACAGAGAGATTCTTCCTAGTTTTTATCTTGGGATATTTCGTTTTTTCTCATAGGCCTCAAGGGGCTTCCCAAAGTCTTTTCACTGATTCTCCAATTAGAGTGTTTCCAAACTGCTTAGTCAAAAGAAAAGTTTAAATCTGTGAGATGAATTGACTCATCACAAAGCACTTACACAGATAGCTTCTTTCTAATTGTTATCTGGGTATATTCAGTTTTCCACATAGGCTTCAATGGGCTCCCAAGTGTCCTTTCACGTATTCTCCAAAACGAGTGTCTCCAAACAGCTGAATCCAAAGGAAGGTTTAACTCTGTGACATAAATCCACATATCACATAGCAGATTCACAGATAGATTATTTTTAATTTTTATCTGGGTGTATTCTTTTTTTCTGATAGACCTCGAGGGGCTCCCAAAAGTCCCTTTGCAGATTCTACAAAAAGTGCATTTCCAATCTGCTTAATCAAGAGAATTGTTAAACTGCATGAGATGAAGCCATACATCACAAAGCAGTTTCACAGATAACTTCTTTCTAGTTTTTATCTGGGGATATTCAGTTTGTCACCATAGGCCTCAATGCACTCCAAAATGTCCTTTTGCAGATGCTAAAAAAGGACTGTTTCCAACCTGCTGAATGAAAAAGAACGTTTAGTTCTGTAAGAAGAATCCACACATTGCAAAGCGGTTTCACAGAGAGCCTCTCTCTAGTTTTTATCTTTGGATACTTGCTTTTTCACCATAGGCCAAAAAGAGCTCCCAAATGTTTCCTCACAGATTCTACAACAAGAGTGCTTTGAAACTACTTAACCAAGAGGAAGTTTTAACTCTCTGAGATGAATCCACACGTCATAAAGCAGGTTAGCTTGTGGCTTATTTCTAGTTTTTATCTGGGGATATTGGCTTTTTCTCTATAGGCCTCGATGCGCTCACTAATGTCAATTTGCAGATTCTACAAAAAAAGTGTTTGCAAACTACTGAATCAACAGAAAAGCTTAACTCTGTGAGATGAATCCACACATCACAAAGCAGTTTCACAGATAGCTTCTTTTTAGTTTTTATCTTGCAATACTGGCTTTTTCACCATAAGCCTCTATGAGCCCCCAAATATCTCTTTGCAGATTCTACTCAAACAGTGTTTAAAAACTGCTGAATCAAAAAAATGGTTTATCTCTCTGAATTGAATCCACACATCACAAAGGGGTTTCACAGATATCTTCTTTCTAGTTTTTATATGGGGATATTTAGTTTGTCACCATAGGCCTCAGTGAGCTCCCAAATACCCCTTTGCAGATTCTACAAAAACAGTGTTTCCAAATTGCTGTATCAAAAGAAAGGTTTACCTCTGAGAGATGAATCCACACATCACAAAGCAGTTTCACAGATAACTTCTTTCTACTTTTTATTTGGAGTTATTTGGTTTATCACTGTAGCTCTCAATGTACTCCCTAATGTCCTTTTGCAGATACTAAAAAAGGACTGTTTCCAACCTGCTGAATTAAAAGAAAGGTTCCAGTCTGTGAGAAGAATCCACACATCTCTAAACAGTTTCACAGCTAACTTCTTTCTAGTTTTTATTTGGGGATATTCTCTTTTTCACCTTAGGCCTCAACAAGTTGCCAAATGTCTTTTCATGGATTCTAGAAAAGCAATGTTTCCAACCCGCTGATTCAGAAGAAAGTTTTACTTCTGTGAGATGAATCCACACGTCATGGAATAGTTTCACAGATGGCTTCTTTCTACTTTTCATCTTTGGATATTCAGTTTGTCACTATAGGCGTCAATGCACTATCAAATGTCCCTTTGTGGATTCTACAAAAGGACTGATCCCAACCTGCTGAATCAATAGAAAGGTTTACCTCTGTGAAATGAATCCACACATCACAAAGCAGTATGAGAGATTCTACAAAAGGGCTATTTCCATTCTGCTAAATCAAAAGAAAGGTTTAAATCTTTGAGACGAATCCACACATCACAGAGCAGCTTCACAGATAGCTTCTTTCTAGTTTTTATCTGGGGATATTCGGTTTGTCACCATAGCCCACAATGCACTCCCAAATGCTTCTTGGCAGATCCTACAAAAGGACTGTTTTTAACCTGCTGAATCAAAAGAAAGTATTAACTCTGTGAGACTAACGCACACACCATAAAACAGTTTCTCAGATGGCTTATTTCTAGTTTTTATCTTCTTCAAATAGAGTATTTCCAAACTGCTGAATCAAAAGAAAGGTTTAACACTATGATATGCATCCACACATCACAAGGCAGTTTCACACAGAGCTTCCTTCTAGTTTTTATCTGGGTATATTTGCTTTTTCACCCTAGGCCTCAATGAGCTCCAAATTGTCCCTTCACAGATTCTATAACAACATTGTTTCCAAACCAAGGAATCAAAAGCAAGATTTCTTTCTGTGAAATGAATCCATACACACAAAGCATGTCACAAACAGCTTCTTTCTAGTTTTTATGTGGGGATATTTGGTTTGTTACACCAGGCCTCAATGGCTCTGAAATGTCTCTTCTAAGATTCTACAAAAAGTCTGTTTCCAACCTGCTTAATCAAAATAAAGTTTTAACTCTGAGAAGAATCCACACATCACAAAGCAGTTTCACAAAGAAATTCTTTTTATTTTTTATCTGGAGATAATCACATTTTCAACATAGGCCTAAATGCATCTCAAAATATCCCTACAGAGATTTTTCAAAAAGAGTGTTTCCAAACTGCTGCATCAAAACAAAGTTTTAACACTCTGAGTTGAATCCACTCATCACAAAGTAGTTTCACAGTTAGCATCATTCTAGTTTTTATCTGGGGATATGCAGTTTATCACCACAGGTCAGAATGCACTCCCAATTTTCCTTTCACAGATTCTGCAAAAGGACTGTTTCTATCGTGCTGAATAAAAAAAAGTTTATTTCTGTGAGAAGAATGCACATATCACAAAGAAGTTTCACAGATAACTTCTTTCTACTTTTTACCTGGGGATATTCACAGTTTCACTATAGGCCTCAATGTGCTCCTAAATTTCCCTTCACAGACTCTATACAAACAGTGTGTCCAAACTGCTGAATCAAAAGAAAAGTTTAATTCTGTGAGTTGAATCCAAACATCACACAGCAGTTTCAGAGATAGCTTCCTTCCAGTTTTTGTCTGGATGTATTTTCTTTTACACCATAGGCCTCAATAAGCTCCCAAATGTCCCTTCGTGGATTCTATGCAAACAGTGTTTTCAAACTGCTAAAGGAAAAGAAAGTTTTAACTCTCTGAGTTGAATTCAAACATGACAAAGCAGTTTCACAGATAGCTTCTTTTTAGTTTTTATCTCAGTATATTCTGTTTGCCACCATAGGCCTCAATGTGCTCCCAAATGTCACATCACAGATTCTACAAAAAGACTATTTTTAACCTGCTGAATCAAAAGAAAGTTTTAACCCTGTGAGAAGAATCCACAGATCACAAAGCAGTTTCACAGATAACTTCTTTCTAGTTTTTATCTGGAGTTATTTGCTTCTTCACTAAAGGCCTCAATGAGCTCCAAAACATCCCTTCACAGTTTCTACAATAACAGTGTTCCAAACTGCTGAATGAAAAGAGAAGTTTAACTTCCTGAGGTAAATCCACACATCACAAAGCAGTTTCACAGACAGCGTCTTTCTAGTTTTTATCTGGGGATATTCTATTTATCAACATAGGCCAGAATGCAGACTCAATTATCCCTTTGTAGATTCTACAAAAACAGTGTTTCCAAACTGCTGAATCAAAAAAAAAGTTTAACCCTGTGAGATAAATCCACACTTCCCAAAGCAGTTTCACAGATAGCTTATTTCTAGTTTTTATCTGGGGATATTTGGTTTTACAACATAGGTGTCAATGAGCTCCCAAATGTCCCTTCGCAGACTCAACCACAACAGTGTTTCAAAACTGCTGAATGAAAAAAAAAGGCTTAATTCTGTGAGATGAATTTACACATCACAAAGCAATTTAACAGATAGCTTCTTTCCAGTTTTATCTGGGGATGTTCTCTTCCACACCACAGGTCTGAATGCACTCTAAATGTCTCTTCCCAGAATCTACAAAAGGACTGTTTCCAACCTGCTGAATCAAAAGAAAGGCTTAACTCTGTGAGATGAATCCATCTGTCACAAAGCAGTTTCACAAATAGCTTCTTTCTAGTTTTTATATGGAGATATTTGCTTTTTCACAATAGGCCTCAATGCACTACGAAATCTCCCTTTGCAGATTCTTGAAAAGGACTGTTTCCAACCTACCGAATCAAAAAAAAGTTTAACTCTGTGAGATAAATCCAGACATCATAAAGCAGTTTCACAGGTAGCTTCTTTCTAGTTTTTATCTGGGGATATTCAGTTTGTCACAATAGACCTCAAAACACTCCAAAAATGTCCCTTCATAGATTCCCCAATAACACTTTTTCCAAACTGTTGAATCAAAAGAAAGGTTTAACTCTCTGAGTTAAATCCACACATCACAAAGCAGCTTCACAGAAACTTCTTTCTAGTTTTTATCTTGAGATATCCAGTTTGTCAGTATAGTCCTCAATGCTCCCCAAAATAACCCTTCACAGATACTACAAAAGGACTGTTTCCAACATGCTGAATCAAAATGAAGTTTTAACTCTCTGAGATGAATCACACATAACAAAGCAGCTTAACAGATAGCTTCTTTCTAGTTTTCATCTGGGGATATTCATTTTTTCACCATAGGTCTCAATGAGTTCCAAAATGTCCCTCACAGAATCTACAGAAACAGTGTTTACAACATCCTAATCAAAAGAAAGGCTTAATTCTGTGAGATAAATCCACACATGACAAAGCATTTTCACAGTTAGCTTCTTCCTATTTTTTATCGGGGGATATTGGCTTTTTCACCACAGGCCACTATTCTCTCTGAGATGTCCTTTTGCACATTCTACAAAAATAGTGTTTCCAAACTGGTGATTCAAAATCGAGGTTTAAATCTGTGAGACAAATCCACACATCAAAAAGCAGTTTCACTGATAGCTTCTTTCTGTGTTTATCTGGGGATAATTGCCTTTTCACCACGGGCATCAATGAGTTCCCAAATGTCCCTTCACAGATCCTACAAAACAGTGTTTCCAAATAGCTGAATCGAAAGAAAGATTTAACTCTGTGAGATGAATACAAACATCACAAAGCAGTCTCACAGAGAGCTTCTGTCTAGTTTTTAACTGTGAATATTACCTTCTTTACCATAGGCCTCATGAGCTCCCAAATGTCCCTTCACAGATTCTGCAAAAAAAAAAAAAATGTTTCCAAAGTGCAGAACAGAAAAGTTTACCTCTGTGAGATGAATCCACACATCAGAAAGCAGTTTCACAGGTAGCTTCTTTTTAGTTTTTATCTGGGGATATTCGGTTTTTTCACCATAGTCCTCAATGCACTCCCAAATATCCATTCACAGATTCAACAGAAAGTGTTTCCAATGTGCTGAATCAAAAGAAAGATTTAACTCTTTGAGATGAATCCATACATCACAAAGCGGATTCACAGATAGCTTCATTCTACTTTTTATCTGGGGATATTCACTTTTTCACCGTTGGTCTCAGTGAGTTCCAAAATATCCATTCACAGATTCTACAAAAACAGTGTTTCCAAGCTGCTGAATATAATGAAAAGCTTAACTCTCTGAGATGAATCCACACAACACAAAGCAATTTAACCAATAGCTTCATTTTAGTTTTTATCTGGGTTTATTCCCTTTTTAACCACAGGACTCAATTCACTCCCAATGTCCTTTTACAGATTTTACAAAAACAGTTTTTCCAAACTGCTGAATCAAAAGAAAGGTTTAATTCTATGAGATAAGTTGACACATCACAAAGCAGTTTAACAGACAGATTTTTTTTTTTAGTTTTTATCTGGAGATATTCAGTATTTCACTTTTGGCCTCAAAGAGATTTCAAATATCCCTCTGCAGATACTACAAATCAGTGTTTCCAAACTGCTGAATCAAAACAAAGGTTTAACAATGTGAGATGAATCCACACAACACAATGCAGCCTAACAGGTATCTTCTTTCTAGTTTTTATATGGGGATATACTCTTTTTCACCATAGATTTCAATGAGGTCCCAAATATCCATTTGCAGATTCTACAAAAATAGTTTTTCTAAGGTGCTGAATCAAAGGAAAGTCTTAACTGTCTGAGATAAATCCATACATCACAAAGCAGTTTTGCAGATAGCTTCTTTGTAGTTTTTATCTGGAGATGTTTGCATTTTCACCATAGGACTCAATTCCCTCTCAAATGTCCTTTCATAGATTCTACAAAAACAGTGTCTCCAAACTGCTGAATCAAAATAAAGTTTTCCCTCTGTGAGATGAATGTGCATATAACAAAGCAGTTCACAGATAGCTTCTTTCTAGTTTTTATCTTGTGATTTTCTCTTTGTCACCATTGACCTCAATGACCTCCCAAATGTCCCTTCATAGATTCTACAAAAACAGTGTTTCTAAACTGCTGAATCAAAAGAAAGGGTTAACTCTGCCAGATGAATTTACACACACAAAATACTTTTCCACATATCTTCTTTCTAGTTTTTATTGGGGATATTCTCTTCATTACCATAGGCCTCAATGACCTCCCAAATGTCCCTTTGAAGATTCTAAAGAAATAGTGTTTCCAACGTGCTGAATCAAAAGAAAGGATTAACTCTGAGAGATAAATGCACACATCATGAAGCAGTTTCACAGATAGCTTCTTTCTAGTTTTTATCATTGGATATTTGCCTTTTCCCATTAGGCCTCAATGACTTCCCAAATTTCCCTTCACAGATTCTACAAAAACAGTTTTTCCAAACTGTTGAATCAAAAGAAAAATTTAAATCTGTGATATGAATGCACCATTCACAAAGCAGTTTCACAGATAGCTTCTTTGTAGTTTTTATTTGAGGATATTTGCCCTTTCACCATAGGACTCAAAGGCTTCCCTAATGTCCCTTCAAAGGTTCTACAAAACAGTAGTACAAACTGCTGAATGAATAGAAATGTTTATCTCTCTGAGTTGAATGCACACATCACAAAACAGTTTCTTAGATAGATTCTTTCTGGTTTTTATATGGGGACATTTCCTTTTTTACCACAGGCCTCAATGTACTCCCAAAAGTCCCTTTGACGCTGCTACAAAAACAGTGTTTCCGAACTGCTAAATCAAAGGAAATTTTTAAGTCTGTGAGATGAATCCACACATCCCAAGGCAGATTAACAAAAAGCTTCTTTGTAGTTTTTATCTAGGGTTATTTGTTTTTCACTATATGCATCAATGAGCACTTTGCAGATTCTACAAAAACATTGTTTCCAAACTGCTAAATCAAAAGAAAGGCTTAACTCTGTTAGATGAATCCACACAGCAACAGCAGTTTCACAGACAACTTTTTTCTAGTTTTTATCTGAGGATATTCACTTTTTCACCATGTGCTTCAAGCTCTCCCAAATGTGCCTTCACAGATTCTACAAAAAAAAAAATTTCCAAACTGCAGAATCAAAAGAAAAGTTTCATTCTGTCATTTGAATGCACACATCACAAAACAGTTGCTCAGATAGCTTCTTTCTAGTTTTTATGTGGAGATATTCGCTTTTTCACTATATCCGTCAATGCGCTCCCAAATGTCCTTTTGTAGATTCTACAACAACAGTGTTTCAAAACTGCTGATTGAAAATCAAGGTTTAACTCTGTCAGATGAATACACACATCACAAAGCAGTTCCTCAGATAGCTTCTTTCTAGTTTTTATCTCGGAATATACACTTCTCTGCCAGGGCCTCAATTAGCTCTGAAATGTTCCTTTGCAGATTCTACTAAAACAGTGTTTCCAAACTGCTGAATCAAAAGAAAGGTTTAACTCTGTGAGATGAATCCACACATCCCAAAAAAGTTTAACAGATAGCTCTTTTTTTTTTTTTTTTAGTTTCTTTCTGGGGATATTCACTTTTTCACCACAGGTCTCAAAGCACTCCCAAATATCCCTTCACAGATTCTAAAAAAACAGTTTCCAAACTGCTGAATCCAAAGAAAGGTTTATCTCTGTGAGATGCTTCCATACATCACAAAACAATTTAACAAATAGCTTATTTCTAGGTTTTATCTGGGTATATTTGCCTCTTTACCATAGGCCTCAATGTCTTCCCAAATGACCTTTCAGAGATTCTACAAAAACAGTGTTTCCAAACTGCTAATACAAAATAAATTTTTAACTCTCTTAGATGAATCCAGACATCAAAAAGTAGGTTCACAGCAAGCTGCTTTCTGGTTTTTATCTGGAGATATTCACTTTTTCACCATAGGCATCAATGGGCTCCCAAATGTCTGCTTGTGGATTCTACAGAAACAGTGTTTCAAAATTGCTGAATTGAAACAAGTCTTTAACTCTGTGAGACGAATCTACACATCACAAAGCAGTTTCACATGCAGCTTCTTTCAAGATTTATCTTCGAATATTTTCTTTTTTATTGTAGGCCTCAATGTGTTTGCAAGTGTCCCTTTGTAGATTCTACAAAAACAGTGTTTCCAAACTGCTGAATGAAAAGGAAGTCTTAACTCGGTCAGCTGAATCCAAACATGACAAAGCAGTTTTGCAGATAGCTTCTTTCTTGTTTTTATACGGGGATAGTCGCTCTTTCATGGCTGGCTTCAATGCACTCCCAACTATCCCTTTGCAGATTCTACAGAAACAGTGTTTCCAACATGCTGAATCCAAAGAAAAGATTAACACTGGAAGATAAATCCACACATCACAAATAACTTTCACATATAGCTTCTTTCTAGTTTTATCAGTGAATATTTGCTTTTCCAACATTGTTCTCAATGAGCTCCCAAGTGTCCCTTGGCAGATTCTACAAAAACGTGGTTTCCAAACTACTGAATCAAAAGATAGGTTTAAATCTTTGAGATGAATCCACACATCACAAATCAATTTCAAAGATAACTTCTTTCTAGTTTTTATCTGGGGATATATGTTTTTTCACCATAGATCTAAAAGTGCTCCCAAATGTTCCTTCACAGATTCTAAAAAACAGTGTTTCCTAAATGTTGAATCAAAAGAAAGGCTAACTCTGTGAGTTGAATGCACACACCACAAAGCAGTTTCTCACATAGCTTCTTTCTAACTTTTATCTGGGGATATTCGCTTTTTCACCATAGGCCTCAATGTGCTCCCAAATGTTCTTTCACAGAAACTACAAAAACAGTGTTTCCAAACTGCTGAATCAGAAGAAAGGTTTAACTCTGTGAGATGATTCCACACATCACAAAGCAGTTTGACAGATAACATCTTTCTAGTTTTTATCTGGGTATATCTTTTTATCACCAAAGGCCTCAATGAGCTCAAAAATGTCTTTTCACAAATTCTACAAAAACAGTGTGTCCAAACTGCTGAATCAAAAGGATGGTTTAACTCTATGAGACGAATGCACACATCAAAAAGCAGTATCTCAGATAGACTCCCTTCAGTTTATATCTGAATATATTTGCTTTTTCAACAAAGACCTCAATGCACTCCCAAATGTCCTTTCACAGGTCCTACAAAAACAGTGTTTCCAAACAACTGAATCAAAAGCAAGGTTTAACTTTCTTAGATGGATGCACACATCACAGAGGAGTTTCTCAGGCACATTCTTTCTAGTTTGTAACTGGGGATATTCTCCTGTTCACCACAGGTCTCAGTCAGTTCCAAATGTCCCTTCAGAGATTCTACAAAAACAGTGTTTCCAACATGCTGAATCAAAAGAAGGATTTAACTCTGTGAGATGAATCCACACATCAAAAAACAGTATCTCAGATCGCTTCTTTCAGGTTTATATCCAAATATATTTCCTTTTTCAAAAAAGGCCTCAATGCTCTCCCAAAAGTCCATTCACAGGCTCTATAAAAACAGTGTTTCCAAACTCCTCAATCAAAAGAAATGTTTAACTCTGTGAGTTGAATGCACACTTCACAAAGAAGTTCATCAGATAGCTTCATTCTAGTTTTCATCTGGGAATATTCACTTTTTCATCATGGGACTCAAGGAGCTCTCAAATGCCCCTTTGCAGATTCTACAAAAACAGTATTTCCAAACTGATGAATCAAAACAAAAATTTAAAACTCTGAGATGAATCCACACATCATAAAGCAGTTTCACCTATAGCTTCTTCCCAGTTTTCATATAAAGATATTCATTTTTCACCATAGACCTCAATACACTCCCAAATATCCTTTCATAGACTCTACAAAAAAAGTTTTTCCAAAATGATGAAGGAAAAGAAGGATTTAACTCTTTGAGATGAATCCACACATCACAAATCAGTTCCTCAGATAGATTCTTTCAAGTTTCTTATAGGTATATTCCCTTTTTCACCATAGGCCTCAATGCAGTCCCAAATGTCCATTGCCAGATACTACAAAAGCAGTGTTTCCAAACTGCTGAATCAAAAGAAAGGATTAGCTCTGTGAGATGTATGCACACATCACAAAGTGGTTTCTCAGATATCTTCCTACCAGTTTTTATTTTGGGATATTCACTTTTTTACCATTGGCCTCAATGAGCTCCCAAAAGTCCATTCACAGGTTTTACACAAACAGTGTTTCCAAACTGCTGAATTAAAGTAATTGTTTAACTCTGTGAGATGAATGCACACATCATGAATCAGTTTCTCAGAAAGCTTCTTTAAACTTTTAATATGAAGATATTCTTTTTCACCATAGACCTCATTACGATTCCAAATCTCATTTCACAGATTCTAAAAAAACAGTGTTTCCAAACTGTTGAATCAAAAGAAAAGTTTAACTCTGAGAGATGAATGCACTCTTCACAAAGCAGTTTCTCAGAGAGATTCTTTCTAAACAGTGTTTCCAAATTGCTGACACAAAAGAAAGGTTTATAACTGTGAGATGAATGAACACATCAAAGAGCAGATTCTCAGATAGCTTCCAACGAGTTTTTATCTTTGGACATTCAGTTTTTCACAATTGGCCTCAATGAGCTCTGAAATGTCCACTCACTGAATGTACAAAAACAGTGTTTCCAAACTCCTGAATCAAAAGAAATGTTTAACTCTGTGACATGAATGCACACATCATAAATCAGTTTCTCAGAAAGCTTCTTTCTAGTTTTTATCTGAAGATATTTTATTTTTCTCTAAAGGCACCAATGCGCTCTGAAATGTCCTTTCACAGATTCTACAAAAACAGTGTTTCCAAACTCCTCAATCAAAAGAAATGTTTAACTCTGTGCGTTGAATGCACACTTCACAAAGCATTTCATCAGATAGATTCATTCTAGTTTTAATCTGGGAATATTCACTTTTTCATCATGGGACTCAAGGAGCTGTCAAGTGTCCCTCTGCAGATTCTGCAAAAACAGTGTTTCCAAGCTGATTAATCAAAATAAAAATTTAAATCTGTGAGATGAATCCACACATCGCAAAGCAGTTTCACCAATAGCTTCTTTCCAGTTTTTATATAAAAATAATCGCTTTTTCACCATAGACTTCAATGCACTCCTAAATGTCCTTTCACAGGCTCTACAAAAAAAGTTTTTCCTAACTGTTGAATCAAAAAAAGGTTTTACCTGTTTGAGATGAATCCACACACCACAAATCAGTTACTCAGATAGATTCTTTCAAGTTTCTTATAGGGATATTCCCTTTTTCACCACAGGGCTCAATGTTGTCCCAAATGCCCATTCTCAGATTCTACAAAAACAGTGTTTCCAAACTGCTGAATCAAAAGAAAGGTTTAACTCTGTGAGATGAATACACACATCATAAAGCAGTTCTTCAGAAATCTTTCTTATAGTTTTTATCTGATGATATTTTCTTTTTCACCACAGATCTCAATATGATCCCAAATTCCTGTCACACATTGTAGAAAAACAATGCTTACAAACAGCCGAATCAAAAGAATGCTTTAATTCTGTGAGATGAATGCACACAACTCAAAGCAGTTTCTCAGAAAGCTTCCTTCTAGTTTTTATCCGAAAATAATTTATTTTTCAACATAGGTGAAAAGCACTCCCAAATGACTTTTACATATTTTACAAAAATAATGTTTCCAAACTGCTGAATGAAAAGAAAGGATTAACTCTGTGAGATGAATGCACACATCACAGAGTGGTTTCTCAGATACCTTCCTACCCATTTTTATTTTGGCATATTCACTTTTTCACCATTGGCCTCAATGAGCTCCCAAATGTCAATTCACAGATTTTACAAAAACAGTGTTTCCAAACTGCTGAATTAAAATAAGGGTTTAACTCTATGATATGAATGCTCACATCATAAATCAATTTCTCAGAAAGCTTCTTTAAGCTTTTAATCTGAAGATATTTTCTTTGTCACCATAGACCTCATTATGATCCCAAATGTCATTTCACAGATTCCAAAAACACTGTTTCCACACGGCTGAATCAAAAGGAAAGTTTTAGTCTGTGAGATGAATGCAAACTTCCCAAAACAATTTCTCAGAAAGATTCTTTCTAAACAGTGTTTCCAAACTGCTGAAACAAAAGAAAATTTTCTCTGTGAGATGAATGAACACATCACAGAGCAGTATCTCAGATAGCTTCCCTCGAATTTTTATCTTGGGACATTTGCTTTTTCACAATTGGCCTCAATTAACTCCGAAATGTCCACTCACAGAATGCACAAAATCAGTGTTCCTAAACTCCTGAATTAAAAGAAATGTTTAACTCTGTGACATGAATGCACACATCACAAAGCAGTTTGTCAGAAAGCTTCTTTCTAGTTCTTACCTGAGGATATTTTATTTTTCTCCAAAGGCATCAATGCATTCCCAAATGTCCTTTCACAGATTCTTCAAAAGCAGTGTTTGCAAACTGCCGAATCAAAAGAAAGGTTTAACTCTGTGAGATGAATGCAAACATCACAAAGCTGTATCTCTGATAGCTTTCTACTACTTTTTATCCTGGGATATTCACTTTTTCAACATTGGCCTCAATGAGGTCCCAAATGTCCACTCGCAGAATGGACAGACAGTGTTTCCAAACTGCTCCATCAAAAGAAAGGCTTCACTCTGTGAGATGAATAAAGACTTCACAAAGTAGTTACTAAGAGAACTTCTTTCTAATTTTATTATGAAGATATTTCCTTTCTCAACTCATGCTTCAATGCACTCCCAAGCATCCCTTCACAAATTCTACAAAGACAGTGTTTCCAAACAGCTGATTCAAAGAAACGTTTATCTCTGTGAGATTAATGCACACATCTCAAAGCAGTTTCTCAGAATCCTTTCTAGTTTTTATCTGAAGTTATTTTCTTTTTCACCATAGGCTTCAAAACGCTCCAAAATATCCCTTGGCAGATTCTACAAAAACAGTTTTTCCAAACAGCTGAATAAAAAGAAAGGTTTAATTTTGCAAGATGAATGCAGACATCACAAACCAGTTTCTCACATAGTTTCATTCTATTTTTAATCCTGGGATATTCGCTTTTTCCCCACTGGCCTCAGTGAGCTCCCAAATGTCCGTTCTCAGAATGGACAAATATGGTGTTTCCAAACTGCTGAATAAAAAGAAATGTTTAACTCTGTGAGATGAATGCACACATCACAAAGCAGTTTCTCAGAAAGACTCTTTCAATTTTTCATCTGAACATATTTTCTTTTTCACCATAGGCCTCAATGCACTCCCAAATATGCCTTCGCAGATACTACAAAAACAGTGTTTCCAAACTGCTGAATGAAAAGAAATCTGTAACTCAGTGAGATTAATGCACACATCACAAAGCGGTTTCTCAGATAGTTTCCTTCTAGTTTAAATCATGGGATTTTCACTTTTTTGCCACTGCCCTGAATGAGCTCCCAAATATCCCTTTGGAGCTTCTACACAAACAGTGTTTCCAAACTGCTGAATGAACAGAATGTTTTAACTCTGTGAGATGAATTCACACATCACAAAGCAGTTTCTCAGACAGCTTCCTTCTAGTTTTTATCCTGGGATATTTGCTTTTTTGTTTTTGGCCTCAATGAGCTCCCAAATGTCCATTCGCAGAATGGACTAAAACAGTGTTTCCAAACTGCTGAATCAGAAGAAAGGTTTAACTCTGTGAGATGAATGCACAATCACAAAGAAGTTTCTCAGAAAGCTTCTTTCTAGTTTTTATCTGAAGATATTTTCTTTTTCACCATAAGCCTCAATGCGCTCCCAAATATCCCTTCACAGATTCTACAAAAACAGTGTTTCCAAACTGATGAATAAAAAGAAAGTTTTAAATATGTGAGTTAAATGCACACATCACCAAGAAGTTTCTCAGAAAACTTCTTTCTACTTTTTATCAGAATATATTTTCCTTTTCACCACAGGCCTCAATGTGCTCCCAAATATCCCTTTGCAGATCCTTCAAAAACAGTGTTTCCAAACTGCTGAATGAAAAGAAAGGTTTAACCCTAGGAGATGAATGCACACATCACAAACCTTTTTCTCAAATTTCTTCCTTCTAGTTTTTATCCTGGGATAATTGCTTTTTCACCTTTGGTTTCAATGATCTCCCTGAGCTCATTGAGACATTTGGGAGCTCACTGAATCTTTCTGAGAAACTGCTTTGTTATGCGTGCATTCATCTCTCAGAGTTCAAGCTCTCTTTTGATTCAGCAATTTGGAAATACTCTTTTTGTCTATTCTGCTAATGGACATTTTGGACCTCATTGAGGCCAATGGCAAACAAGTGAATATCCCAGCTTAAAAACAAGAAAGAGACTATCTGGCAAACTGCATTGTGATGTGCGCATTCATTTTCCAGAGATAAACATTTCTTTCAATTCAGCGGTTTTTAAACACTGTTTTTTAATGTTCTGTGAATGGACATTTGGGATCACTTTGAGGCCTATGGTGAAAAAGAAAATATCTTCAGATAAAAACTAGAAGGACTCTTGCTGAGAAACTGCTTTGTGATGTTTGCATTCATTGCATGGAGTTAAACCTTTCTTTTGGCTCAGCAGATTGGAAACACTGTTTTTGTTCATTCTGTGAATCAACATTTAGGAGCTCATTGAGGCCAATGGCAAAAAAGGGAATATGCCTCTATAAAAACTAGAAGGAAGCTATCTGAGATACTGCTTCATGATGTGTGCATTCATCTCCCAGAGTTAAAACTTTCTTTTGATTAAGCAGTTTAGTAACACTCTTTTGGTGCATTCTGTGAGTGGACAGTTGGGAGCACATTGTTGCCAATGGTGAAAAAGAAAATGTCTTCAAATTAAAACAAGAAAGAAGCTTTCTGAGAACATGCTTTGTGAATTGTCCATTCATCTCATAGGGATAAACCTTTCTTTTGATTCAGCATTTTGGAAACCTTGTTTTTGTCTATTTTGTGAATGCACATTTTGGAGCTCATTGAGACCAATGACATAAAAGTGAATATCTGAGGTAAAAACTAGAAGGAAGGTATCTGAGAAGCAGCTTTGTGATGTGTGCATTTCATTTCCCAGAGTTACACCTTTCTTTTTCATTCAGCAGTTTGGAAATAATGTTTTTGTATATTCTTGAAATGGACAATTGAGAGTGCAATGAGGCCTGAGGTGACAAGGAAAATACCTTCTGAAAAAAAGTATATAGAAGGTTTCTGAGAAACTTCTTTGTGATGGGTGCATTCATCTTGCAGAGGTAAAACTTTTTTTTCATTCAGCAGTTTGGAAACACCATTTTTGAAGAATCTATGAAGGGATATATGGGAGCACATTGAGGCTTATGGTGAAAAAGAAAACATCTTCAGATAAAAATGAGAAAGAAGCTTTCTGAGAGATACCTTTGTGATGTGTGCATTCATCTCGCAAAGTTAAACCTGTCTTTTCATTCAGCAGTTTGGAATCACTGCTTTTGTAGAATCTGCAAAGGGATATTTGGGAGCACATTGACGCCTATGGCAAAAAAAGTTAATACCCAGGGATATAAACTGGAAGGAAGCTATCTGAGAAACTGCTTTGTGACGTGTGCATTCATCTCACAGACTTAAACTGTTCCTTTGATTCAGCAATTTGGAAACTCTGTTTTTGTAGAATCTGTGGAGGGACATTTTGGAAAGCTTTGAAGCCTATGGTGAAAAAGAGAATATCTTTATCTAAAAACTAGAAAGATGCTTTCTGAGGAATTATATTGTGATGTGTGCATTCATCTCAGAGAGTTAATCCTTTCTTTTGATTCATCAGTGTGGAGACATTGTTTTTGTCCATTCTATGAAAGGACATTTGGGGTCTCATTGAGGCCAGTGGTGAAAAAGAGAATATCCAGGACAAAAACTAGAAAGAAGCTATCTGACAAACTGCATTATTATGTGTGCATTCATAACAGAGTCAAAACTTTCCTTTGAGTAGGCCGTTTGGAAACATCGTTTTTGTACATTCTGTGAATGGATATTTGGGAGTGCATTAAGGCCAATGGCAAAAAAGGGAATATACCAGGATAAAAACTAGAAGGAAGCTATCTGAGAAACCGCTTTACAATGTGTACATTCAAGTCACTGAGTTAAACATTTGTTTTCATTCAGCAGTTTGGAAGCACTGTTTTTGTATAATTGCTGAAGGGACATTTGGGAGCGTATTGTGGCCTGTGGTGAAAAAGAAAATATCTTCAAATAAAAACTAGAAAGAAGCTTTCTGAGAAACTGCTTTGCGATGTCTGCATTCATCTCACAGAGTTAAACCTTCCTTTTAATTCAGCAGTTTGGAAACACAGTTTTTTCCATTCTGCAAATGGATATTTCAGAGCTCATTGAGGACAATGGCAAAAAAGCGAATATACCAGGAGGAAAACTATAATGATGCTATCTGAGAAACCACTTTGTCATGTGTGCTTTCATCTGACAGACTTAAACCTTTCTTTGGATTCACCAGTTTTGAAACAAGTTTTTGTCCATTCTTTGATTGGCCTTTTTGAGCTCTTTGAGGCCAATGGTGAAAAAGAAAATAACTTCAGATAAAAACGAGAAAGAAGCTTTCTGAGAAACTGATTTCTTATGTGTGCATTATTCTCACAGAATTAAACCTTTCCTTTGATTCAGCAGTTTTGAAACACTGTTTTTGTCCATTTGGTGAATGGACATTTGGGAGCCAATTGAAGCCAATGGCAAAGAAGTGAATATCCCAGGATAAAAACTGGAAGGAAGCTATCTGAGAAAACTTTTTATGATGTGTGCATTCATCTCACAGAGTTAAAACTTTCTTTTCATTCAGCAGTTTGGAAAAGCTCTTTTTCTAGAATCTGCCAATGGGTATTTGGGAGTACACTGACGTCTATGGTGAAAAAGAAAATAGCTTCAGACAAAAACTAGAAAGAAGTTTTCTGAGAAACTGATTTGTGACATCTTCATTCATCTCACAGAGTTAAACCTTGCTTTTGATTCAGCAGTTTGGAAACACCTTTTTTGTCCATTCTGTGAATGGATATTAGGGAGATCATTGAGGCCAATGGTGAAAAAGAGAATATCCAAGTATAAAAACTAGAAAGAAGCTATCTGAGAAACTGTTTGGTGATGTGTGCATTCATCTCACAGAGTTAAACTTTTCCTTTGATTCAACAATTTTGAAAAACTGTTTTTGTCCATTCTGTGAGTGAATATTTGGGAGCTCATTGAGGCCAAAGGCAAAACAGTGAATGTCCCTAAATAAAAATTAGAAGGAAGCTGTCTGAATAACAGGTTTGTGATGTTTGCATTCATCTCACAGATTCAAACTTTTGCTTTGATTCAGTATTTTTAAACACTGTTTTTGTCTATTCTGTGAATGGACATTTGGGAGCTTCTTAAGGCCAATGGCAAAAAAGTGAATATCCCAATGTATAAACTAGAAGGAAGCTGTCTGAGAAACTGCTTTCTGATGTGCACATGCATCCTGCCAAGTTAAACCTTTCTTTGATTCAGCAGTTAAGAAACACTGCTTTTGTCCTTTCTGTGAATGGACATTTGTGTGCTCATTAGGCCAATGGTGAAAAAGCTAATATCCCAGGATACAACTAGAAGGAAGCTAGCTGAGAAACTGCTTTATGATGTGTGCATGCATCTCACAGCGTTAAATGTTGCATTTCATTCAGCAGTTTGGAAACACTGTTTTTGTAGTATCTGCAAAGGGATATTTGGGAGTGCTTTGAGAACTATGGTGAAAAATAATATATGTTCAGAAAAAAGAAGGAAGACTATTTCTGAGAAATTGCTTTGTAATTTGTGCATTCAACTCCTAGAGCTAAACCTTTCTTTTGATTCAGCAGTTTGGAAACACTGTTTTTGTTGATTCATTGAATGGATATTTGGGAGCGCATGAAGGAAAGTGGTGAAAAAGAGAATATCCAAGGACAAAAACTAGAAAGAAGCTATCTGAGAAACTGCTTTGTGATGTGAGCATTTATCTTGCAGAGTTAAAAGTTTCTTTTCATTGAGCAGTTTGGAAAAACTTTTTGTAGAATCTACAAAGGGATATTTGGTAGCACATTGAGGCCTATGGTGAATAAGAAATTATCTTCAGATAAAAACTAGAAAGAAGCTTCGTGGGAAACTTCTTTGTGATGTGTGCATTCATCTCACTGACCTAAACATTCCTTTTCATTAGGCAGTTTGGAAAACCTGTTTTTGTAGAATCTGCAAAGTGGTATTTGGGAGCTCATTTAGGCCTATGGTGAAAAATAAAATGTCTTCACATAAAAAGTAGAAAGAAGTTTTCTGAGAAACTTATCTGTGATTTCTCCATTAATCTCACATAGTTAAACCTTTATTTTTATTCAGCAGTTTGGGAAACTATTATTGTCCATTCTGTGAATGGACATTTGGGAGCTTATTGAGGCCAATGGCAAAAAAGAGAATATCCCAGAATAAAAACTAGAAGGATACTATCTGAGAAACTGCTTTGTGACATATGCATTCGTCCCACAGAGATAAAACTTTCTTATCATCCAGCAGTTTGGAAACGTTGTTTTTTAAGAATCTGTTAAGGGATATTTGGGAGTGCATTGAGTCCTATGCTGAAAAAGAGAGAAAAACTAGAAAGAAGTTTCAGAGAAAGTGATTTGTGATGTGTGCATTTGTCTCACAGGGATAAACCTTTCTTTTGATTCAGCAGTTTTGAAAACCTGTTTTTGTCCTTTCTGTGAGTGGATATTTCGGAGCTCTTTGAGGCCAAGGGCAAAAATGTGAAAGTCCCAGGATAAAAACTAGAATGAAGCTATGTGAGAAACTGCTTTGTGATGTGTGCATTCAACACACAGAATTATACCTTCTTTTTATTCAGCAGTTAAGAACCACTGTTTTTGTAGAATCTGTGAAGGGATTTTGGGATCTTATTGAGGCCTATGGTGAAAAAGAAAATATCTTCAGATAAAAGCAAGAAAGAAGCTTTCTGAGAAACTGCTTTGTGATGTGTGCATTCATCTCACAGAGTTAAAACTTTCTTTTGATTCAGCAGTTCGGAAACACTGTTTTTGTTTATTCTGTGAATGGACATTTGGAAGTTCATTGAGGCCAATGTTGAAAAAGCAAACATCCCGGGATGAAAACTTGAAGGAATCTATCCAAGAAACCACTTGCAATGTGTGCATTCATCTCACAAATTTAAACCTTACTTTTGATTCAGCAGTTTGGAAACAGTGTTTTTATCCATTCTGCAAATGGCCATTTAGGAGCTCCCTGAGGCCAATGGAGAAAAAGGAATATCCCAGGATAAAAATAAAAAGAAAGCTATCTCAGAAACCCCTTTGTGATGTGTGCATTCATCTCAGAGAATTAAACCTTTCTTTTCATTCAACAGCTTGGAAACACTGCTTTTGTATAATCTGTGAAGGACTATTTGGGTGCACATTGAGGCTTATTGTGAAAAAGAAAACATCTTCAGATAAAAACTAGAAAGAATATTTCAGAGAAACTCCTTTGTGATGTGTGCATTCATCTCACAGAGCTAAACGTTTCCTTTCATTCAGCAGTTTGGAAACACTGTGTTTGTAGAATCTGCGAAGAGATATTTGGGAGCACCTCAAGGCCTATGGTGAAAAAGAAAATATCTTCAGATAAAAACTAGAATGAAGCTTTCTGACAAACTGTTTTGTTATTTGTGCATTCATCCCACACTCTTAAAATGTTCTTTTGACTAAGTAGTTTGGAAAAACTGTTTTTGTCCATTCTGCAAATGGATATTTTGGTGCCCATTGAGGCCAATGGTGAAAAAGTGAATATCCCAGGATAAAAACTAGAAGGAAGCTATCAGAGAAACCCCTTTATGATGTGTGCATTTATTTCACAGAGATACACTTTTCTTTTCATGCAGCTGTTTAGAAACACTGTTTTTGTAGAATCTGAGAAAGTACATTTGGGGGTGCAGTGAGGCCTATGGTGAAAAAGAAAATATCTTCAGATAACATCTAGAAAGAAGTTTTTGGAGAAACTGCTTTGTGATGTCTACATTCATCTCATAGAGTTAAACGTTTCTTTTGATTCAGAGGTTTGGAAACACTGTTTTGGTCCATTCTACGAATGGACATTTGGAAGCTCATTAAAGTCAATTGTGAAAAAACTAATATCTCAGGATAAAAACTACACTGAAGCTATCTGCAAAATGGCTTTGTGAAGTGTGCATTCATCTCACAGAGGTAAACATTTCTTTTCATTCAGCAGTTTGTAAACACTGTTTATGTAGAATCTGAAAAGGCATATTTGGGAGTGCACTGAGGCCCATGGTGAAAAACAAAATATCATCAAATAAAAACTAGAAAGATGCTTTTTGAAAAACTGCTTTGTGATGGATTCATTCATCTCACAAGGTTGAACATTTCTTTGATTAAGCAGTTTGGAAAAACTGTTTGTCTCCATTCAGAAAATGGACATTTGGGAGCTCATTAAGGAAAATGGCAAAAAAGTGAATAACCCAGGATAAAAACTAGAAGGAAGCTGTCTGAGAAACTGGTTTGTGATGTGTGCATTCATCTCACAGATTTAAACTTTTCTTTACATTCAGCAGTTTGGAAACACTGTTTTTGTAGAATCTGAGAAGGGATCTTTGGGAGTGCATTGAGGCCCATGGTGAAAAACAAAATATCATCAAATAAAAACTAGAAAGAAACTTGCTGAGTAACTGCTTTGTGATGTGTGCATTCATCTCACAGAGGTAAACTTTACTTTTGATTCTGCAGTTTGGAAACACATCGTCCATTCTGCGAATGGACATTTGGGAGCTCATTGATGCCAACAGCAAAACAGCGAATATTCCAGGATAAACACTAGAAGGAAGCTATGTCAGAAACTGCTTTCTGAAATTTGCATTCATCTCACAGACATAAACATTTCTTTTCATTCAGCAGTTTGGAAAATCTTTTTTTTTCCTCCATTCTGGGAATGGACATTTGTGAACTCATTGAGGACAGCAGTGAAAAAGTGAATATCCCAGGATAAAAACTAGAAGGAAGCTATATGACAAACAGTTTGGTGATGTCTGCATTCATCTCACAGAGGTAAACCTTTCTTTCCATTCAACAGTTTGGAAACACTATTTTTGTAGAATCTGCACAGGGATATTTGGAGTGAATTGAGGCCTATGGTGAAAAAGAAAATATTTTCACTTAAAAACTAGAAAGAAGAAGCTTTCTGAGAATCTGCTTTGAGGTGTGTGAGTTCATTTCACAGAGTTAAACCTTTCTTTTGATTCAGCAGTTTGGAAAACCTTTTTTTGCCCATTCCTAAAATGGACATTTTGGAGCTCATTCAGGCCAAAGGTAAAAAAAGTGAATATCCCAGGATAAGAACTGGAAGGAAGCTATCTGATAAACCACTTTGTGATGTGTTCATTCATCTCTCAGTTAAACATTTCTTTTCATTCAGCATTTTGGAAACACTGTTTTTGTCCTTACTGTGAATGGACCTTGGGGAGCAAATTGAGGCCAATAGCAAAAAAGTGAATGTCCCAGGATAAAAAGTAGAATGAAGCTATCTGAGAAACTGATTTGTGATATGTGCATTCAACTGTCAGAGTTAAAGCTTCTTATTCATTCAGCAGTTAGGAAACACTTTTTTGTAAAATCTACAAAGGGATATCTGGGAGCTTATTGAGGCCTATGGTGAAAAAGAAATTATCTTCAGATAAAAACTAGAAAGAAGCTTTCTGAGAAACGGCTTTGTAACATGTGCATTCATCTCAAAAAGTTAAAACTTTATTTTGATTCAGTAGTTTGCATACTCTGTTTTTGTACATTTTCCAAATGGAGATTTGGGAGCTCATTGAGGCCAATGGCAAAAAAGCGATAATCCCAGGGTAAAACCTAGAAGGAAGATACTGGAGAAACCTCTTTATGATGTGTGCATTCACCTGGCAGATTTAAACCTTTCTTTACATTCGGCAGTTAGGAAACAGTTTTTGTCCATTCTGTGAATGGACATTTGGGAGCTCATTGAGGCCAATGGCAAAAAAGAGTATATCCCAGGATAAAAACTGGAAGGAAGCTATCTGAGAAACCACTTTGTTATGTGTTCATTCATCTCACAGAGTTTAACCTTCCTTTTATTCAGCAGTTTGGAAACACTATTTTGTAAGATCAGCAACTAGATATTTGGGAGCTCATTGAAGACAATGATGAAAAAGAAAATAACTTCAGATTAAAATTAGAAAGAAGCATTCTGAGAAACTGCTTTGTGAGCTGTGCATTCATCTCACATACCTAAACCTTCCTTTTCATTCATCAGTTTGGAAACACTGTTTTTGTAGAATCTGCATAAGGTCATTTGGGAGCACATTGAGGTCTATGGTGAAAAGGAAAATATCTTCACATAAAATCTAGAAAGAAATTTTCTGAGAAACTGCGTTGTGATTTGTCCATTAATCTGACACAGTTAATTTTCTTTTTATTCAGCAGTGTGGGAACACTTTTTGTCTGATATGTGAATAGACATTTTGGAGCTCATTTTGTCAAATTTCAAGAAAGAGAATATCCCAGTATAAAAATTAGAAGGAAGCTATCTGAGAAACTGCTTTATCATGTGTGCATTCATCTTGCAGAGTTAAACCTTTCTTTTCATTCAGCAATTTTGAAACGCATTTTTGTAGGATCTTGGAAGAGATATTTTACAGTGGATTGAGGCCAATGTTGATAAAGTAAATATCATCAGATAAAAACTAGAAAGAAGCTATCTGGGAAACTGCTTGTTGATGAGGGCATTTATTTCACAGAGCTAAAACTTTTTTTATTCAGCAGTTTGGAAAGACTCTTTTTGTAAAACCTGTGAAGGCACATTAGGAAACATGTTGAGGCCTATCATGAAATAGAAAATATCTTCAGTTAAAAACTAGAGGGAAATTTTCTGAGATACTGTTTTGTGATGTGTGTATTCACCTCACAGAGTTAAAACATTCTTTTGTTTAAGCAGTGTGGAAACTATTTTTGTTCATTCTGCGAATGGACGATTAGGAGCTCATTGAGGCCAATGGTGGAAAAGTGAATATCCCATGATAAAAACTAGAAGGAAGCTATCTGAGAAACCGATGTGTGAAGTGTGCATTCATCTCACAGAGTTAAACCTTTCTTTTCATTCAGTAGTTTTGAAACACTGCTTTTGTAGAATGTGCAAATGGATATTTGGGGGTCCACTGAGTCCTGTGGTGAAAAAGAAAATATCTTCAGACAAAAAATAGAAAGAAGCTTTCTGAGAAATACTTGGTGATCTTGGAATTCAGCTCAGAGAGGAAAATCTTTCCTTTGATTCAGCAGTTTGGAAACACTGCTTTTGTCCATTCTGTGAATGGACATTTTGTAGCTCTCTGAGGCCAAAAGTGAAAAATGGAATATCCCAGGTTTAAAACTTGAAGGAAGCTATCTGAGAATCCGTTTTGTGATGTGTGCATTAATCTCACAGAGTTAAACCTTTCCTTTCATTCAGCATTTTGGAAATACTGTTTTGTCCATTCTGCAAACGGACATTTGGGAGCTCATTGGGCCAATGGCAAAAAAGCGAATATCTCAGGACAAAAACAAGAAGGAAGCTATCTGAGAAACTTCTTCATGATGTGTGCATTCATCTCGCAGAGTTGAATGTTTCTTTGTATTCAGCAGTTTGGGAACACTGTTTTTGTAGAATTTGTGAAGGGATATTTGGGACTGCCTTGAGGCCTATGGTGAAAAAGAAAATATCTTCAGATAAAAACTAGAAAGAATCTTTATGAGAAACACATTTGTGATGTGTGCATTCATCTCATAGATTTAAACATTGTTTTGATTCAGCAGTATGGAAATACTGTTTTTGACCATTTTGTGAAAGGACATTTGGGAGCTCATTGTGGCCAATGGGTTTTCTGAAAAAGGGAATATCCTGTTATAAAAACTAGAAGGAAACTGAGAAACTGCTTTATGATGTGTCCATTCATCTTGCAGAGTTAAACCTTTCTTTACATTCAGCAATTTGGAAACACAGTTTTTGTAGAATCTGGAAAGGGACATCTGGGTATGCATTGAGGCCGGTCATGAAAAAGAAAATATCTTCAAGTAAAAACTACAAGAAAACTTTCTGAGATACTGCTTTGGGTAGCATGCATTCATCCAACAGAGGTAAATCATTCTTTTGATTCAGCAGTTTCGAAGCAGTCTTTTTGCCCATTGTTTGAATGGACAGTTTGGAGCTCATTGAGGCCAATAGCAAAAAAGCAAATATGCCAGGGGAAAAACTAGAAGGAAGCTATCTGAGAAACTGCTTTGTTATGTGTGTATTCATGTCACAAGGTTAAACCTTTCTTTTCATTCAGCAGTTTGGAGACACTGTTTTTCTATAATATGTGAAGGAATATTTGGGAGCACATTGAGGTCTATGGTGAAAAAGAAAATATCTTCAGATAAAAAATAGAATGAAGCTTTCTGAGAAACTACTTTGTGATGTATGCATTCGTGTCACAGATTTAAACCTTTCTTTTGATTCAGCAGTTTGCAAACACTGTTTTTGTCCATTCTGACAAAGGACATTTGGGAGCCCATTGAGGCCAAAGGTGAAAAAGTGAATATCCCAGGATAAAAACTAAAGGAAGGTATCTGAGAAACTGCTTGGTGATAGAGGCATGCACTTCACAGAGTTAAATCTTTCTTTTCATTCAGCAGTTTGGAGACACTGTTTTTGTCCCTTCTGCAAATTGAGAGTTAGGACGTCAATGAGCCCAAAAGCGAAAAAGCAAATATTCCAGGATAAACACCATGAGGAAGCTATCTGAGAAACCGCTTTGTGATGTGTGCATTCATCTGGCAGAGTAAAAACTTTCTTTTCATTCAGCAGTTTGGAAACACTGTTTTTGTCCATTCTGCAAATGGACATTTGGGAGCTGATAATGACCAATAGCAAAAAAGCAAATATCCCAGGATAAAAACTAGAAGGAAGCTATATGGGAAACTGCTTTGTGATGTGTACATTCATGTCTCATAGATAAACCTTTCTTTTGACTCAGCAGTTTACATACACTGTTTTTGTCCTTCCTGTGGATGGACATTTGGGAGCTCATTGTGGCCAATTTCAATAAAGCAAATATCCCAGGATAAAAACTACAAAGAAGCTATCTGAGAAACCACTTTGTGATGTCTGCATTCAATTTGCAGAGCTAAACCTTCATTTTCATTCAGCAGTTAGGAAACACCATTTTTGTACAATCTGCAAAGCGATATTTGGGAACTTATTGAGACCTATGGTGAAAAAGAAAATATCTTCAAATAAAAACTAGGAAGAAATTTCCTGAGAAACTGATTTGTGATATGTGCATTCATCTCACAGACTTAAATTTTTCTTTTGATTCAACAGATTGGAAACGCTGTTTTTGTCCATTTGGAGAATGGATATTTTGATGCTCATTGAGGCCAATAGCAAAAAATTGAATATTCCAGAATAAAAACTAGTAGGAAGCTCTCTGTGCAACTGCTTTGTGATATGTGCATTCATCTCACAGAGTTAAACGTGACTTTTCATTCAGTAGGTTGGAAACACTCTTTTTGTAGATCTGCAAAGGGATATTTCAGAGCACACTGAGGCCTATGTAGAAAAATAAAATATCTTTAGATAAAAACTAGAAAGAAGCTATCTGAGAAACTGCTTTCTGATGTGTACATTCATCTCACTGAGTTAAAGCTTTCTTATGATTCAGCAGTTTGGAAACTCTTTTTGTCCATTCTGCGAATGGACATTTGGGAGCTAATTGAGACCAATGGCAAAAAAGCGAATATCTCAGGATAAAAACTAGAGGGAAGCTGTTTAAGAAACTGATTTGTGATATGGGCATTCATCTCACCGAGTTAAAACATTTCTTTGATTCAGCAGTTTGGAAACAGTATTTTTGTCCATTCTGCAAAAGGACTTTTGGGAGCTCACTGAGGCCAAAGGTGAAAAAGTGAATATCTCAAATGAAAACTAGAAGGAAGCTGTCTGAGAAGCCCCTTTTTGATGTGGGCTTTCATTTCGCAGAATTAACACTTTCTTTTAATTCAGCAGTTTGGAATCACTGTTTTTGTGGATTCTACGAAGGGATATCTGGGAATGCTTTTAGTCCTATGGTGAAAAAAGAATATATCTTCATATAAAAACTAGAGAGAAGTTTTCTGAGAAACTGCTTTGTGATTTCTGCATTCATCTCACAGAGTTAAACATTCCTTTTCACTCAGCAGTGTGGGAACACTGTTTTTGTCCATTCTGTGAATGGACATTTTGGAGCTCTTTGAGGCCAATGGTGAAAAAGCAAATATCCCAGGATAAAAATTGAAGGAACCTATCTGAAAAATGGCTTTGTGATGTGTGCATTCATCTCGCAGATTTAAACCTTTCTTTTCATTCAGCAGTTAGGAAACATTGTTTTTTGTAGAATCTGTGAAGGGTGAAAAAGAAAATATCTTCATCTAAAAACTGGAAAGAAGCTTTCTTAGAAAATACTTTGTGATGTATGCCTTCATCTCACAGAGTTAAACCTTTCTTTTGATTCAGCAGTTTATTGATGCCAATGTTGAAAAAGAGAATATCCCAGGATAAAAACTATAAGGAAGCTATGACATCCACCACTTTGTGATGTGTGCATACGTCTCACAGATTTAAACCTTTCTTTTGATTCAGCAGTTTGGAAACACTGTCTTTGTCCTTTTTGTGAATGAACATTTGGGAGCTCTTTGAGGCCAAAGGTGAAAAAGCGAGTATCCCAGGAGAAAAACTAGAATGAAGCTATCTGAGGAACCACTTTGTGATGTGTGCATTCAACTCACAGATTTAAACGTTTCTTTTTATTCAGCAGTTAGGAAACACTGTTTTTGTAGAATCTGCAAAGGGATATTTTGTATCTTATTGAGGCCAATGGTGAAAAAGAAAATACCTTCAGATAAAAATTAGAAGGAAACTTTCTGAGAAACTGCTTTGTGATGTGTGAATTCATCTCACAGAGTTAAACTTTGCTTTTGATTCAGCTGTTTGGAAACACAGTTTTTGTCCACTGTGCAAAAGGACATTTGGGAGCTCATGGAAGTCAATGGCAAAAAAGGGAATATTCCAAGATGAAGCTGAGAAGCAAGCTATCTGAGAAACCACTTTGTGATGTGTACACTCATCTCACAGAGTTAAACCTTTGTTTTGATTCAGCAGTTTGGTAACACTGTTTTTGTAGACTCTGAGAAGGGATATTTGGGGGTGCATTGAGTTCTGTGATGAAAAAAGAATATATCTTCAGATAAAAATTAGAAAGACGTTTTCTGAGAAACTGCTTTGTGATGTGTGCATTCATCTTACAGAGATAAACATTTATCTTGATTCAGCAGTTTGGAAACACTGTTTTTATCCATTCTGTGAATGGACATTTGGGAGTTCATTAAGGCACACATGAAAAGGTGTATATCCCAGGGTAAAAACTAGAAGGAAGCTATCTGAGAAACCACTCTGTGGTGTGTGCATTGATCTCGCTGATTTAAAGCTTTCTTTTGATTCAGCAGTTTGGAATCACTGTTTGTGCTCATTCTGTAAATGGATATTTGGGAGCTCATTGAGGTCAATGGCAAAAAAGTGAATAACTGAGGATAAAAACTAGAAATAAGCTATCTGAGAAACGGATTTATGATGTGTGCATTCATCTCGCAAAATTAAACATTTCTTTTCCTTCAACAGTTTGGAAACACGGTTTTTATAGGATCTGCAAAGGGATATTTTGGAGCACATTGAGGTCTATGGTGTAAAAGAAAATATCTTCAGATAAAACCTAGAAAGAAGCTTTCTGAGAAATTGCATTTTGATGTGTGCATTCATCTCACAGAGTTAATACTTTTTTTTGATTCACCAGTGTGGATACACTGTTTTTGTCCATTCTGCTAATGGACCTTTGGGGGCTCATTTAGGCCAATGGCAAAAAAGTGAATATCCCAGGATAAAAACTAGAAGGAAGGTATCTGAGAAACTGCTATGTGATGTGTGCCATCATCTCACAGTCTTAAAAGTTTCTTTTCATTCACCAGTTTGGAAACAGTGTTTTTGTAGAATCTGCAAAGTCATATTTTTGAGTGCATTGAGCCCAATGGTGAAAAACAAAATATCTTCAGACAAAAACTAGAAAGAAGCTTTCTGAGAAACTAATTTGTGATGTGTGCATTCATTTCACAAAGCTAAACTTTTTTTTGATTCAGCAGTTTGGAAAAACTGTTGTTGTCCATTTTGTGAATGGACATTTCGGAGATCATTGAGGCAAAAGGAGAAAAACGGAATATCTCAGGATAAAAACTTGAAGGAATCTATCTCACACATCACTTTGTGGTGCCAGCATTCATCTCACAGAGTGAAACCTTTCTTTTCATTCAGCAGTTTGGATACACTGTTTTTGTCCATTCTGAAAATGGACATTTGGGAGCACATTGTTGTCAATGGCAAAAAAGCAAGTGTCCCAGGAAAAAAAAAAAAAAACTTGAAGGAAGCTATCTTAGAAACCCCTTTAATTAATGGGCATTTATCTTGCAGAGATAAGCCTTTCTTTTCATTCAGCATTTTTGAAACACCGTTTTTGTAGTATCTATGAAAGGATATTTGGGAGCACAATGAGGACTACGGTGAAAAAGAAATTATCTTTAGATGAAAACTAGAAAGAAACTCTCTGAGAAACTGCATTGTGATGTGTTCATTCATCTCATAGAGTTAAAACTTTCTTTTGATTCAGCAATTTGTAAACACTGTTTTTTTCCATTCTGCTAATGGACATTTAGGAGCTCATTGAGGCCAATGGCAAAAAAGCTAATATCCCAGGAAAAAAACTAGAAGGAAGCTATCTTAGAAACCATTTTACAAAGTGTGCATTCATCTAGCAGAGATAAACATTTGATTTGATTTAGCAGTTTGGAAACACTGTTTTTTTTTAGAATCTCTGAAGGGATACAAGGGAGTCCATTGAGGTCTTTGGTGAAAAAGAAAATATCTCCAGATAAATACTAGAAAGAAGCATTCATAGAAACTCCTTTGTGATGTGTGCAATCATCTCACAGATTTAAACCTTTTTTTTCTTTTAGCAGTTTGGAAACACTGCTGTTGTCCACTCCATGAATGAACATTTTGGAGCTCATTGAGGTGAATGGCAAAAAAATGAATATCCCAGGATAAAAACTAGAAGGAAACTATCTGAGAAACTGCTTTGTGATGTGTGCATTCATCTAGCAGAGTTAAACATTTCTTTTGATATGGCATTTTGGAAACACTGTTTTTGTCGATTCTATTAATAGACATTTGGGAGATCATTGAGGCCAATGGGGAAAAAGAGCATGCATCAGGATAAAAACTAGAAGGAAACTGAGAAACCACTTTGTGAAGAATGCATTTGTCTTGCAAATTTAAAGGATTGCTTTCATTCAGCAGTTTGGAAACACAGTTTTTGTAGATCTGCGAAGGGACATTTGGGAGTGCATTGAGGACTGTGGTGAAAAAGAAAGTATCTTCAGATGAAAACAAGAAAGAAGCTTTCTGAGACACAGCATTGTGCTGTGTGCATTCATCTCACAGGGTTAAACCTTTCTTTTCTTTCAGCAGTTTGGAAACACTGTTTTTATCCATTCTGCAAATGGACGTTTTGGAGCTCTTTGAGACAATGGCAAAAAAGCAAATATCCCAGGATAACAACTAGAAGGAAGCTATCTGAGAAACGACTTTGTGATGTGTGCATTCATCTTACAGTGTTAAGCCTTTTTTTTTTAAATTTAGCCATTTGGAAACACTGTTTTTGTCTATTCCGTGAATGGACATTTGGGAACACATTTTGGCCAATGGCAAAAAAGTGAATATCCAAGGATAAAAACTACAAGGAAGCTATCTGAGAATCTGCTTTGTGATGTGTGCGTTCATTTCACAGAGTTAAACCGTTCTTTTCATTCAGCAGTTTTGAAACACTGCTTTTGTCCATTCTGCAAATGGACATTTGGGAGCTCATTGAGGCCAATGGCGAAAAAGAGACTATAACAGGATAAAAACTAGATGGAATCTATCTGAGAAACTGCCTTGTGATCTTTGTATTCACCTCATGGAGATAAACCTTTCTTTCCATGCAGCAGTTTGTAAACACTGTTGTAGAATCTGCAGAAGGATATTTATGAGTGCCCTGTGGCCTATGGTGAAAAATAAAATATCTTCAGATAAAAACTAGAGGGAAGCTTTCTGAGAAACTGCTTTGTGATGTGTGCATACATCTGATAGAGTTAAAACTGTCTTTTGATTCAGCAGTTTGGAAACACAGTTTTTGTCCAATTAGTGAGTGGAAATTTGGAGCTCATTGAAGCCTATAGCAAAAAAGCAAATTTCTCAGGATAAGAGCTAGAAGGAAGCTACCTGAGAAACCACTTTGTAATGTGTGCATTCATCTCACATAGTTAAACATTTCTTTTGATTTAGCAGTTTGAAAACATAGTTTATGTCCATTCTGTGAATGGACATTTTGGAGGTCATTGAGGCCAAAGGCAAAATACTGAAGATTCCAGATAAAAATTGGGAGGAAGGTATCTGACAAACCACAATGTGTTGCATGCATTCATCTCACAGAGTTAAATATTTCTTTTCCTTCAGCAGTTTGGAAATATTGCTTTTGTCCATCCTGCAAAAGAATATTTTGGAGCTCCTGGAGGCCAATGGTGAAAAAGCAAATATCCAAGGTTACAACCTCAAAGGAACCTAGCTGAGAAACTGCTTTGTGATGTGTACATTCATCTCGCAGTGATAAAATTTTCTTTTCTTTCACCAGTTTGGAAACACTGTTTTTATAGAATCTGAGAAGAGATATTTGGGAGCACATTGACATATATGAAAAAGTATATATCTTAAGAAAAAAACTAGAAAGTCTCTTTCTGAGAAACTGCTTTGTGATGCTTCCATTCATCTCACAGATATGAATATTTCTTTTGATTGAGAAGTTTGCAAACACTGTTTTTGTCCTTTCTTTGAATGGACATTTTGGAGGTCATTGATGCCAATTTCAAAAAAGCAAATATTGAAGGGTAAAAAATAGTGTGAAGCTATGTGAGAAATTGATCTGTGATGTATGTATTCATCTATAAGAGATAAACCTTTCTTTTGATTGAGCAGTTTGGAAACAGTTTTTGTAAAATCTGAGAAGAGATATTTGGGAGTACTTTGAGGACTATGGTGAAAAAGAAAATAACTTCAGATAAAATCTAGAAAGAAGCTTTGTGAAAAACTGCTTTGTGATGTGTGCATTCATCTCACACAGGTAAAAATTTCTTTTGATTCAGCACTTTGGAAAAACTGTTTTTGTCCATTTTGTGAATGGACATTTGGGGGTCATTTAGGCCAGTGATGAACAAAATAATATTTCAGGATAAAAACAAGAATGGAGCTGTCAAAGAAACCATATTGTGATGTGTACATTCATGTCACAGAGTTAAACTTTTCTTTTGATTCAGCAGTTGGAAACACTGTTTTTGTAGAATGTGTGAAAGTATACTTGGGAGCACATTTAGGCCTATGGTGAAGTAGAAAATATCTTCAGATGAAAACTAGAAAGAAGCTTTGTGAGAAACTGCTTTGTGATGTGTGAATTCACCCCACAGAGTTAAAACTTTGTTTTGATTCAGCAGTTTGGAAACACTGTTTACGTCCACTCTCTGAATGGACATTTAGCAGCTCATTGAGGCCAATGGTAAAAAAGTGTATATCCCAGGATAAAAACGAGAAGGAAATGATCTGAGAAACTGCCTTGTGATGTATGCATTCACCTGGCAGAGATAAGCCTTTCTTTGCATTCAGCAATTAGGAAACACGGTTTTTGTAAAATCTGCAAAGGGATATTTGGGAGCACTTTAAGTACTATGGTGAAAAAGAAAATATATTCAGATAAAAACTAGAAAGAAGCTTTCTGAGAAACTGCTTTCTGATATGTGCATTCATCTCACAGAGCTAAACAATTCTTTTCATTCAGGAGTTTGGAAACCCTGTTTTTGTAGAAACTGCAAAAGTGTATTTGGGAGAACATAGCAGCCTATAGTGAAAAAGCAAGTATCTTCAGATAACAACTAAAAAGAAGCTACCTGAGACACCCCTTTGTGATGTGTGCATTCATCTCACCGAGTTAAACCTTTCTTTTCATTAAGTAGTTTGGAAACACTATTTTTGTCCATTCTGTGAATGGACATTTAGGAACTCAGTAAGACCAATGGAGTAAAAGCAAATATCCCAGGATAAAAACCAGAAGGAAGGTCTCTGAGATACTGCTTTTTGATATGTGCTTTCACCTCGCAGATTTAAACCTTTATTTTCATTCAGCAGATTGGAAACACTGTTTTTGAAGAATCTGCAAAGGGATATTTGGGAGCACATTGCAGCCTATGGTGAAAAAGAAAGTATATTCAAATAAAAACTAGAAAGAAGCAAGCTGAGAAACTGCTCTGTGTTGTGTCCATTCATCTCACACAGTTAAATGTTTCTTTTCATTCGACAGTTTGGAAACACCGTTTGTGTCCATTCTGTGAATGGACATTTGGGAGCAGATTGAGACCAATGGCGAAAAGGCGAGTATCCCAGGAGAAAAACAAGAAGGAAACTATTAGAGAAAGTGCTTTGTGATGTGGGCTTCCATCTCATGAGATAAACCTTTCTTTCATTCAAAAGTTTGGAAACACTGTTTTTCTCAAATCTGAGAAGGAATAATTGGGAGTGCATTTAAGCCTATGGTGAAAAAGAAAATATGTTCAGGTTAAAGCCAGACAGAAAGTTTTTGTGAAACTGTTTTGTGATGTGTGCATTCTTCTCACAGAGTGAACCCTTTCTTTTGATTCAGCAGTTTAGAAACACTGTCTCTGTCAATTCTGTGAATAGACTTTTGAAAGCTCCTTGAGGCTGGCAAAAAAGTTAATATCTCAGGATAAAAACTAGAAGGACACTATCTGAGAAACCACTTGTAAATTGTGCATTCATCTCACAGAATTAAATTTTTCTTTTCATTCAGCAGTTTGGAAACACTGTTGTTGTAGAATCTGCAAAGACATATTTGGGAGTGCAATGAGGACTACAGTGGAAAAGAAATTAAATTCAGATAAAAACTACAAAGAATCTTTCTGAGATACTGCTTTGTGATGTGTGCATTCATCCTGCAGAGTTAAACCTTTCTTTTTGTTCAGCAGATTGGAAACACTGTTTTTGTCCATTCTGCAAATGGACATTTGGCAGCTTATTGAGACCAATGACAAAACAGAAAATATGCCACGATAAAAACTACATGAAGCTATTTGAGACTCAGCTTTCTTAGGTGTGCATTAATCTTGAAGAGTTAAACTTTTCTTTTGATTCAGCAGTTTGAAAACACTGCTTTTTTTAGAATCTCTGAAGGGCAATTTCGGAGTGCATTGAGGCCTATGGTGAAAAATAAAATACCTTCAGATAAAAACTAGATGGAAGCTTTCTGAGAAACTGATTTGTGATGTGTGCATTCGTTCCAGAGAGTTAAACCTTTCTTTTAATTCAGCAGTTTTCAAAACTGTTTTTGTCCATTCTGTGAATAGACATTTGAAAACTCATTGAGGCCAATGAAGAAAAAGTGAATATCTCAGGATAAAAACTAGAAGGAAGCTATCTGAAAAACCGCCTTGTTTGGTGTGCATTCAACTCTCAGAGTTATAACGTACTTTTCATTCAGCAGTTCTGAAACACTGTTTTTGTAGAATATCTGAAGGGTTGTTTCACAGTACATTGAGACAGTGAAAAATAAAATACCTTCAGATAAAAACTAGGTGGAAGCTTTCTGAGAAACTGATTTGTGATGTGTGCATTCATTCCACAGTTAAACCTTTCTTTTGATATAGCAGTTTTCAAAAACTGTTTTTGTCCATTCTGTGAATAGACATTTGAAAACTCATTGAAGCCAATGGAGAGAAAGCAAATATCCCAGGATAAAAACTAGAAGGAAGCTATCTGAGAAATGCTTTGTGATGTGCGCATTCATCTCACAGAGTTAAACCTGTCTTTTCATTCAGGAGTTTGGAAACACTGTTTTTGTCCATTCTGCCAATGGATATTTGACAGCTCATTGAGGCCAATAGTGAAAAAGTGCATATCCCAAGATAAAAACTAAAAGGAAGCTACCAGAGAAAATGCTTTGTGATGTGTCAATTCTTCCCACAGAGGTATAAGTTTCTTTTCATTCAGCAGTTTAGAAACACGGTTTTGTCCATTCTGAGAATGGACAGTTAGGAGCTCATTCAGGACAATGGTGAAAAAGTGAATATCCCAGGATAAAAATTAGAAAAACGTTATCTGAGGAACTGCTTTTTGATGTGTATTCATCTCACCAAGGTAAACCTTTCTCTTCATTCAGCAATTTGGAAACCCTGTTTTTGTAGTATCTGTGAAGGAATACTTGGGTGTCTTTTGAGGCCTATGTGGATAAAGAAAATATCTCCAAATAAAAACTAGAAAGAAGCTTTCTGAGAAACTGCTTTGTTGTTTGTGCATTCATCTATGAGATGTAAAACTTTCTTTTGATTCAGCTGTTTGTAAACACTGTTTTTGTACTTTCTGTGAATGGATATTTGGGATCTCATTGAGGTGAATTGCAAAAAAGTGAAAATACAAAGATAAAAACTAGAATGAAGCTATCTGAAAAACTGCTTTATGATATGTTAACATTTCTTTTCATTTAGCATTTGGAAACACAGTTTTTGAAGGATCTGTGATGGCATATTTGGGAGCTCTTGGATGCCAATGGTGAAAAAGAAAATACCTTTAGATAAAAACTAGAAAGAAACATTCTGAGAAAGTGCTTAGTGAAGTGTGCATTCATCTCACAGAGGTAAACATTTCTTTTGATTCAGCAGTTTTTTTGTCCATTCTGTGAATGGACATATGGGAGCTCATTGAGGCCAATGGCAAAAAAAATGAATATCACAGGACAAAAACTAGAGGGAACCTGTCTGATAAACGGTTTTGTGATATGTGCATTCACCAAGCAGAGTTAAACCTTTCATTTCATTTAGCAGTTTGGAAAGTTTTTTCTTTGTTTTTTAGCATCTGCTAAGAAATATTTGGGAGTGCATTGATGCCTATGGTGAAAAAGTAAATATATTTAGATAAAAACTAGAAATAATCTTTCTGAGAAACTGCTTTGTGATGTGTACCTGCACCTCACTGAATTAAACCTTTCCTTGGATTTAGCAGTTTTGAAATACTGTTTTTGTCCATTTTGTGAATGTACACTTGGGAGCTCCTTGAGACCAATGGTGAAGTGAATATCCAAGGATAAAAACTAGAAGGAAGCTGTATGAGAAATCACTTTGTGATGGGTGCATTCATCACGCAGATTTAAAAGTTTCTTCGATTCAGCAGTTTGGAAACACTGTTTTAGTCCTTTCTGTGAATGGACATTTGGGAGCTCTTTGAGGTCAATGATGAAAGTGCGATAATCCCAGGGCAAATCCAAAAGAAAGCTATATGAGGAACCAATTTGTGATGTGTGCCTTCATCTCAGAGAATTAAATCTTTCCTTTTATTGAGCAGTTTTAAAGCACTCTTTTGTTAGAATCTGTGATGGGATATTTGGGAGCACATTGTGGCCTATAGTGAAAAGGAAAATATCTTCAGATATAAAAACTAGAAAGAAACATTCTGAGAAACTGCTTTGTGATGCTTTCATTCATCTCCAAGAGTTAAACCATTCTTTTGATTCAGCAGTTTGGAAACACAGTTTTTGTTCATTCTGTGAATGTACATTTGGGAGCTCATTGAGGGCAATAGTGAAAAACCGAATATCCCATTATGAAAACTAGAAGGAATTTATCTGAGAAACAGCATTGTGATGTGTGCATTCATCTCACAGAGGTAAACTTTCTGTTCATTCAGCAGTTTAGAAATACTGTTTTTGTAGAATCAGCTAAGAGGTATTTGGGAGAGCATTGTGGCCTATGGTGAAAAAGAAAATATCTTCAGAAAAAGACTAGAAAGTAACTTTCTGAGATGTGATGTTTGCATTCATCTCAAAAAGTTGAACCATTCTTTTGATTCAGCAGTTTGGAAACACTGTTTTTGTCCATTCTGCGTGCGGTCATTTGGGAGCTCATTGAGTCCAACAGTGATAAAGCAAATATCCCAGGAAAAAATCAAGAAGGAAGCTACTGGAGAAGCCACTTTCAGTATGCTCATTCATCTCACGGAGTTTAACATTGCTTTTGATTCAGCAGTTTGGTAACACTATTTTTGTACTTTCTGCAAATGGACATTTGAAAGGTCATTAAGCTAATGGTGAAAAAGAGACTATCCCAGGATGAAATCTAGAAGGAAGCTATCTGAGAAATTGCTTTGTGATGTGTGCATTCATTTCACAAAATTAAATCTTTTTTTGATACAGCAGTTTTGAAACACTGTTTTTGTGCATTCTGCAAATGGACACTTGAGAGTTCCTTGAGGCCAATGGCAAAAAGTGAGTATCCCAGGATAAAAATTAGAAGGAGACTGTCTGAGAAACCACTTTGTGATGGGGGCATTCATTGCATAGATTTAAAACTTTCTTTGATTCAGCAGTTTGTAAACAGTTTTTTTCCTTTCTGTGAATGGATATTTGGGAGCTCATTGAGGCCAATGGCAAAAAAGCAAATATCCTAGGATGAAAACTAGAAGGAAGCTATCTGATAAAGTGATTTGTGATGTGTGCATTCATCTCTCAGAGGTAAACATTTCTTTTCATATAACAGTTTGGAAACACATTTTTGTCCATTCTGCAAATGGACATATGGGGGCTCATTGAGGCCAATTGCAAAAAACAAAAATCCCATGATGAAAACTAGAAAGAAGCTAACTGAGAAATCTTTTTGTGATGTGTGCATTAATCACTCATAATTAAACCTTTCTTTTTGTTCAGCAGTTTGGAAACACTGTTTTTGTAGAATCTGTGAAGCAATAATTGGGTAATGTTGTGGCCTATGCTTAAAAAGAAAATATCTTTAGATAAAAAATAGAAAGAAGCTTTCTGAGAAACTGCGTTGTGATGTGTGCCTTCATCTCACAGAGTTAAAATTTTTTTTGATTCAGCAGTTTGTCAACACTGTTTTTGTCCTTTCTGTGAATGGACATTTGGGAGCTCATCTAGGCCAGTGGTGAGAAAGCGAATATCCCAGGATAAAAACTAGAAGGAAGCTACGTGAGAAACAGCTTAGTGATATGTGCATTCATCTCATAGAGTTAAATCTTTCTTTTCATTCAGCAGTTTGTAAAGATGGATTTGTCAATTTTGTGAAAGGAGATTTGGGAGCCCATTGAGGCCAAAGATGAGAAAGCTAATATACCAGGATAAAAACTAGAAGGAAACTATCTGAGAAACTGCCTTGTGATGTGTGCATTCATCACACAGGGTTCTTTTTTTTTTTTTGGATTCAGCAGTGTGGAAATGCTGTTTTTGTAGAATTTAAGAAGCAATCTTTTGGATTGGATTGAGGCCAATGATGAAAAAGGAAATATCTTCAGATAAAAATTAGAAAGAATCTTTGTGAGAAACTGCTTTGTGATTTGTGCATGCATCTCACAGAGTTAAACCATTCTTTTGATTCAGCAGTTTGGAAACACTGTTTTTGTCCATTCTGCAAATGGACATTTGGCAGCTCATCTAGGCCAGTGGCAAAAAAGCAAATATCCCAGGATAAAAACTAAAAGGAAGCTATGTGAGAAACCACTTTGTGATATGTGCATTCATCTCATAGAGTTAAATCTTTCTTTTCATTCAGCTGTTTGGAAAGACGTATTTGTCAATTCTGTGAAAGGAGATTTGGGAGCCCGTTGACGCCAAAGATGAAAAAGCTAATATACCAGGATAAAAACTAGAAGGAATTTATCTGAGAAACTGCCTTGTGATATGTGCATTCATCTTGCAGGTTTCATTTTTTTTTGATTCGGCACTGTGGATATGCTGTTTTTGTAGAATCTGAGAAGCAATCTTTTGGATCAGATTGAGGCTAATGATGAAAAAGGAAATATCTTCAGATAAAAATTAGAAAGAATCTTTCTGAGAAACTGCTTTGGGATTTGTGCATGCATCTCACAGAGTTAAACCATTCTTTTGATTCAGCAGTTTGGAAACCCTGTTTTTGTCCATTATATGAATGGACATTTGGGAGCTCTTTGAGGCCAATGGTGAAAAAAAGAATATACCAGGGTAAGAACTGGAAAGAAGCTATTGGAGAAACCACTTTGTCATATGCTCATTCATCTCTCTGAGAAAAATGTTTCTTTTCATTCAGCAGTTTGGAAACACTGTGTTTGTCCATTCTGTGAATTGATTTTTGAGCTCATTGAGGCCAATAGTAAAAAAGCGAATATCCAAAAATAAAAACCCAGAAGGAAGCTATGAGAAATTGCTTTGAGATGTTTGCATTCATCTCGTGGAGTTAAACCATTCTTTTCCTTCAGCAGTTTGGAAACACTATTTTTGATGAATCTGTGAAGAGATATTTGGGGGAGGGCATTGGAGCCTCTGGTGAAAAAGAAAATATCGTCAGCATAAAACTAGAAAGAAGCTTTGTGAGAAACTGCTTTGTGATGTGTTCCTTCATCTCACACAGTTAAACTTTTCTTTTGATTCAGCAATTGGGAACACTGCTTTTCTCCATTTTGTGAATGTACATTTGGCAGCTCATTGAGGCCAATGGTGAAAAAGTGAATATCCCAGGGTAAAAACTAGAAGAAAGCCATCTGAGAAAAAGCTTTGTGATGTCTGCCTTCATCTTGTAGAGGTAATCTTTTCTTTTCATTCAGCAGTTTGGAAACACTGTTTTTGTAGAATCTGTGAAGGGGTAATTGGGAGCACATTTGGTCCCATGGTGAAAAAGAAAATATCTTCAGATTTAAACTAGAAAGAAGCCTTCTGAGAAACTGATTTGTGATAAGTTCCTTCATCTCACAGAGTTAAACCTTTTTTTTGATTCAGCAGTTTGGAAACCGTGTTTTTGTCCCTTCTGTGAATGGACATTTGGGAGCTCATTGAGGCCAATGGAGGAAAAGTGAATATCCCAGGATAAAAACCAGAACTAAGCTACCTGAGAAATAGCTTTGTGATATGTGCATTCATTGCACACAGATAAATTTTCCTTTTGATTTGGCAGTTTGTAAATACTGTTTTTGCATATTCTGGGAACATACATTTGGGAGCTCATTTAGGCCAATGCTGAAAAAGCAAATATTGCAGGATAAAAACTAGAAGGAAGCGACCTGAGAAATTGCTTTGTGATGTCTGCCTTCTTCTCATAGAGTTAATCCTTTATTTTCATTCATTAGTTTGGAAAAACTGTTTTTATAAAATCTGCTAAGGGGTATTTAGGAGCATAATGGGGCCTATGGTAAAAAAATTATCTTCAGATTAAATCTAGAAAGAAGCTTTCAGAAAAACTGCTTTGTGATGGGTTCCTTCAACTCATAGAGTTAAACCTTTCTTTTGATTCAGCAGTTTGGAAACACTATTTTTGTCTCTTCTGCGAATGCATATTAGGGAGCTCTGAGACCAATGGCAAAAGAGTGCATATCCCAGGATAAAAACCAGAATGAAGCTATCTGAGAAACCGCTTTTTGATGGTCTCATAGAGTCAATGCTTTCTTTTCATTTAGCAGTTTGGAAACACTTTTTTTAGAACCTACAAAGGCATATTTGGGAGGGCATTGAGGTCTAAGGTGAAAAACAAAATATCTTCAGAAGAAAACTACAATAAAGCTTTCTGAGATACTGCTTTGTGATGTGTGCAATGATCTCGCAGAGTTTAAACTTTCTTTTGATTCAGCAGTTTGCAAACACTGTTTTTTTTTCCATTCAGTGAATGGAGATGTGGGAGATCATTTAGGCCAAAGGTGAAAAAGTGTATATCCCAGGATAAAAACTAGAAGGAAGCTATCTGAGAAACTGCTTTCTGATGTGTGCATTCATCTCGCAGAGGTAAACATTTCTTTTCATTCAGCAGTTTGGAAACACTGTTTTTGTCCATTCTGCGAATGGATTTTGGGAGCTCATTGAGACCAATTGCAGAAAAGAGAATATCCAAAAGTAAAAACCCAGAAGGAAGCTATGAGAAACTGCTTTGGGATGTGTGCATTCATATTGCAGAGTTTAAGTATTCTTTTCCATTAGCAGTTTGGAAACACTGTTTGTGAAGAATTTGTGAAGGGATACTTGGGAGCACATTGAGGCTTATGGTGAAAAGAAAAATATCCTCAGATAAAAATTAGAAGGAAGATTTCTGAGGAACTGCTTTCTGATATGTAATTTCATCTCACAGAGAAACATTTCTTTTGATTCAGCAGTTTGGAAACACTTTTTTTGTAAATTCTGCAAATGGACATTTGGGAGCTCATCAAAGCCAATGGAGAAAAATCGAATATCCCAGGATAAAAACTAAAAGGAATCTATCTGAGAAACCGCTTTTCAATGTGTGCATTCATCTCGTAGTGTTAAACCTTTCCTTTCATTCAGCAGTGTGGAAACAGTGTTTTTGTAGAATCTGGGAAGGAATATTTGGAGCACAATGAGGCCAGTGGAGGAAAAGCAAGTATCCCAGGATAAAAACCAGAGTGAAGCCACCTGAGAAACAGCTTTGTGATGAGTGCATTCATCGCAAACAGATAAACATTTCTTTTCATTAAACCATTTGGAAACACTGTTTTTGTCCATTCTGCAAATGGACATTTTCGAGCCCATTCAGGCCAATGGTGAAAAAGCATATATCCCAGGATAAACTAGAAGGATGCTATCTGAGAAACTGCTTTGTGATGTGTGCATTCAGCTCGCAGAGTTAAACCTTTATTTTCATTCAGCAACTTGGAAACACTGTTTTTGTAGAATCTGTGAAGGGATATTTGGGAGATCATCAATGCCTCTGGTTAAAAAGAAAATATCTTCACACAGAAACTAGAATGAAGCTTTCTTAGAAAATGCTTTCTGATGTGTGTGTTCATCTAACAGAGTTAAACCTTCCTTTTGATTCAGGAGTTTGGAAAAAATTTTTTTTCCCCATTCTTCAAATGGATATTTGGGAGCTAATTGAGACTTCATCTTGTCATAGTGTTAAACTTTGTTTTCATTCAGAGTATGGAAACAGAGTTTTTGTCCATTCTGCAAATGGACATTTGGCAGCTCATTGAGGCAAATGGCAAAAAAGTGAATAACCTAGGATAAAAGCCAAAAGGAACCTTTCTGAGAAACAGCTTTGTGCTGTGTGCATTCGTCTTACAGAGCTAAATCATTCTTTTGATTCAGTATTTTGGAAACACTGCTTTTGTGCATTCTGTGAATGGACTTTCAGGAGCTCTTTGTGGCCAATAGTGTAAAAGTGAATATAACAGGAAAAACGTGAAGGAATCTACCTGAGAAACTGCTCTGTGATTTGTGCATTCATCTCACAGAGTTAAAATTTTCTTTTCATTCAGCAGTTTGGAAACAGTGTTTTTGTCCATTTTGTGAATGGACATTTATGAGATCATTGAGGCCAATTGCCAAAGAGAAAATATCCAAGGATAAAAATGAAAAGAATGCTATCTGAGAAACCGATTTGTGATAAGTGCATTTGTCTCATGACTTAAACGTTTCTTTTCATTCAGCAGTTTGGAAACACGGTTTTGTAGAATCTGCAAAGGGATATTTTGGAGCTCATTGAGGCCTATGGTGAAAAGGAAAATATCTTCAGATAAAAACTAGAAAGAAGCTTTCTGAGAAACTGCTTTGTGATGTGTGCATTCATCTCACAAAGCTAAAACTTTGTTTTGATTCAGCAGTTTAGAAACACTGTTTTGGTCCATTCTGCAAATGGACATTTGGGAGCTCATTGAGGTCAGTGGTGAAAAAGCTAATATCCCAGGATAAAAACTAGAAGGAAGATATCTGAGAAACTACTCTGCGATGGGTGCATTGATCCTGCAGTGTTAAACCTTTCTTTTCATTCAGCAGATTGGAAACGCTGTTTTTATAGAATCTGTGAAGGGATATTTGGGATCACAGTGAGGCCTATGGTGAAAAAGAAAATATCTATAGATAAAATCCAGAAAGAAGCGTTCTAAGAAACTGCTTTGTGATGTGTGCATAGATCTCACATAGTTAAATCTTTCTTTTGATTCAGCAGTTTGGAAACACTGTTTTTGCCCATTATGCAAATGGACATTTGGGAGCTCATTGAGACCAATAGTGCAAAAGGGAATATCCCAGGATAAAAACTAGAAGAAAGCTATCTGAGAAACCACGTTGTGTTCTGTTCATTCATCTCACAGAGTTAAATCTTTCTTTTCTTTCAGCAGTGTTGAAACACTCTTTTTTAGAATCTGAGAAGGGATATTTGGGGGCACATTGAGGCCTATGGTGAAAAGGAAATATGATCAGATAAAAACGAGAAAGAAGCTTTCTGAGAAAGTGTTTTGTGATGTGTACATTCGTCTCACTGAGTTAAACCTTCCTTTTGATTTAGCAGTTTGGAAACACTGTTTTGTCCATTCTGCAAATGGACATTTGTGAGCTCATTGAAGACTACGGTGAAAAAGCAAATACCCCAGGATAAAAACTGGAAGGAAGCTATCTGAGACTCCGCTCTGTGATGTGTGCATTGATCCTGCAGAGTTAAATCTTTCTTTTCATTCAGCAGATTGGAAATGCTGTTTTTATAGAATTGCGAAGGGATATTTGGGATCACAGTGAAGCCTATGGTGAAAAAGAAAATAGCTACAGATAAAGAATAGAAAGAAGCGTCCTGAGAAACTGCTTTGTGCTGTATTAATAGATCTCATATAGTTAAATCTTTCTTGTGATTCAGCAGTTTGGAAACACTGTTTTTGCCCATTTTGTGAGTGCACATTTGGGAGCTCATTGAGACCAATGGTGCAAAAGGGAATATCCCAGTGTAAAAACTAGAAGGAAGGTATCTGAGAAACCACGTTGTGGTCTGTTCATTCAAAATCTTCCATTTCTTTCAGCAGTGTTGAAACACTCTTTTTTAGAATCTGAGAGGGGATATTTGGGGGCACATTGAGGCCTATGGTGAAAAGGAAATATGCTCAGATAAAAACGAGAAAGAAGCTTTCTGAGAAAGTGTTTTGTGATGTGTACATTCGTCTCACTGAGTTAAACCTTTCTTTTGATTTAGCAGTTTGGAAACACTGTTTTGTCCATTCTGTGAATGGACATTTTTGAGCTCATTGAAGCCTATGGTGAAAAAGCGAATGCCCCAGGATAAAAACTGGAAGGAAGCTATCTGAAACTCCACTCTGTGATGTGTGCATTGATCCTGCAGAGTTAAATCTTTCTTTTCATTCAGCAGATTGGAAACGCTGTTTTTATAGAATCTGTGAAGGGATATTTGGGATCACAGTGAAGCCTATGGTGAAAAAGAAAATAGCTACAGATAAAAAATAGAAAGAAGCATTCTGAGAAACTGCTTTGTGATGTGTGCATGGATCTCATATAGTTAAATCTTTCTTGTGATTCAGCAGTTTGGAAACCCTGTTTTTGCCCATTCTGTGAATGCACATTTGGGAACTCATTGAGACCAATGGTGCAAAAGAGAATATCCCAGTGTAAAAACTAGAAGGAAGCTATCTGAGAAACCACGTTGTGTTCTGTTCATTCATCTCACAGAGTTAAATCTTTCATTTCTTTCAGCAGTGTTGAAACACTCTTTTTTAGAATCTGAGAAGGGATATTTCGGGGCACATTGAGGCCTATGGTGAAAAAAAATAAGCTCAGATAAAAACCAGAAAGAAGCTTTCTGAGAAAGTGCTTTGTGATGTGTACATTCATCTCACTGAGTTAAACCTTCCTTTTGATTTAGCAGTTTGGAAACACTGTTTTGTCCATTCTGTGAATGGACACTTCTGAGCTCATTGAGGCCTATGCTGAAAAAGGGAATACTGCAGGATAAAAACTAGAAGGAAGCTATCTGAGACTCTGCTTTGTGATGTGTGCATTGATATCACAGAGTGAAACATAACTTTTCATTCAGCAGTTTAGAAACACTTTTTTTGTAGAATCTCTGAAGTGGTATTCAGGAGCTCATTGAGGACAATGGCGGAAAAGTCGATATCTCAAGATATAAACTGGAGGATAGCTATCTTAGAAACCGGTTTGTGATGTGTGCATTCATCTCACAGAGTTAAAACTTTCTTTTCATTCATCAGTTTGCAAACACTGTTTTTGGATAACCTGGGAAGAGATATTTTGGAGCAAATTGAGGCCTATGCTGAAAAAGAAAATGTCTTCAGATAAAAACTAGAAAGAAGCTTTCTGAGAAACTTCTTTGTGATGTGTGCATTCATCTCACAGCGTTAAACCATTCTTTTGATGCAGCAGTTTGGAAACATTGTTCTTGCCCATTCTGTGAAAGGACATTATGGAGCTCATTGAGGCCAATGGTGAAAAAGCGAATATCACAGGATAAAAACTAGAAGGAAGCTATCTGAGGAACCACTTTAAGAAGTGTGCATTCATCACCAGAATTAAACCCTTCTTTTTCTTCAGCAATTTGGAAACACTGTTTTTTTAGAATAGTAAAGGGATACTTGGGAGCGCATTGATGCCTATATTGACAAAGAAAATAACTTCAGATAAAAACTAGAAAGAATCTTTCTGAGAAACTGCTTTGTGATGTGTGCATTCATCTCACAGAGTTAAACCTTACTCTTGACTCACCAATTTGGAAACCCTGTTTTAGTCCATTCTGTGAATGGACATTTTGGAACTCATTAAGTCCCATGGTGAAAAGGGGTATATCCCAGGATAAAAACTAGAAGGAAGCTATCTGAGAAACTTTTTGTGATGTTTGCCTTCATCCCACAGAGTTAAACCTTTCTTTTGATTCAGCAGTTTGGAATCACTGTTTTTGTCCATTCTGCAAATGGACATTTGGGAGCTCATTGAGGCCAAGGGTGAAAGAGTGAACATCCCAGGATAAAAACCAGAAGGAAGCAGTCTGAGAAACCACTTCATGATGAGTGCATTCATTTCAGAGCATTAAACCTTTCTTTTGATTCAGCAGTTTGGAAAGACTGTGATTGTCTACTCTGAATGGACATTTGGGAGTTCATTGAGGCCAAAGGCAAAAAAGCGACTCTCCCAGGATAATAATGCAAAGAAAGTTATCTGAGATACTGCTTTGTGATATGTGCATTCACCTTGCAGAGTTAAACCTTTCTTTTCATTTAGGAGTTTGGAAAAACTGTTTTTGTCCATTCTGTGAGTGAATATTTGGGAGCTCATTGAGGCGAATGGTGAAAAAGCAAATAACCCAGGATAAAAACTAAAAGAAATTATCTGAAAAACCGCTTTGTGATGTGTGCATTCATCTCACAGAGTTAAACTTTTTTTTTATCCAGCAGTTTGGAAACACTCTTTTTGTAGAATCTGCGAAGGGATATTTGGGAGCCTAATGAGGCCTATGGTGAAAAAGAAAATATCTTCAGATAAAAACGAGAAAGAAGTTTTCTGAGAAACTGCTTGGTGATGTTTGCATTCACTTCACAGAGATAAACATTTCTTTTTATTTAGCAGTTTGAAAACACTCTTTTTGTCCACTCTGTGAGTGGACATTTTGGAGCTATTTGAGGCCCAAGGCAAAAAAGTGAATATCCTATTATAAAAACTAGAAGAAGCTATCTGAGAAACCGTTTTGTGACTTGTGCTTTCATCTCACAGAGTAAAGCCATACTTTTCATTCAGCAGTTTAGAAACACTGTTTTTGAGGAAACTGCAAATGGATATTTGGGTGCACATTGAAGCCTATTGTGAAAAAGAAAATATCTTCACATAAAAAGTAGAAGGAAACTTTCTGAGATACTCCTTTGTGATGTGTGCATTTATCTCACTTAGTTAAAGCATTCCTTTGACTCGGCAGTGTGGAAACACTGCTTTTGTCCATTCTGTGAGTGGACATTTGGGATCTCACTGGGGCCAAAAGGAAAAACTTGAAAATCCCAAGATAAAAAGTAGAAGGAATCCATCTGTGAAACCGCTTTGTGGTGTGTGCATTCATCCCACAAAGTGAAACCTTTCTTGTCATTCAGTAGTTTAGAAACACTTTTTTTGTAGCATCTGCAAAGGGATATTTGGGAGCTCATTGAGGCCTATGGCAAAAAAGGAAATTAGAGAGAAGTTATCTGAGGAAACTCTTTGTGATGTGTGCATTCATCTTGCAGTGTCAAACAGTTCTTTTCACTTGGCAGTTTGGAAAAAGTGTTCTGTCCATTCTGTGAATGGACCTTTGGGAGCTCACTGAGTCCAATGTTGAAAAAGCAAATACCCAAGGATAAAAATTAGAAATAAGCTATCCAAGAAACCGCTTTGTGATATGTGCATTCATCTCACAGAGTTAAACTTTTCTTTTCATTTAGCACTTTGGAAACGGTTTTTTTGTCCATTTTGTGAATGGACATTTGAGGGATGATTGAGGTGAATGGCTAAAAAGCAAATATCCCAGCATAAAAACTAGAAAGAAGCTATCTGAGAAACCGCTTTGTGATGTGTGCATTCAATTGAGGAGTTAAATCTTTATTTTCATGCAGCAGTTGGAAAACATTTTTTGGTAGAATCTGCGAATTGACATTTCACAGCTGACTGAGGCCTATTATGGCAAAGAAAATGTCTTCAGGTAATAACTAGAATGTATCTTTCTGAGAAAGTGCTTTGAGATGTATGCATTCATGTCACAGAGTTAAAATTGTCTTATGATTCAGCACCTTGGAACACTGTTTCAGTCCATTCTGCGAATGGATATTTGGGGGCACTGTGAGGCCAATGGTGATAAGGTGAATGTCTCAGGATTAAAACTGAGAGGAAGCTATATGAGAAACCGCTTTCTGATGTGTATATTCATCTTGCAGAGTTAAAACTTTCTTTTCTTTTCGTTCAGCAGTTTGGAAACACTGTTGTTGCCCATTCTGTGATTGGACATTTGGGAGCTCATTGAGAGCAATGGAGAAAAAGGGAATATCCCAGGATAAAAACTAGAAGGAAGCTATCTTCCTTCTAGTAGTGTCTGCAGAGGGATATTTGGGAGCATATTGATGCCAAAGGTGAAAAAGTGAATATCCCAGGATGAAAACTAGAAAGAAGCTATATGAGAAATGGCTTTGTGATATGTGCATTCATCCCACAGACTGAAACCTTTATTTTCATTCAGCAGTTTGGAATCACTGTTTTTGTAGTCTCTGCGAAGGGATAGGTGGGAGCACATTGAGACCTCTGGTGAAAAAGAAAGTATCATCAGATAAAAACTAAAAGGAAACTTCTAGTTTGGCCCCAATGCACTCCCAAGTACACCTTTGCAGATTCTACCAAAACAGTTTTTCCAAACTGCTGAATGAAAAGTTTAACTCTTTGAGGTGAATGTACACATCACAAGGCAGTTTATCAGATAGATTCCTTCTGTTTTTTATCATGGGAGATTCGCTTTTTCACTTTGGGGTTCAAAGAGATCTGAAATGTCCATTCTCTGAATAGATAAAAACGGTGTTTCCAAACTGCTGAATCAAAAGAAAGGTTTAACTTTGTGAGATGAATGCTCACATCACAAAGCTGGTTCTCAGAAAACTTTCTTGTAGTTTTTATCCTGGGATATTCACTTTTTCGCCATTGGCTGCAAAGAGTTCCTAAATGTCCATTCTCCAAATAGATAAAAATGGTGTTTCCAAATTGCTGAATCAAAAGAAAGGTTTAACTCTGTGTGTTGAAAGCGCACATAACAAAGCAGCTTCTCAGAAAGCTTTTTTCTACTTTTTATCTGAAGATATTTTATTTTTCACCATATGCCTTAATATGCTCTAAAATATCCCCTTGCAGATTCCACAAAAACAGTGTTTCCATATTGCTGAAAGAAAATAAGGTTTAATTCTGTGTGATGTATGCACATAACCAAAGCAGTTTCTCATATAGGTTCCTTCCAGTTTTATCAGGGAACATTTGCTACTTAACCTTTGGCCTCCATGAACTCCCAAATGTCCATTCACAGAATGGACAAAAACACTGTTTCCAACTGCTGAATGAAAAGAAAGGTTTAACTCTGTGAGATGAATGCCCACATCCATCACAAAGCAGTTTCTCAGATATTCTTATTCTATATTTACCCTGGGATATTCACTTTCCCCATTGTTTTCAATGAGTTCCCAAATTTCCATTCATAGAATGGACAAAAAGAGGGTTTCCAAATTGCTAAATCAAAACAAATGTTCAACTCTGTGAGATGAATGCACATATCAAAAAGCAGTTTCTCAGAAAGCTTCTGTCTTGTTCTTATCTTAAGATATTTCCTTTTCCACCATACGCCTCAATGCACTTCAAAATATACTCTCACACATTCTACAAAAACACTGTTTCCAAACTTCTGAGTGAAAAGAATGGATTAACTCTGTCAGATGAATGCACACATCTCAAAGCAGTTTCACAATGCTTCTTTTTAGTTTTCATCTGAGGTTATTTTCTTTTTCAAAATAGGCCTCAGCAGGATCCCAAATATCCCTTTGCAGATTCTACAAAAACAGTATTTCCTAACTTCTGAAAGAAATAAAGGTTTAAATCTGCGAGATGAATGCACACATCAAAAAGTGGTTTCACCGTTAGCTTCCTTGTAGTTTTTATCCTGGGATATTCCCATTTTTGCCATTTGACTCAATGAGCTCCATCCATTCACAGAATGGAAATAAACAGTGTTTCCAAACTATTGAATCAAAAGAAAATATTAACTTCATGAGATAAATGCACACATTACAAAGCAGTTTCTCAGAAAGCTTCTTTCTAGATTTTATCTGAAGATATTTTCATTTTCACCATAGACTTCAATGCACATCCAAATATTCCTTTGCAGTTTCTACAAAAACAGTGTTACCAAACAGCAGAATCAAAACAAAGGTTTAACTCTGTGAGGTGAATGCACACATCACAAAGCAGTTTCTCAGATAGCTTCCTTCTAGTGAATAGCCACGGATATTCACTTTTTCGCTATTGGCCTCAATGAGTCCTAAAACGTCCATTCACAGAATGTAAAAAAAAAAAAAAAAACAGTGTTTCCAAAATGCTGAATCAAAAGAAATGTTTAACACTGTGAGATAAATGCACACATAAAAATGCAGTTTCTCAGAAAGCTTCTTTCTAGTTTTTATCTGAAGGTGTTTCCTTTTTCACCACAGGCCTCAATGCACTGCAAAATATCCCTTTGCAGATTCTGCAAAACAGTGTTTCCAAACTCCTCAATAAGGTTTAATTCTGTGTGAGGTATGCACATAACCGAAGCAGTTTCTCATATAGGTTCCTTCCAGTTTTATCAGGGAACATTTGCTACTTAACTTTGGCCTCCATGAGCTCCCAAATGTCCATTCACAGAATGGACAAAAACAGTGTTTCCAACTGCTGAATGAAAAGAAAGGTTTAACTCTGTGAGATGAATGCCCACATCCATCACAAAGCAGTTTCTCAGATAGCTTCCTCCTAATTGTCATCCGGGGTTATTCCTTTTTCACCACTGTCCTCAACGAGCTCCCAAATGTACATTAGCAGAATGGACAAAAACAGTGTTTCCGGACTGCTTAATCCAAAGAGAGGTTTAACTCTCTGTAATCAATGCACACATCACAGAGCAGTTTGTAGGATTGCTTCCTTCTAGTTTTTATTCTGGGATGTTTCCTTTTTCACCTTTGGCCTCAGGGAGACTACAAATGTTTATTTTCAGAATGGACAAAAAGTGTTTCCAAACTAGTGAATCAAAAGAAAGGTTGAACTCTGTAAGATGAATGAACACATCATAAAGCAGTTTCTTATAAAACTACTTTCTAATTCTTATCTGAAGATATTTTCTTTTTTACCATAGATCTCATTGTGCTCCTAAATATCTCTTCACAGTTTCTACAAAAACAGTGTTTCCAAACTACTTAATGAAAGACAGTTTTATCTCTGGGATATGAATGCATGCAGCCCAAAGCTGTGTCTCACATGGCTTCCTTCTAGTTTTTATGCTGTTATATCCACTTTTTCATCATTGCCCTCAATGAGCTCCAAAATCTGCTTTTGCAGAATTGGCAAAAACAGTGTTTCAATACTATTAAATCAAAAGAAAGGTTTAATTCTGTGAGATGAATTCATACCTCATTCATACGTCACAAAGTAGTTGCTCAGAAAGTTTCTTTCCAGTTTTTATGTAAACATATTCTTTTCAATATAGGCATCAGTTTCCAAACTGCTGAATCAAAAGAAAGGTTTAACTCTGTGAGATAAATGCACACATCAAAAAGCAGTTTCTCAGAAAGCTTCTTTCTGAAGATATTTCCTTTTTCACCACAGGCCTCAATGCACTGCAAATTATCACTTCGCAGATTCTACAAAAACAATGTTTTCAAACTTCTAAATGAAAAGAAAGGTTTAACTGTGAGATGAATACACACATCACAAAGTGGGTTCTCAGATAGCTTCTTTGTTGTTTCTGTTTTGGGTTATTCACTTTTTTGAAATTGGCATCAATGAGCAACCAAATGTCCATTCACAGAATGAATGAAAACAGTGTTTCCAAACTGCTAAATCAAAAGAATGTTTTAACACTGCCAGGTGAATGCATACATCACAAAGCGGTTTCCAGATAGGTTAATTCTACTTTTTATCCTGGGATATTCAGTTTTTTGCAATGGCCTCAATGGGCATGCAAATTTCCATTCTCAGAATGGACATAAACTCTTTTTCCAAAAGGCTGACTCAAAAGTAAGTTTTAAGTCTGTGACATGAATGCACCTATCACAAAGTTATTTCTCAGTTACCTTCCTGCTAATTTTTATCTAGGAATATTTACTTTTTCAACATTGGCCTCAAAGAGCTCCCAAATATCCATTCACAGTATGTACAAAAAATGTGTTTCCAAATTGCTGAATCCAAAGAAGGTTTTACCTCTGTGAGATGAATGCACACATTGCAAAGTAGTTTCTCAAAAAGTTTCTTTCTAGTTTTTATCTGAAGATATTTTCTTTTCCACCACATGCCCCAATGCACTCCCAAATATCACTTCTCAGATTCTACAAAAACAGTGTTTCCAAAGTGCTGAATGAAACGACAGTTTTACACATCACAAAGTAGTTTCTCAGATAGCTTCCTTCTAGTTTTTGTTCTGTGATATTCCCTTTTTCACCATAGGCCTTAATGAGCTCACAAAAATCCCATCACAGATTCTAGAAAAACATTATTTCCAAACATCTGAATGCAAAAGAAAAGCTTAACTCTGCTAAATGGATGCACATGTGACAAAGCGGTTTCTCAGATAGCTTTCTTCTTGTTTTTGTCCTGGGATATTCACTTTTTTGCCATCGGCCTCATTGAGCTCTGAAATGTCCAATAGCAGGATGGAGAAAAAGAGTGTTTCCAAACTGCTGAATGAAAAGAAAGTTTTAACTCTGTGAGATGAATGCAAACATCAAAAGGAGTTTCTCAGAAAGCTTCTTTCCAGTTTTTATCTGAAGATATTTTGTTTTCACCACAGGCCTCAATGCTCTCCCACATAGCCTTTCAAAGATACTAAAAAAACAGTGTTTCCAAACTGCTGAATCAAAAGAAACCTTTAACAATGAGAGATGAATGCACATATCACAGGGCAGTCTCCCAGATAACTTCATTGTAGTTTTTATCATGGGATATTCACTCTTTCTCCTTTGGCCTCACTGAGCTGCCAAATATCCATTTGCAGAATGGACAAAAACAGTGTTTCCAAACTGGTGAATTAAAAGAAAAGTTCAACACTGTGAAACGAATGCACACATTACAAAGCAGTTTCTCAGACAGCTTCTTTCTCGTTTTTATCTGAATTTACTTTCTTTTCCACCATAGGCCTCAACATGCTCCTAAATTTGCCTTCACAGATTCTGCAAAAACAGTGTTTCCAAACTAATGAAGGAAAAGCAAATTTTAATTCTGTGAGATGAATGCATATATCACAAAGCGGTTTCTCAGATAGCTTCCTTTTGTTTTTATCCTGGGATATTCACTTTTTCATGATTGACCTCAATGACTTTTCAAAAGTCCATTCACAGAATGGACAGAAACAGTGTTTCCAAACTCCTGAATCAAAAGAAAGTTTTCACTCCATGAGATCAATGCACACATCAGAAAGCAGTTTCACAAAAAGCTTCTTTCTGGCTTTTACCTGAAGATATTTTCTTTTTCACAATAGGACAAAATGTACTCCCAAATATCCCTTTGCAGATTCTAGAAAAATAGAGTTTTCAGACTGCTGAATGAGAGGATGGTTTATCTCTGTGAGATGAAGCACACATCACAAAGCCGTTTGTCAGATAGTTTCTTTCTTGTTTTTGTCCTGGGATACTCGCCTTTTTGCCATTGGCCTCAATCAGCTCCCCAGCGTCCCTTCACGGAATGGACTGAAAGAGTGTTTCCAAACTGGTGAATCAAGGAAAAGTTTAACTCTGTGAGATTAATGCACACAACACAAAGCAGAATGCTTCTTTCTAGTTTTTATCTGAAGATATTTTCTTTTTCACCATAGGCCTCATTGCCCTCCCAAATATCCCTTTGCAGATTCTAAAAACACAGTGTTTCCAAGCAGCTGAATGAAAAGGGATGAATGCACACATCACAAAGCAGTTTCTCAGAGAGCTTCCTTCTAGTTTTAATCCTGGAATATTTGCTTTTTCTCAATTGGCCTCAATGAGCTCCCAAATGTCCATTTGCAGAATAGACAAAAACAGTGTTTGCAAACTGCTGAATCAAAAGAAAGGCTTAACTCTATGAGATAAATGCCAACCTAAAAAACCAGTTTCTCAGAAAGCTTTTCTCTAGTTTTTGTCTGAGGATATTTTTTTTTCACCAGAGCCTTCGATGCAGTACAACATATCCCTTTGTAGATTCTACAAAAATAGTGTTTCCAAACTGCTGAATGTATAGGAAAGTTAATTCTGTGAGATAAATGCACGCGTCACAAAGTGGTTTCTTCTATAGCTTCCTTCTAGTTTTTATCCTGGAAAATTCACCTTTTTGCCATTGGCCTCAATAAGCTCCCAAATGTCCATTCACAGAATGGACAAAAACAATGTTTCCTAATTGCTGAATGAAAAAACAATTTTATCTTTGTGCGATGAATGCACACACCAGAAAGCGGTTTCCAGATAGCTTCATTCCAGATTTTATCCTGGGTTATTTACTTTTTCAACACTGGCCTCAATGAGCTCCAAAATGTCCGTTTGCAGAATGGACAGAAACAGTGTTTCCAAAGTGCTGAATCAAAAGAAAAGTTTAATTCCGTGAGATGAATGCAAACATCACAAAGCAGTTTCTTATAGAGCTTCTTTCTAGTTTTTACCTGAATATACTTTCTTTTTCACAATTAGCTTCAATGTGCTCCCAAATATAACCTCAAAGATTCTCCAAACACAGTGTTTCCACACTGCTGAATGATAAAATGGTTAACTCTGTGAGATGAAAGCACACATCACAAAGCTGTTTCACCAAAACCTTCTTTCTAGTTTTTACCTGAAGATATTTTCTTTTCCACTGTAGGCCTGAATGTGCTCCCTAAGATCCCTTTGCAGATTCTCCAAAAACCGTGCTTCCAAACTGCTGAATGAAATAAAGGATTAATTTTGCCAGATGAATGCGTACATCACAAAGGGTTTTCTCAGATATTTTCCTACTAGTTTTTATCCTGTGATATTCATTTGTTCTCCATTGGCCTCAATGACATACCAAGTGTCCATTCAGAGAATTGACAATCACAGTGTTTCCAAACAGCTGAATCAAAAAGAAAGATTTATCTCTGCTAGATGAATGCACATATCACCAAGCAGTTTCTCACACTGCTTTATTGTAGTTTTAATCTTGGGATATTTGCTGTTTCAACATTGGCCTCAATAAGCTTCCAAATGTCCATTCACAGAATGGACAAAAACAGTGTTTCAAAACTGCTGAATCAAATAAATATTTAACTCTGTGGAATGAATGCACACATCAGAAAGCAGTTTATCTGAAAACTTCTTCTAGTTTTTATCTGAATTTACTTTCTTTTTCACCATAGACTTCAAGACACTCCAAAATATCCCTTCACAGATTCTACAAAAGCAGTGTTTCCATATTGTTGAATGAAAAAAAGATTTAATTCTGGTAGATGAATGCACACTTTGTAAAGCAGTTTCTCAGATAGGTTCTTCTAGGTTTTTTCCTGGGATATTCCTTCCAGTTTTTATCTGAAGATATTTTCTTTTTCAATGTAGGCCTCAATGCACTCCCAAATATACCTTTGAAGATTCTACAAAAACAGTGCTTCCAAACTGCTGAATGAAAAGGCAAGTTTAATTCTGCAAGATGAGTGCACACATCACAAAGCCGTGTTTCAGATAGCTTCATACTAGCTTTTATAATGGGATATTCACTTTTCTGCAATTGGCCTCAATGAGTTTCTAAGTGTCCACTTGCAGAATGGACAAAAACAGAGTTTCCAAACTACTCAATCAAAAGAAAAGTTTAACTCTGCAAGATGAATGCAGACATCACAAAGCATTTTTTCAGATAGATTCCTTCCAGTTTTTATCCTTGGATATTAGCTTTTTCACCATTGGCCTCAATGAGCCTTCATATATCCTTTTGCAGAATGGACGGAAACAGTGTTTCCAAACTGCTGAACCAAAGAAAGATGTAGACCTGTGAGATGAATGCACACATAACAAAGCAGTTTCTCAGATAGCTTCTTTCTAGTTGTTTTCCTGGGATAGTCTCTTTGTCTTTGTTGGCCTTGATGAGCTTTCAAATGTCCTTTCATAGAATGGACAGAAACAGTGTTTCCAAACTGCTGAATCAAAAGAAAATTTTAAATCTGTGAGATGAATGCACATATCAAAAAGCAGTTTCTCAGAAAGTTTCTTTCTAGTTTTTATCTGAAAATAGTTTTTTTCACCATAGGCCTCCATGCACTTCCAAATATCCCTTCACAGGTTTTACAAAAATAGTGTTTCCAAATTGCTGATTCAAAAGAAAATTTAAATCTGTGAGATGAATTCACACATCACAAATCTGTGTCCTTCTCCTTTTTATACTGGGATATTTGCTTTTTCGCCATTGGCCTCAATGAGCCCCAAAATGTCCATTCGTGGAAAGGAGAAAAACAGTGCTTGCAAACTGCTGAATCAAAAGAAAGGTTTAACTCTTTAAGATGAATACCCACATCAAAAACCAGTTTCTCAGAAAGCTTTTTTCTGGTTCCTTTCTGAGGATTTTTTTTTCACCAGAGGCTTTGATGCGCTCCCACATATCCCTTTGCATATTCTACAAAATAGTGTTTTGAAACTGCTAAACATATAGAAAGGTTAACTCTGTGAGATGAATGCACACATCACAAAGTGGTTTCTCAGATAGCTTCCTTCAAGGTTTTATCCTGGAATATTCGCTTTTTCACCTTTGGCCTCAATGAGCTTACAATAGTTCATTTCCAGAATGGACAAAAACAGTGTTTCCAAATTACTGAATGAAAGGAAACGTTTGTCTCTGTGATGTGAATGCACACATCACAAAGCAGTTTCCAGATAGCTTCTTTCTAGATTTTATCTTGTGATATTTGCTTTTTCATCATTGACATCAGTGAGCTCCAAAATGTCCATTCACAAAATGGACAATAACAGTTTTTCCAAACTGCTGAATCAAAAGAAAAGTTTAACTCTGTGAGATGAATGCACACATCACAAAGCAGTTTCTTAGAGAGCTTCTTTCTAATTTTCATCTGAATATACTTTGTTTTTCACTATAGGCCTCAATGTGTTCCCAAATATCCCTTTGAAGGTTCTACAAAAACAGTGTTTCCAAATTGCTGAATGATAGAATTTTTTTAACTCTGTGAGATGAATTCACACATCACTAAGCTGTTTCACTGAAATCTTCTTTCTGGTTTTTATCTGAATATATTTTCTTTTTCACTGAAGGCCTGAATGTGCTCCCTAAGATCCCTTCACAGATTCTACAAAAACCGTGCTTCCAAACTACTGAATAAATATAAAGGTTTAATTCTGCCAAACGAATGTGTACATCACTAAGTTATTTCTCAGATATCTTCCTACTGGTTTTTATCCTGGGATATTAACTTTTTCACCATTGGCCTCAATGAGCTCCCAAGTGTTCATTCACAGAATGGACAAAAACAGAGTTTACAAACTGCTCAATCAAAAATAGTTTAACTCTGCAAGATGAATGTTCACATCATAAAGCAGGCTCTCAGATAGATTCCTTCCAGTTTTTAACCTTGGATATTCACTTTTTTGCCATGGACCTCAAAGAGCTCCCAAATGTCCATTTGCAGAATGGACAAAAAGTGTTTCTGAACTGCTGTATCAAAAGAAAGGTTTAACTATGTGAGATGAATGCACACATCACATTATGGTTTCTAAGGCAGCTTCCTTCTTGTTTTTATTCTGGGATATTCACTTTTTCGCCATTGTCCTCAATGAGCTCCCAAATGTCCATTTGCAGAATGGACAAAAACAGTGTTTGAAAAGAGCTGTATGAGAAAAAGTTTTAACTCTGTGAGATAAATCCACATGTCACAAAGCAGTTTCTCAGAAAGTTTCTTTCTAAGTTTATTTGAAGATATGTTCTTTTTCACCATATACCTCAATGCATTTCCAAATATCCTTACACAGATTCTACAAAAACAGTGTTTCCAAACTGCTAAATGTAAAGAAATGTTTAACACTGACTTATGAATGCACACATCATGAAGCAGTTTCTCAGATAGCTTCCTTCCAGTTTTCATCCTGGGATATTTGCTTTTTTCACCATTGGCCTCAATGAGCTCCCAAAAGTGCATTCACAGAATGGACAAACACAGTGTCTCCAACTGCTGAATCAAAAGAAAAGTTTAACTGTGGGAGGCAGTTTGCACACAACGCAAACTGGTTTCTCAGTTTGCTTCCTTCTAGTTTTTACTGTGGGATACTCACTTTTTTGCTATTGGCCTCAATGTGCTCCCAAATGTCCATTGGCAGAATGGACAAAAACAGTGTTTCCAAACTGCTGAATCTAAAGAAAGGTTTTACACTGTGAGATGAATGCACACCTCACAAAGCAGTTTCTCAGAAAACTTCTTTCTAGTTTTCAACTGAACGTATTTTCTTTTTCACCATAGACCTCAACGCACTCCAAAATACCCCTTCCCAGATTGTACAAAAACAGTGTTTCCAAAGTGATGTATCAAAAGAAAGGTTTAACTGTGGGAGATGAATGGACACATCACAAAGTGGTTTCTAAGACAGCTTCCTTCCACTATTTATCCTGGGATAATTGCTTTTTCGCTATTGGACTGAATGAGCACTCAGATATCCATTCGCACAATGGACAATCACGGTGTTTCCAAACAGCTGAATCAAAAGAAAGGTTTTTCTCTGTTAGATGAATGCACACATCACAAAACGGTTTCTCAGACTGCTTTATTGTAGTTTTTATCATGGGATATTCAATATTTTGATGTTGGCCTCAATGAGCTCCCAAATGTCCGTTCACAGAATGGACAAAAACAGTGTTTCAAAACAGCTGAATCAAAGAAAGTTTAACTCTGTGAGATGAATGCACATATCAGAAAGCAGTTTCTCAGAAAGCTTCTTCTAGTTTTTATCTGAATTTACTTTATTTTCACCATAGACCTCAAGGTGCTCCCAAATATCCCTTTGCAGATTATACAAAAACAGTGTTTCCAAACTGCTGAATGGAAAATAAAAAAGGTTTAACTCTGTGGGATGAACGTACCCTTTGTGAAGCGGTGTCTCAGATATATTTCTTCTAGTTTTTTTCCTGGAATGTTCACTTTTTTGCCATTGGCCTCACCGAGATCCCAGTGTTCATATGCAGAATTGACAAAAAGAGTGTTTCCAAACTGCTGAATCAAAAGAATGGTTTAACTCTATGAGATGAATGCAAACTTCACAAAGCAGTTTCTCAGAAAGCTTCCTTCTAGTTTTTATCTGAAGATATTTTCTTTTTCACCATAGTCCTCAATGAGCTTCCAAATATCAAATTGCATATTCTTTAAAAACAGTGTTTCCAAACTGCTGAATGAATAGAAAGGTTTAACTCTGCGAGGTGAATCCACACATGACAAAGTGGATTCTCAGATAGCTTCCTTCTATTTTTTATCATGGGAGATTTTATTTCTGACCATTGGCTTCAATGATCTCCCAAATGTCCATTCACAGAATGGACAAAATCAGTTTTTCCAAACTACTGAATCAAAAGAAAGGTTTAGCTCTCTGAGAGGAATGCACACATCACAAAGCAGTTTCTCAGAAAACTTCTTTCTGGTTTTTTTCTGAAGACATTTTCTTTTTCACAATAGGTCTCAATGCACTCCCAAATATCCCATCACAGACTTTTTAAAAATAGTGTTCCAACTGTTGAAAGAATAGAAAGGTTTAACTCTGTGAGATGAAGGTACACATGACAAAGCAGATTCTCAGACAGCTTCCTTCGAGATTTTATCCTGGGATATTTGCTTTTTCACAATTGGCCTCAATGAGCTCCCAAATGTCCATTTATCCAACGGAGAAATACAGTTTCCAAACTGCCGAATCAAAAGAAAGGTTTAAATTTGTGAGATGAATGCGCACCTCCCAAAGCAGTTTTTCAGAAAGCTTCTTTCTAGTTTTCATCTGAAGATATTTTCTTTTTCACCATAGGCCTCAATACGCTCCCAAATATCCCTTCACAGATTCTACAGAAACAGTGTTTCCAAACTGCTGAATGAAAAGAATGGCTTCACTCTGTGAGACTAATGCAGACATCACAAAGCAGTTTCTGAGATAGCTTCCTTGTAGTTTTGATCCAAGCATATTCATTTTTTCCATTGGCCTCAATGAGCTCCCAAATATACATTCACAGAAATGGACAAAAACAGTGTTTACAAATTTTTGTATGTAAAGAGAGGTGTAACTGTGTGAGAGGAATTTATACATAACAAAGCAGTTTCTCAGAAAGCTTCTTTCTGGTTTTTATCTGAAGATATTTCTTTTTTCACCATAGTCCTCAATGCACTCCTAAAAGTCCCTTTGCAGATTCTAAAATATACTGTTTCAAAACTGCTCACTGAAAAGAAAGGTTTAACTCTGAGGGATGAATGCACATATCACAAGGTGGTTTCTAGATAGCTTCCTTCTAGTTTTTATCCTGGGATATTTTCTTTTTCACCATTGGCATCAAAAAGCTCCCAAATATCCATTCACAGAAGGAACAAAAACAGTATTTCCAAACTGCTGAATCAAAAGAAATTTTTATTTCTGAGAGTTGAATGCACACATGACAAAGCAGTTTCTCAGAAATCTTCTTTATTGTTTTTATGTGAAGATATTTTATTTTTCACCATAGGACTCAATGCTCTCCCAAATAGCCCTTTGCAGATCCAGAAAAGCATTGTTTCCAAATTGTTGAATGAAAATAATGGTTTAATTCTGTGAGATGAATGAACCAATCACAAAGTGGTTTCTCAGATAGCTTCCTTCTAGTTTTCATTCTGGGATGTTCACTTTTTTCAACGTAGGCTTCAATGCAACCCCAAATATCCCTGTGCAGATTCCACCATTCTCGTGCAGAAACCATCATTCTCAGCCAACTATCACAAGGACAGAAAACCAAACACTGCATGTTCTCACTCATAGGTGCGAATTGAACCATGAGAACGCTTGGACACAGGAAGGGGAACATCACACACCAGGGCCTGTCATGGGGACGGTGGAGGGGGCAGGGATAGCATTAGGAGATATACTTAATATAAATGATGATTTAACGGGTGCACACACCAACATGGCACATGTATACATATGTAACAAACCTGCACATTGTGCACTTGTGCCCTAGATCTTAAAGTAAAATTTAAAAAGAGAACAGAAAGGTTTAATTCTCTGAGATGAATGCACACATCTCAAAGTGGTTTCTCAGACATCTTCCTTCTAGTGTGTATCCTTTGATATGTGCTTTTTTGCCATTGGCTTCAATGCGCTCCCAAATGTCCATTGACAGAAAGGAAAAAGTGGTGTTTCCAAACTGCTGAATGAAAAAAAGTTTAATTTTGTGAGATGACTGCATACATCACAAAGAGGATTCTAAGATAGTTTCCTTCTAGTTTTTTCTGGGGATATTTTCTTATTTGCCATCGGCCTCCATGAGCACCCAAATGTCCATTTGCAGAATGGAGAAAAACAGTGTTTCCAAACTGCTGAATCAAATGAAAGGTTTAACTCTGTAAGACAATTTATGTGCACACATCAGAAAGCAGTTTCTCAGAAATCCTCTTTCTAGTTTTTAATCTGAATTTATTTTCTTTTTCACCATAGGCTTGAATGTGCTCCCAAATGTCCCTTTGCAGTTACTACAAAAACAGTGTTTCCAAACAGCTGAATGAAAATGAAAGTTTAACTCTGTGAGATGAATCCAAACATTGCAATGTGGTTTCTCAGATAGCTTCCTTCAATTTTTTATTTAGGGATATTTGCTTTTTTGTCATTAGCCTCAATAAGCTCCAAAAAGTCCATTCAAAGAATATGCAAAAATAGTGTTTCTAAACTGCTGAGTGAGAATGGTTTAACTCTGTGAGATGAATGCACACATCACAGAGGAGTTTCTCAGGAAGTTTAGTTCCAGTTTTTACCTGAAGATATTTTCTTTTTCACCATAGGCCTCAATGTGCTCCCAAATATCCCTTCACAGATTCTAGATAAACAGTGTTTCCATAATGCTGAATGAAAAGAAAGGTTTAACTCTGTGAGATGAAGGCACACATCAAAAATCAGTTTCTCAGAAAGCTTCTTTCTAGTTTTTACATAAAGGTATTTTCTTTTTCATCATAGGCTCCCAAATATACCTGTGCAAGTTTTACAAAAACAGTGTTTGCCAACTGCTGAATGAAAAGAAAGTTTAACTCTGAGAGATGAATGCACACATCTCAAAGTGGTTTCTCAGATAGTTTTCTTCTAATTTCTATCTTGGGATATTTGCTTTTTTTGCCATTGACCTCAATGAGCTCTCAAATACCCATTCACAGAATGGACAAAAAAACAGTGTTACAAATTGCTAAGTCAAAAGAAATGTCTAACTCTGTGAGTTGAATGGACAAATCACAAAGCAGTTTCTCAGAAAGCTTCTTTCTACTATTTATATGAATACAGTCTCTTTTTCACCATAGCCTCAATGCACTCCCAAGTAACCCTTTGCAGATTCTTCAAAAACAGTTTTTCCAAACTCCTGAATGAAAAGAAAAGTTAAAATCTGTGAGGCAAATACACACATCACAAAGGAGTTTCTCAGAAACTTTCTTTATTTTTGTTGTGTGAAGATATTTTCTTTTTCAACATAGGCCTGTATGCCCTCCCAAGTATCACTTTGAAGATTCTACAAAACAGCCTTTCAAAACTGCTGAATGAAAAGAAAGGTTTATCTGTGTGAGATGAATGTGCACACCACAAAGGGGTTTCTCAGATAGCTTCATTCTATTTTTTATCCTGGGATATTCGTTTTTTCACCAGTGGCCTCAAAGATCTCCAAAATGTCCATTCAAAGAATGGGCAAAAACAGGGTTTCCCAATTGCTCAGTAAAAAGGAAGTTTTAACTCTGTGAGATGAATGCACACATCACAAAGCAGTTTCTCAGATAGCTTCCTTCTAGTTTTTATCTGAAGATATTTTCCTTTGCAACATAGGCCTCAATATGCTCCCATATATTCTTTGGCATATTCTACATAAACAGTGTTTCCAAACTGCTGAATGAAAAGAAAAGTTTAACTCTTTGAGGTTAATGCACACAACACAAAGTGGGTTTTTAGACAGCTTCATTCTAATTTTTTTCCTGAGATATTCAGTTTTTCACCACTGGCTTCAATGAGATTCAAAATGTCCATTCACAGAATGGACAAAAACAGAATTTTTAAACTGCTGAACTGAAAGAAAGTGAAACTCTATGAGATGAATGCACACATCACCAAGCAGTTTCTCATAAAGCTTCTTTCTAATTTTTATCTGAAGATATTTTCCTTTTCACCATAGGCCTCAATGTGCTCCCAAATATCCCTTTCCTGATTCTTCAAAAATAGGGTTTTTAAAATGCTGAATGAAAAGAAAGGTTTATCTCTGCAAAATGAAGGCACACATCACAATGCCTTTTCTCTGATATCTTCTTTCTTGTTTTTATCCAGGGGTATTCACTTTTCTGCTATTGGCCTCCATGAGCTCCCAAATGTTCATTCACAGAATGGACAAAAACAGTGTTTCCAAACTCCTGAAGGAAAAGAAAGGTTTAAATCTGCGAGATGAATGCACACATCAAAAAACCGTTTCTGAGACAGCTTCCTTCTAGTTTTTATCCTAGGATATGCTTTTTCACCACTGGCCTCGAACTCCCAAATGTCAATTTGCAGAATGGACAAAAACTGTGTTTTGAAACCACTGAATCAAAAGAAAGTGGTAACTCCGTGAGATGAATGCATGCATCAAAATGCTGCTTCTCAGAAAGCTTCTTTCTAGTTTCTATCTGAAGATATTTTCAACCTAGGTCTATATGGGCTCCCAAATATCCCTTCGCAGATTCTTTAAAACAGCGTTTCCAAACTGCTCAAAGAAAAGAAAGGTTTAACGCTGCATGTTGAATGCACACATCACAATGCAGTTTCTCAGACAGCTTTCTTCTAATTTTTATTCTGGGATATTCACTTTTTTTTGCTTTTGGCCTGAATGAGCTCCCAAACGTCCATTTGCAGAATTGACAAAAACAGTTATTCCAAACTGCTGAATCAACAGAAAGTTTTAACTCTGTGAGATGAATGCACACATCACAAAGCAGTTTCTCCGAAAGCTTCTTTCCAGTTTTTATCTGAAGATATTTTCTTCTTCACCTTAGGCCTCAATGTACACACAAATAGTCCTGCACAGATTCTACAACAGTGTTTCAAAACTGCAGCATGAAAAACAAAGGTTTAAATCTGTGGGACAAATGCACACATCACAATGTGGTTTCTCAGATAGATTTATTCTAGTTTTTATCCTGGGATATTAGCTTTTTCACCACTGGCCTCAATGAGCTTCCAAATGACCATTCATAGAAAGGATGAAAACAGTGTTTCCAAAGTGCTGAATCAAAAGAAAGGTTTAACTCTGTGAGACGAATGCACACATCACAAAGTGGTTTCTCAGAAAGGTTCCTTCTAGTTTTTATCTGAAGATATTTTCTTTTTCACCATAGGGTGCAACATACTCTCAAATATCCCTTCACCAATCGTACAAACACAGTGTTTCCAAAATGCTGAATGAAAAGAAAGGTTTAACTTTGTGAGGTGAATGCACACATGACAAAATAGTTTCTCAGATAGCTTTCTTGTAGTTTTTAACCTGGGATATTCCCCTTTTTCCATTTTCCTCAATGAGCTCCCAATTGTCCATTTGCACATTGGACAAAAAATGTGTTCCCAAACTGCTGAATCAAAAGTATGGTTTAACTCTGACCTGAATGTACACATCACAAAGTTATTTATCAGGTAGTTTCCTTCTAGTTTATATCCTGGGATATTCGCTTTTCCACCACGGGCTTCAATGAGCTTGCAAATTTCCATTCCCAGAATGGACAAAAACAGTGTTTCCAAACTGCTGTATGAAAAGGAAAGGTAAAGTCTGTAAGATGAATGCACACGTCACAAAGCAGTTTCTCAGAAAGCTTCTTTCTAGTTTTTATGTGAAGATGATTTCTGTTTCACCATAGGCCTCAAAGTGCTCCCAAATATCCATTTGCAGATAACTGCTGATTTAAAAGAAAGATTTAACTTTGCAAGATGATTGCACACATCACAAAGCAGTTTCTCAGATAGATTTTTTTTAGTTTTTATCCAGGGATATTCACTTTTTCACAATTGGTCTCAATGAGATTCCAAATGTACATTCACAGAATGGACAAAAACAGTGTTTCCAAACTACTCTATCAAAAGAGAGGTTTAGCTGTGAGAGGAATGTACACCTGTCAAAGCAGTTTCTCAGAAAGCTTCTTTCTAGTTTTTATCTGTATTTTCTTTTTCACCATAGTCTCAAAATTCTCCCAAATATGCCTTCACATATTCTACAAAATCATTGTTTCCAAACTGCTTAATGAAAAAAAGGTTTAACTTTTCGAGGTGAATGCATACGTAACAAAGTATTTTCTCAGATAGTTTCCTTCTAGTTTTTGTGTCTGGATATTTGCTTTTTCTCCAGTGGCCTCTATGATCTCCCAAATGTCCACTCACAGAAAAGACAAACTGGTGTTTCCAAACTGCTGCATCAATGGAAAGTTTATCTCTGTGAGATGAATGCACATATCAAAAAGCAGTTTCTCAGAAAGCTTCCTTCTACTTTTTATCTGAAGATATTTTCTTTTTCACCATTGGCCTCAATGCACTCCAAAATATCCCTTTGCTGATTTGACAAAAACAGCATTTCCAAACTACTGAATGAAAATAAAGGTTTAACACTGTAAAATGAATGCACACTTCATAATGCCATTTCTCAGATAATTTCTTTCTAGTTTTTTTCCTCGGATGTTTGCTTTTTTGCCTTAGCTCTCAATGCCCTCCCAAATATCTCTTTGCAGATTCTACAAAAACAGTGTTTCCAAACTGCTGAATGAAAAGAAAGGTTTAACTCTGTGAGGTGAATGCACATCACAAAGTGGATTCTCAGACAGCTTCCTTCCTGTTTTTTTTCTGGGATACTCCTTTTTTGCCATTGGCCTCAGTGAGCTCCTAAATGTCCATTCACAGAATGTACAAAAACAGTGTTTCCAAACTACTGAATGAAAAGAAGGGTTTAACTCTGTGAGAAAATGCACATGTCACAAACTGGTTTCTCAGTAACATACTTTCTAGTTAGTATCTGAAAAATTTTTTTTCAACATAGGCCTATATGTGGTCGAAAATGTCCCTTCACAGATCCTACAAAACAGTGTTTCCAAAATGCTGAATGAAAAGAAAGGTTTAACTCTGTGAGATGAATGCCCACATCACAAAGCAGTTTCTCAGATAGCTTCCTTCTAGTTTTTATCTTGGGATATTTGCTTTTTCTCCATTGGCCACAATGAGCTCCCAAATGTCCACTCTTACAATAGACAAAAACAGTGTTTCCAAACAGGTGAGTCAAGAGGAGGGTTTAATTCTGTGAAATAAAAGCACACATCACAAAGCAGTTTCTCAGAAAGGTTCTTTATAATTTATATCTGAAGACATTTTCATTTTCACCATAGGCCTCTATGTGCTCCCAAATATACCTTTGCAGTTTCTACACAAACTTTGTTTAGCAACTGCTGAGTGAAAATAAACGTTTAACTCTATGAGGTGAATGTACACATCACGAAGCAGTTTCTCAGATAGCTTCCTTATAGTTTTTGTCCTGTGATATTCAGTTTTATGGCATTGGCCTCAAGGAGCTCGCAAGTGTCCATTCGCATAAGGGCAAAAACAGTGTTTCCAAACTGCTGAATCAAAAGAAAGGTTTATCTGTTTGAGATGAGAGCACACCTCATGAAGCAGTTTCTCAGAAAGCTTCTTTCTTGTTTTTATCTGAAGACATTTTCTTTTTCACCATAGGCCTCAATGCGCTCCCAAATATCCCTTCACAGATTCTACAAAATCAGTTTTTCAGAACTGCTGAATGAAAAGTATGTTATAACTCTGAGAGTTGAATGAACACCAAACCAGGTGGTTTTTCAGATAACTTCCTTCTAGTTTTTATTCTGAGATATTCACTTTTTCACTATTGGCCTCAATGAGTTTCAAAATGTCCATTCAGAGAATGGACAAAAACAGTGTTTCCAAACAATTGAATCAAAAGAAAGGTTTAACTCTGTGAGATGAATGCACACATCACAAAGATATTTTCCAGATAGCTTCCTTCTAGTTTTTATCCTTCAATATTGGCTTTCTTGCCTTTGCCCTCATCAAGCTCCCAAATGTCCATTTGTAGAATGGACAAAAACAGTGTTTCCAAATTGCTGAATCAAAAGAAAGGTTTAACTCTGAGAGGAATGTACACATGACAAAGCATTTTCTCAGAAAGCTTCTTTCTAGTTTTTATCTCAACATATTTTCTTTTTCAACATAGTCCTCAACACACTCCCAAATATACCTTGGCAGATTCAAACAAAAAATTTTTCCAAACTGCTGAATGAAAAGAAGAATTTAACTCTGTGATATGAATGCACACATCATAAAGTGGTTTCTCAGATAGCTTCCTTCTAGTTTTTATCCTGGGATATTCACTTTTTCACCATTGGCCTCAAAGAGCTCCCAAATGTCCACTCGCATAATGGACAAAAACAGTGTTTCCAAACTGCTGAATCAAAAGAAAAGCTTAACTCTGAGAGATGAATGCACACATCACAAAGCAGTTTCTCAGCTTCTTTCAAGTTTTAATCTGAATATATTTTCTTTTTCACCATAGACCTCAATGCACTACCTAATATTACTTGGCAGATTCCAGAAAAACGTATTTCAAAACTGACAAATGAAAAGAAAGGTTTTACTCTATGAGATAAAAGCAGACAACACAGAGCAGTTTCTCAGATAGCTTCCTCCTAATTTTTATCCTGTTATGTTCACTTTTTCACCTTTGGCCTCAAAGACCTCCCAAATGTCTGTAGTCAGAATGGACAACAACAGTGTTTACAAACTGCTGAAGGTAAAGAAAGGTGTAACTCTGTGAGATGAATGCACATATAACAAAGCAATTTCTCAGAAACCATCTTTCTAGTTTTTATTTGAAGATATTTTCTTTTTCACCCTAAGCCTCAATGAACTCCCTAATATTCCTTGGCAGTTTCCACAAAAACAGTGTTTCCAAACTGATGAATGAAAAGAAAGGTTTAATTCCGTGAGATAAATGCAGACATCACATAACGGTTTCACAATAGCTTCGTAGTAGTTTTTATCCTCAGATATTCACTTTTTCACCTTTGGACTCAATGAGCTCCTAAATGTCCATTCACAGAATGCACAAAAAAGTGTCTCCAAACTGCTGAATCAAGAGTAAGTTTTCACTCAGTGAGATGAATGCACACATCACAAAGCAGTTTCTCAGAAAGCTTCTTTTCGTTTTTATCTGAATATATTTTCTTTTTCACCCTAGGCCTCAACGTACACCCTAATATTACTTGGCAGATTCAACAAAAACAGTGTTTCCAAACTCCTGAATGAAAAGAAAGATTTAACTCTGAGAGACGAATGCTGACTTCACAAAGGGGTTTCTCAGATAATATCCTTCCAGTTTTCTTCCTGGGGTATACAGTTTTTCACAAATGGCATCAGTGAGTTCCCTAATGTCCATTCCCAGAATGTACAAAAACAGTGTTTCCAAACTGCTGAATCAAAGGAAAGGTTTAACCCTGTGAGAGGAATGCACACCTCTTTAAGCAGTTTCTCAGGAAACTTCTTTCTAATTTTTATCTGAAGATATTTCCTTTTTCACCACAGGCCTCAATGCACTCGCAAATATCCCTTCACAGATTCTACAAAAACAGCATTCCCAAACTGCTGACTGAAAAGGAAAGTTTACCTCTGCCAGGTGAATGCACACATCGAAAAGCGGTTTCTCAGACAGCTTCACTCTTGTTTTTATCCTGGGATATTCGCTTTTTTGCCATTGGCCCCAATGAGCTCCAAAATGTCCTTTCACAGGAAGAACAAAAGCAGTGTTTCCAAACTGCTGAATAAAAGAAGGGTTTAAATCAGTGAGATGAATGCACACATCACAAAGCAGTTTCTCAGATAGCTTCCTTCTAGTTTTTATGCTGGGGTATTTTATTTTTCACCATTGGCCTCAATGAGCTCAAAAATGGCTATTTCCAGAATGGACAAACACAGTGTTTCCAAAATCCGGAATCAAAAGAAAGGTTTAACTCTGTGAGATGAATGCACACGTCACAAAGCAGCTTCTCCAAAAGCTTCTTTCTAGCTTTTATCTGAAGATATTTTCTTTTTCACCATAGGCCTCAATGCACTCCCAAATATCCCTTTGCAGATTCTACAAGAAAAGTGTTTCTATACTGCTGAATGAAAAGAAGGGTTTAACTCTGTGAGATGAATGCACACATCACAAAGCGGTTTCTCAGATACCTTGTTTCTTGTATTTATCCTGGGATAATTGCTTTTTTGCCATTGACCACAATGAGCTCCCAAATGTCCATTTGCAAAATGGACAAAAACACTGTTTTAAACCCCTGAATGAAAGCAAAGTTTTAACTCTGACAGATGAATGCACTCATAGCAAAGCGGTTTTGCAGATAGCTTCCTTCTAGTATTTATCCTGGGATTTTTTTTTTTTTGCCTTTGCCCTTAATGAGCTCTCAAATGTCCATTCGCAGAATGGACATAAACAGTGCTCTCAAACTGCTGAATCTAAATAAAGTTTTAACATTTCGAGATGAATGCACACATCACAAAGCAGTTTCTCAGAAAGATTCTTTCTAGTTTTTATCTAAAGATATTTTCTTTTTCACAGTAGATCTCAGTGCACTTCCAAATAGCCCTTCAGAGAATCTACAAAATCAGAGTTTCCAAACTGCTGAATGAAAAGAAATGTTTAAATTTGTGTGATGAATGCACACATCACAAAACCATTTCTCAGATAGTTTCATTCTAATTTTTACACTGGGATATTCTCTTTTTCACCATTGGCCTCAATGAGCTCCAAAATGTTCATTTGCAGAATGGACAAAAACAGTGTTTCCAAACTGCTGAATCAAAAGAAAGGTTTCAGTCTGCGAGATGAATACACACATCACAAAGCAGTTTCTCAAAAAGTTTCTTTCTAGTTTTAATCTGAAGATACTTACTTTTACCCCTTAGGCCTCAATGTGCTCTCAAATATCAATTTGCAGATTCTACAAAAACAGTGTTTCCAAACTGCTGTATGAAAATAAAGGTTTCACTCTGTGAGTTGAATGCACACATCACAAAGTGGTTTCTCAGATAGCTTCCTTCTAGTTTTCATCCTTGGATATTTGCTTTTTTGCCATTGGTCTCAATGATCTCCCAAATGTCTATTCGCAGAATGCAGAAAAACAGTGTTTTGAAAGTGCTAAATCAAAAGTAAGGTTTAACTTTGTCAGGTGAATGCACACATCACAAAGCAGTTTCTCAGAGAGCTTCTTTCTACTTTTTATCTGAAGATATTTTCTTTTTCACATAGGCATCAAGGCGCTCCCAAATATCCCTTCACACATTCTACAACAAAAGTGTTTCCAAACTGCTGTGTTACAAGAAAGGTATAACACTGCAAGATGAATGGACACATCACAGAGCAGTTTTTCAGTTGGTTTCTTTCTACTTTTTATCCTGGGCTATTTGCCTTTTTGTCATTGTCCTCGAAAAGTTCCCAAATGTCCTTTCTCTGAATAGGCCATTGAAGCAAGCAATTAGCCTTATGAGGAAAGAGTTACCTGTGGATAAAGGAGAAACTGAAAAATTCACAAGTCAAGAGTTTTTGAGCAAAAACAAAAATATGACTATTAGTCACCAATTCAGTACAGTGAAAAAAAAGTTGAAGAGATATCTTGGAAGTAAACCATGTTGTGGAAGAGCATGTAGGGTTTTGATAATCATGGGATGATTCTGAATTAATTTTAAATGCGATAGGAATATATGAGACAATTTCACCAGAGAATAACATGATTGTGTTTGCATTTCAAAGGGGTGTATCTGGTGCACTGTGTAGAATAAATAGGTTATGTGAGCAAATAAATTGGGAGGCTACCATAATCCCAAGAAAAAAGGTAGTGACTTAGGTGAGAATGCTGTCAGGATGAGTGGTAGTAGTGGTGAGGAGTCGTTAGGCCATGGATGTATTTCATAGGACTGGCCAAGAGAACTGCAGCTAAATTGGAGTGTAGGGAGTGAAATGGAGAACTCAAAGACGGCTCTCAGCAGTGGAAGGTGACAGCTGTCACTGAAGCATGCTGATGCCTCTGATTAAGAGAGTTACTTGGGAATGGCAAGATCAAAATTTCTCACTTTCAAATTTATGAAAAATATTGTTTTCAGAACGAATGACTTTGGGATCAGAAAGCCACCATTCTAATTGATGGTTCCACGACTGCACAGGCTCACACTCCCAAGAGCAAAAGTAAATCATCATAAAGGTGCTTCCTGATAATTCTAGAGAATGGAGAATTACTGTAACATCTTTCTGATTTTAGGAGAGGTAGCAGTTCCCTTTTTAGCCTAAACGCTATTTTTTTTAAAGCTCAGCCAAGAGACTCCATTATAATTTTCAAATGTGTGTAACTTAAATTCTCATATGAAATACCACTATGCTTAAATTAGTCAAAACATTTTCCCCATCTACAACTCTATCTTGTCATTGCAATCATTTTCACAAAAGTGACTGCAGCTCACAGACCCTAAAAGGAGAAAATCCAGGGTAGGTTATCTGATCTAGTTAGTTTCGAAGACAGGATCTAGAGATTATTTAATATGAAATAGGTCACCTGAAATGAAGTGTTTACTGAAAACAGCTTGGATCAGCCCAGTTTTCTACCACTGAACCATGCATTTGGTTTAAAAAACACAACAACTCTGGGGAATATCAGCTGCTTCCAACTGTGTTGAAGGTGTTAAAGAAAAGAGCATAAAATTAAAAATGATCATCTGAGGCCTTTATAGTCTCTGCTCAAGAGACTAGAGTCTTCCATTCTTAATGAAACACCCTAATATCTTAATAATTGGGTAAAATCTAAATATCAGAGATAATTTTATCTTGAAGATTGTTAAATTATAATGGCGATTCACTACCTTGTCACGTCTCTGAGTCAAAAATTAGGTCTTTGTTTAGGAATCAATGGTACTCTGCAACTTGGAAATAGGAAGATTTTAGAAGACTCAAACATTGACTTTCTTGTGGGCAAAAAAAAGACGTATTGAGATAAGACAAGTCTTTCCTTGCAAGGATACCTCTAATGCTCATACACCACCTCCCCTAACATTAATATAGCTTCCAGGTCACTAACCAGTGTCAGAGAGCAGCCCATGCAACTAGAAATTCAAAAGACGTCAAACACAGGGTCAAGCCTAGAATAAGAAGTCTTAGCTAATTAAGTATGCTTTTTTCCCCAAATTCATATTAACAAAAACTTGGATATGTCAGAGAATGCATTCTAAGTTCACTCAACCTAGGAGGGAGAAGCATAATTTTAAATTAAGAGCTGAAGCATTCTTGTCCTAACAGAAAGCAAGGAAAATGAAATATCACACCACAGGAGGGATTTCACAAATTAGTGTCAACATCAAAACCTTAAAATAGGCAAGGAGAATGCAGATTCACAATGAACTCTTGTACTTGTTTTGTTCAGAGAAGAGATGGTTCTGAGAGAATGACAGTGAACTAACCCCAGCTGGTTTAGTTGGTGCTTTCAACTGCTGCTTCTGATAAACTCCTTTAGCTAGAATAAATTGATGAGGATTTTGGCATGTGGTATTAGAGATGGTTATTAATTTTTTCCTCTTATTTGCATTGTTCAATGTAGTAAATACTAGCTGTATATGGCTACTTCAATTCAAATTAATTACAATGAAATATACTTAAATATTGAATTTTTTAGTCACTGTTGGTTCATTATTGAATATCTTCAGCTAAGATTTCCCTTTAAATACACTAAGAGGTGGCTTAGTTAACTCGTCGTCCACAAATATTGAAGCTGTTGTTAACTCCTGATATATTCTCTGCAAAGAGAATATTCATGAGCCTCCTCCTGAAGCCAGCAGCCTAGAGATAGTTTTATAAATTGGATACAAGTTGGAAACCTATACTCTTTAAGTTTTTGAAATATTAGCTTCCCAGGGAAGAAAATCAAATTCATAAGATATGTTAGGACAATTTAACTCAAGATGTTCAAAACTGAAATGACATATTCTACAATATGTGATAAAACCACCCCCTAATACCTTAAAGCAAAACAGGGATGGACCTTAAAGACCTGCCTTTTCCTCATCCCCCAGCCAATCAGTTTTCAAATCTTGCATTTTATTTTGAAAGGTCCTTATCCCCCTGGTCTCTTGTTTCTAGACTTGGCACATATTTAAGTTTGTTACCTCTATCTACTGAATTTTCTCTCTTCAAACAGTATCTATGCCTGCCAAATGTGAACATACAAACAACAAATCAGAATGTGCCATTCTGATTTAAACTGCTTATTAGTTAATACCCTCAAGATAACATCTGGGTTCTTAGCTGCAATGAGTCAAGCCTACTTACATCTTTTTTTGTCTTTGGCTGCACATTTCCTATCACATCACACTCCAGCAACGCCAAGCTGTGCCGGCCTTCTACCCCATCTCCACTATTTTGCCCTCCGCTGCCGCGGCTTTTTGCCCGCCCTGGCTTTTTGCTCCCACCCGCCGCCGCGGCTTTTGGCCCCCCACACCGCCGCGGCTCTTTACCCGCCGCAGCTTTTTGCCTCCACCCCGCCTCAGCTTTTTGCCCGCCAAGGCTTTTTGCCTCGCTGCGGCTTTTTGCCCCCCACCCCGCCGACGCGGCTTTTTGCCGCCGCGGCTTTTTGCCCGCCGCGGCTTTTTGCTCCCGCCGCCGCGGATTTTTGCCCCTGCCGCCGCGGATTTTTGCTGCTGCGGCTTTTTGCTCCCGCCACCTTTGCAACCTTAATTTCACTTGAAATCTAATTTCCCACTGCCATGCCATCTAACATATTTGTATGTTAGACTCTGGGAATTAGGACATGAACATTTTTGGGGGGCCACTATTTTGTCTACAGCAGACAGAATCTACACTGCCTGGGAGGCGCAGAGTATCTTGGGGGAGGCAGGGCTGGCCCTTCCCTCCGTGGACACCCAGCTTTCCCACAGGCCCTACATGTCTGTGGGTTCCCTGCGTGACCAGGTGACCTACCCGGACTCAGTGGAGGACATGCGAAGGAAGGGCTACTCAGAGCAGGACCTGGAAGCCATCCTGGACATCATGCACCTGCACCACATCCTGCAGCGGGAGGGAGGTAGGAGGCCTGGGGCTGGCAGCCGCCCTTTGTCCCACCCTGGCCTCTCCCTTGGCCTCCAGGCAGTGAAGATTATCTCAACATCCAGGAGTCTAAAGTGCCAGGTGCCACAGGGGCAGGGCAGAGGGTGCTACCTCTGAGGCCCGCCTACCAGGGAGGACCAACACCACACAGATGGCCCCAGCTGGCATGGGTGCTCTAGGGAAGGGGGCACCTAGCAGGGATGCGCACCTCATTGGGGGACCCAGGATACCCTCTCCCAGAGAAAAGGGGTCTGAGCTGAGCCCTGCAGAATGCTGAGTGGTTACCCCGTCCAGGAGCCAGGGGCAGCAGGGCAGAGTGCGGCCCGCAGCCTTGGTGGTGTGAGAGGCTGGCTCACAGAGGGCCCTCCGGACCAGGCGGGAGCCTAGGCTTTCCCTGAGCGGGATCAGACGCTCTTGGAAAGACCATGGGGCGGTGGGCAGGGGCAGCTTGGGAGGGGTAGGCACATGTGTGCAGTGATGGCTACCGTCAGGAGGTCTGTGCAGAAGCTTGGAGGGGGCTGGGGCCAGCAGAGTCGGGTGGATTCAGAGATGAGTTCACTGAAAAGGAGGCCAGCCTGAGCTGTTTTCTTGTCCTGGGCTTATCAAGGAATACTGCTTGTCCACAGTGTCTGTCGGGCCGGGAGAACGGAGGAGGAGAGGGGGGTGCAGCTACAGGGACACAGTAGATGGAGCGTTCAGTTCTGTCTTTGAATTCTGAGCCTCTGGGTTCTGCTTCCAGCCCCCACTGCTGGGTGCGAGATGGCCCTGGGCAAGGACCTCGCCTTGCTGGGGCTCCCCTTCATGGTTCAAGGGCATGGGCACCAAGCCCTCCCTCGGTGGCAACATGAGAAGAAGTGGCTCCTGCAGGAAATGACCAGGGTGTTGTCACCTGCCTGTGGAGGAAGCGGGAACACAGGTGGCGATGGTGGTGGAACAGCCCCTGGCCCGGCCCTGCCTCTTGCTCCTGCTGCCTTCGGCCTGGGAGCACATGGCCCCTCCCGCCTCTGTGGCAGCCTGAATGCCCAGGGCCTGTGGCCGGCCAGCATGAGCCGTTAGGATGGAGTTGAGCTGCGAGGAACAGAACCGGCCTCCCTGCAGTAGTGGCTAAGATCATCTGTGAGTTTATCCTACTGAGCTGTTAGGTCCCAAGAGAGCCAGGCCACAGTTGCCAGGGCTGGCCCTGCTCTGTGAAGGCCCCAAGGCTCTAGGATTTTCTACCATGTCACTCTGCTGTGTGTGGCCTCCATTCCCAAAGTCACCTCATGATCCAAGAGGGCTGCTGCAGCCCTCACATCATGTCCCAGGCTATAGGATGGAGGAAGTAGAAGGGAAGGGGCAAAAGGTATGTGCCTTCTATCTTTTAAGGAAGGTTCCAGAAGCCGCCATATTGAATAGTTACGGTTATATCTCATTGGCCACAACTTAGTCTCATGCTTACACCTCACCACAAGGCCACCTGGGAAGTGTAACCTCTACTCTGGGTGGCCATATACCCTGTCGCCACTTCTAGCCCTGGGCTGCTGGGGAAGGCAGCATGGGTGAGAAGACAGGAGGGGCTACTTCTGACACAGCGCCCCGGCCTAATGGAGCAGCCAGCTCACCTGCTCGTTCAAGCAGCCCACTCGAGCCTTGCCAAAGTGCTGGCACGGGGCAGTGACAGGAGGCCCAACCCCTGTGGGTGACAAGCCCCCGGTCTGGGGAGAGCACTCAGGCCGCTCTGGAGCTCTGTGCCAAGAAACTGTATGGGTGTCCTGGGGCTGCCATAAACCACAGGGGTGGATCATCTCCTGGATCCAGCAGCCCGAGATCCTGGTACTAGCAGGGTGGGTTCCTTCCAGGTGCCATGACAGAAGGATGTGTTCCAGGCCTCTGTCCTTGGCTCGCAGATGGTCCACTTCTCCCTGTGTATCTTCACCTCGTGTTCCCCTGTGCACGTCCTCTGCCCGCACACCCCCTTTTTATGAGGACATAGTCATATTGAATTAGGGTCTGCTCTGATGACCTCATCTTAGTGTGATCACCTCTGCGAAGGCCCTGTCTCCAAATAAGGTCACACTGAAGTGTTGGGGCTTGGACTCCACCATATCTCTTCTAGGGGAAGGCACAATTCCAGTCCCCACTCCTCCATAATTAATGTCTGTCAGACAGACAAGGGCGCAGAGGCACAGGGGCCCTGTCGTCACAGCTAGCTCATTCCCACAGCTGCCCCAGCTCCCCGGCTGGCCCCCAGGTCTGGGTACTGGTGGAACTGAGCCAAGACCATTGCCCCTGCCTAGGTTAGGAGGCTATGTGTGACTGGAAGGACGTCCCGCCGGGTGGCGAGAAGCAGAGAATCGGCATGGCCCGCATGTTCTACCACAGGTGAGCACTCCAGGCCGGCAGGCTCCCTGGGGTCCCCTGGAAGGAGAAGTAGCAGCTGTGGGGAGGCCTGGGCTCAGTGAAGCCTGAGCCAGGCTGGGGTGTTGGGCCCTGGAGGATGCACAGACTCTCCTCTCGGCCCAGACCCCCAGGCCCAAGTACACCCTCCTGGATGAATGCACCAGTGCCGCCATGAGAATCAACGTGGAAGGCAAGATCTTCCAGGCGGCCAAGGACGCAGGCATTGCCCTGCTCTCCATCACCCACCGGCCCTCCCTGTGGTAGGTGTCCTGTCTCCCTGCCTGGGGTCAGTGGGAGTGGCTGCCTGAGGGGAGGAGGTGGCCTGTTGGGCCCGGCGGCAGCAGCAGGCGGCTGTCATCAGCAGCCCTCGTGCCATGCCCCTGACCCTGTCCCTCTCCTGGCCAGGAAGTACCACACACACTTGCTACAGTTCGATGGGGAGGGCGGCTGGAAGTTTGAGAAGCTGGGCTCGGCTTCCCGCCTGAGCCTGACAGAGGAGAAGCAGCGGCTGGAGCAGCAGCTGGTGGGCATTCCCAAGATGCAGCAGCACCTCCAGGAGCTCTGCCAAATCCTGGGCGAGGCCGCGGCCCCAGCGCACGTGCCGGCACCTAGCCCACAAGGCCCTGGTGGCCTCCAGGGTGCCTCCACCTGACACCACTCTCCCCAGCCCCTGCCCCGCCCCCAAGCTCGGATCACATGAAGGAGATAGCAGCACCCACCTGCGCACGCACCCCGCCCCTGCATGCCTGGCCCCTCCTCCTAGAAGACCCTTCCCGACCTCGGGAAAGTAGATGAGGAGGGTGGCGCCCTGCGTAACCCTCGCCCTGTCCCTCCCACTCCCTGGGGGGGGGGCTGTTCCACAGTTACTGGGCCCTGTCCAGGGCAGTGAGTCCTCTACTTTGCTCCGTGGAGGAAGCTGGAGTGCAAGGGGCCCAGTGCTGGCCGCACAGCAGCGCAGCCGAGCCCCAGGAGCCCCTCAGGCCACAGCCCCTGGCGCTGCAGGTGGCATCCCTCCTCGTCAGTCTCTCAAAGACCCCACGATCCATCCCCTGAGGGTGGCCAGCCAAGGCTCCCATCCCATGCGATGCCATAAAAGCCACCCAGTGGTACCCACGGTCACACAGAGCGCCTCACCGGCATCCTCTCCCCCACAAGAGCCCCGAAGATCCCACGGGAGAGGGACGCACAGCACTGCCTGCCGAGCGAGAATGTAGGCCCCGCCCCCTCGGCCCCTCACCTCCTCTTTCTACAGCCTAATTTATTGGATTCCCTATTCGTAGCCATCTCCGTGGCCAATGTGACTACCCTGCCAGCAGCGGGGGCTGCCCAGCCTCTGAGTCCCCTAGGGCCCCGGCTCCCACTGGTGTCAAACCCAGCCCCTGTGGCCGTCACCCCGCCAGCCTACACTGCCAGCCGCCACCTGACCACACGGGCCTCTGCTTGCTAGCCGGGAGTGCGGACACCATGTTCCCAGCTCAGTGCCAAAGAGGGGTCACCAGGCGGAGCTGTCTGCAGAGCCAGCGCCTTCCTGAGAGAGACCCCACCGCCACCGTGTGCCTTTCCCGGGCCCTCAGCCCTCAGGCCGGGCGCCATCCCGAGTCCCCCCCAGTAAAAGCCTCCATTGGCAAATGCAGTCCTTCCTCCCTGCCTCAGAGTCTGGTGGTGTCTGCTGCGGGTCTTGGGGTGAGATGGAGGAGAGGGAGTGGGTTGCCTGTGGGGGAAAGAGTGAGTTTGGGAAAGGAGTGGGCCTGATCCCCAAGCCCTTCCGTGGGGGAAAGTCACCAGAAGACATGGCCCAACATGCCCTCCACCGAGCCTCACGCCAATGTTCTTAGGATTCCTGTGACGGTGGCGGGGCAGAACCTGCAACAACATTGCACAGAAATACTGGCTGAGCCCAAATAGGACTAGGGGACGGGATCATGCTGGTCCCTGTGGGAGGAGCACGAAGGCAAGAGAAAGGATGTCTAAGCTGCCACACAGGGTGCTGCTGGCCCTTCTAGGGAGAGGAGGCCACTTGTGCAGGGGCCTGGGGGGAACTGGGAGCACATTGCAGGGTGTTCGTGCTGCATGCAGGGGAAGGGAGGGCAGGGGAAGGGAGGGCTGCAGCTGGCGGGCCTTGGAGGCCACACTACAGAGACAGGACTTAGCCCAGAGGCCACCGAGGAGCTTTCAGCAACAGGGAAGCAGTGTCGAGTACTGCAGGCCACTTGGCTGCATGTGAGGGTGGCTGGTGGGAATAGGGTGTGGCAGCCCATCTGGCCTCAGAGGCATGAGAACTGAGAACAGCTGTGCGGCCATACCTTTATGCATGGATGGCCATAGCCTCCCAAAGGTGGGACAGCCTGAGTATTCATCAACAGACAAATGGACAAACAGCCTGTCCATAAGGCGTGGTGCCATTCCACCATAACACGACGGATAGACCTCAAAGAGTTCGTGCTGGGTGAAAGAAGCCAGACACAAATGTCCAGAATAGGCTCATCGGGACAGAAAGCAGATGAGTGGGTGTCAGAGGCTGGGGCAGGGGAAGGAAAATGGGGCAGGGGCAGTCCTTTTTAAAAAATTTTGTATTTATTTTTTATTTTTTAATGAGACAGACAGGGCCTCACCGTGTCACCCAGGCTGGAATGCAGCGGTGCAGTCATAACTCACTGCAGCCTTGATCTCCCGGGCTCAAGCAATCCTGCCCCAGCCTCCTGAGTAGCTGGAACCACAGGCGTGTGCCACCATACCCTACTAATTTTGTGATTTTTTTTTTTTGTAGACAGGATCTCACTATGTTGCCCAGGCTGGTCTCAAACTGCTGAGCTCAAGTGATCGTCCTGCCTCAGCCTCCCACAGTGCTGGATTACAGGCATGAGCCACCACACTCAGCCTCGCGTTTCTTTTTATTTCGAAGAAAATGTTCTGGAACTATAGAGCATACTAAATGCCACTGAATTGTGCACTTTAAAGGGATTGATTGTATATTTTGTGAATATCGCCTCAAAAACAGACAGATAGATGATTGATGGATAAATTGATACATAGATATATAGATATATAGACATGATATAGATAATTGATTGATAGATGATGGATGATTCATAGGTGCTAAGTGACAGATAAAATACATGATAGATACATGGATAGATAGATGAATAGAGAGCGATGATAGATGATTTAAAAATTTTTTTTAGAGATGAGATCTCACTATCTTGCCCAGTCTGGACTTGATCTGCTAGCATCAAGCAGTCCTCCTGCCTCAGCCTCCTGAGTTACTGGGACTACAGGCACATGCTACTGTGCCTGGTGATAGATAAATTATTGAAAGATAGACATGATAGAGGCATAAATGATAGATAGATGGATAAACATGATAAAGGATAGATAGGAAGATACATGGGATAGATCAATGATTGATTATAGAAGTAAATTATATAGATTAATAGATTACTGATTATAGATTAATAGGTGGATAGCTGATTGATAGATGACTGATCGATTGATTGGGTGACTGACTGATGGAGAGAGACAGAGAAGCAAGCTTAGCCATTGCAGCCACCCAGACAAGACATGCTGAGGCCTGGAGTTCCAGAAGGTTTGAGCAGTTGGAAGAACTTGACAGGCATGGGGGCAGCTTCTTCAGGGAGTGGAGGGGGCAGCAAGGTACCACTGGGTTCTGGTTGGAAGGTTAGGTGAGCGACAGCACCCTTGGTGGACAGAGGCAGCTCCAAAGGAGGGGCAGGCCTGGGGAGCAGGTGCAGCCCGAGGGGATGGTGCGTAGGCAGTTGGTTCAGAGCTTGGGGCTCCTCAGTGGGACATGGGTCAGCAGGGAGGCCAGTGGTCATTGAAGTTTGGATGGAGACAGCCTGGCTGAGGGGAGGGGCATGCTTGGCATCTCATTTAGGGGACAGGAGGTAGACTGTTTACCTGTATTTTGAGATTAGGATTTATTCCTGATCCCAGGAGGTGGCTGATTCGGAGGGCTGGGAGTTGTTCTTCCATTTCTTTTGACGATTGTGTAAGTCGCCCATGCTTGGTCATAAGCCCCTTTTGTTTATTTTTGACACATAGTTGGAATGGCTCTAATTACTACAGATAGAAGGAGACACATCTGGCAAAGACCATCCAAAAGGAAGCTAGTGGAGAGAAGCTCATATCGCACAAAGTAGGCTCCAGGGCAAAATCATTATTAGGATTAAAAGTGGTTGCAGCATACTGATGAGTATTCATTCCAAAGCATTCACTGGTGGGGGAGGGGTGGGGGAAAAAGAATAAATACATAAATAATTTAATTATTTTAAAAGAAGTATTAGTGGCCAGGCATGGTGGCTCACGCCTGTAATCCCAGCATTTTGGGAGGCCAAGGCAGGCAGATCACCTGAGGTCAGGAGTTCGAGACCAGCCTGAACAACATGGTGAAACCCCATCTCTACTGAAGTACAAAATTAGCCAGGCATGGTGGCTCATGCCTGTAGTCCCAGCTACTAGAGAGGCTGAGGCAGAACTGCTTGAACCTGGGAGGCGAAGGTTGCAGTGAGCCAGGATCATGCCATTACACTCCAGCCTGGGCGACAGGAAAAAAAAAAAAAAATGGAAGCATTAGCCATTCTGATCTTGTGTGTGCCTGCATAACAATAGAGCCTCAAATGACTACAAAACAAAAAAGTGTCAAGAAAAGGAAAAATTAATAAATGAGCACATTCTCTACGCAGGAAATTATACCACTTCTCACTGGAACTGCTCGTTTAAGCAGACTCAATTAGGAAGAATATAGAAAAATTAGGCCAGGCATAGTGTTTCATGCTTGTAATCCCAACACTTTGGGAGGCGAAGGCAGGCAGATTACTTGAGGTCGGGAGTTTGGGACCAGCTTGGCCAACATGCTGAAACTAAAATAAAAAAATACAAAAATGAGCCAGATGTGGTGGCTCATGCCTGTAATCCCAGCTACTTGGGTGGCTGAGGCAGGAGAATCACTTGAACTTGAGGTTTCAGTGAGCTGAGATCGTGCCCCTGCACTCCAGCCTGGGCAACAGAGTGAGACTCTGTCAAAAAATAAAAATAAAAAAAAAGAATATGGAAAAGTTGAACAAACTTGATTTAGTGGACACCCAAAAACTACAGACTACACATTGTTTTCAAGTTCACCTTGGACATTTACTAACACTCACCATGTCCTAGGCTGCAAAACAAGACTCAACAAATAGCAAAAGAACTTGCATCACACCAGCCATGTTCTTGATGCAACAGAATAAAGGCATAAATTGGCAACCAAACTAAAATTAAGGGCTCCCCTAGGTTTGGAAATTTAAAGATACACTACTGGCCAGGCACGGTGGCTCACACCTATAATCCCAGAGCTTCGGGAGGCCAAGGCAGGAGGATCCCTTGAGCCCAGGAGTTCAAGACCAGCCTGGGCAACACAGTGAGACCCCCCATCTCTATAAAACTAAATTAAATTATTTTTTAAATTAAAAAAAAATGCACTGGTCCGAGAAGAATTAGAATGAAAATCTAAAAGCATTTAGAACCAAACAATGAAAACTATGTACAAAAGCTTAAGCCATGTAGCCCAAGCAGTACTACAAGGAAACTAAAAAAAAAAAAGTGTGGCCAGGTGCAGTGGCTCACGCCTGTAATTCCAGCACCTCGGGAGGCTAAGGCTAGTGGATCACCTGAGGTCAGGAGCTAGAGACCATCCTGGCCAACATGATGAAACCCTATCTCTACTAAAAATACAAAAATTAGCTGGGCGTCGTGGTGAGCACCTGTAATCCCAGCTACCTGGGAGGCTGAGGCAGGAGAATTGCTTGAAACTGGAAGGTGGAGGTCGCATTGAGCCGAGATCGTACCGCTGCACTCCAGCCTGGGCGAGAAGAGTGAAACTGCATCTCAAAAAAAAAAGTATAAAAAATAGAAATAATATTATGAAATACAGAGGGATCTCCCTGCAGGCACCACTGGGAGCTGAAACATCAGGGGCACCTGGGGGGCGAAAGACATGAGTGGGAACAACTTCAGCCCTTGCTTCTCCTCCAAACACCACTGAAAGGAATGCAAAGGGATTGCAGATGTAAAAGGGAAGAGTTCACAGCAGAGAGTGAGAGGAGCGCCTGCCAGGAACATCACAGAAGCTGGAAAACAAGTGGGGGAGTGATAACTGATTCAAGGGATCAGCGTGAACTTGGAAAAAAGTGGTGGGAAGCACCAAGGGCACGTGCCCACAGAGAAAAGGCCACGTGAGGCCACCACCCAGAAGAGAGGCCTTGGAAGAAACCAACCTTGCTGGCACCGTGATCCTGGGCTTCCAGCCTGCAGGACTGTCAGACCATTACGGTGTTAGACCGACACTGTAAAGAAAGTAGTGATGACACACATGGTTGTCTCGCTCCAGTTCTAAAAGGGGGAAGGATGCCGGGTGTGGTGTTCTCCAGAAGGCCCTTCCATGTTTCTCTGTGGCACCCGCAGTGCCTGGATGTCAGCACTGGGAGAAACCGCCTCCAGATTCATCTGTAAAATCCGAGCATCAGTGAGCTCAACTCTCCTGCTTTCTCAGCTCTCTGTTTCCATTAGGTTTGGTTGATCTGGGTCAGGGCCAGCATCAGAGGTAAACCCAAAGCTGTTCTCTGTGGACTGACCTCTTCTCCCTTCTCTTACATGTCTGCCATGTCCACTAGCCTGTGAGCTTCAGGAGACAAAGGAGCATGTTTCTTCTTCCTGATACCCCCGAAACTTGCACAGTACATGCTATAAAATGCAGATTCAATGAGGGCTCTTTGCATTACAATTTTGAGAAAGAATCATGAACCATGATTTAGCGTCTCTTCCCATCAAACCCCAGGCCCACAGAGCAATTGCCTTTACCTGTGACACACACCTCCTACCTGTCCTCCCTGCAGCCCGGCATCTCTGTCCTGCAGACCAAACACAAAACTCATTGTCATCACTCTTCAACCTGGCTTCCTTTCTGACTTCCCTTCAGGTGCCCCAGGCAGAAACATGGGGATCATCTGACCCTCTGTCTCCCTCATCCTTCCCTATCCCACCAGCCCATGTCCTACTGACTCAGTCCTTAAAGTCCCTCTCGCTCCCCACCGGATCCTCAGTGTCTGGTAGTACAGTGCCTGACGTGGGAGGTACACAGCGACCACTAGGTGAATACAAGAATGATGTGATTGGCCAGGCACGGTGGCTCACGCCTGTAATCCCAGCACTTTGGGAGGCTGAGGCAGGCGGATCACGAGGTCAGGAGATCGAGGCTATCCTGGCTAACAGGGTGAAACCCCGTATCTACTAAAAACACAATTCTGGTCATGCGCAGGTACTATTCATCAATAAAGGTATTACAACTTCAGAAATGTGTTCAAAATGTATCCATACTTTGACATATTAATGAAGTAATCACTTTCTACACAAAACTACTCCATATGGAATATTGGGGAGGGGGTGTTCCAAATAAAGAGACAGGATTTCTCATGAGAACTCAGTGTCCGCTAGAAAATATCTAAGTAAAATATTTTACTTATGCAGAAAGTGTGGATGTTTGTGCATCAAAAGTTTCAAGAATCCCTAAAATGTACAATGGAGATGAGGAGAAAATATCAGAATTTCCCAGTGCCAGAAATGAGGCAAGAAAAAATTCAGAGGAGTTGTAAATGTGAAAAGCCAATGGCTGGTCACACAGCAACATTGATAACCTTGTGCCAGGACAACTAGAATAAATACATAAACATACAGATTGAAAATATTTCCAATATTAGATCTCCCTCATGTGAGAACTAAATTATAAAGATTGAAGATATAAGAAAATAAGCTACCAGAATTTAGGCTACCAGAATAAATTCGATTACACATCAATTTCTGATATTGAAATTGTCACAAATGTTTAAGTTGGTAGTGGAAGACAAAGGACATATAATCTTGGGAGTCCTAGGTCCCTGCCCACTGCCAGTGCCTCCACACTACTACAGCTGATGCTTTCTGGAAAGCACCACCTCCTAGCAGTAGGCCAACCAGCACAAATATAGAGCATTAAACCACTAAAGCTAAGGACCCTCACAGAATCTACTGCACCCTTCACCACATCCACTGGAACAGGCTCTGGTATCCATGGCTGAGAGACCCATAGATGGTTCACATCACAGGGCTCTATGCAGACAACCCCTAGTACCAGCCGAAAGCCAGGTAGACCTGCTGGGTGGCTAGACCCAGAAGAGAGACAACAATCAATGCACTTCGGCTCACAGGAAGCCATGCCCATAGGAAAAGGGGGAGAGTACTACGTCAAGGGAACACTCCATGCGACCAAAGAGTCTGAACAACAGTCTTCAGCCCTAGACCTTTCCTCTGACAGAGTCTACCAAAATGAGAAGGAACCAGAAAACCAACCCTGGTAATCTGACAAAACAAGACTCTTCAACACCCCCAAAGAATCACACCAGTTCATCACCAATGGAACCAGACAAAGAAGAAATCACTGATTTATCTGAAAAAGAATTCAGGTTAGTTATTAAACTAATCAGGGAGGGGCCAGAGAAAAGTGAAGCCCAATGCAAGAAAATCCAAAAAATAATACAATAAGTGAAGGGAGAAACATTCAAGGAAATAGATAACTTAAATAAAAAAAAATCAGGAAACTTTGGACGCACTTTTAGAAATGTGAAATGCTCTGGAAAGTCTCAGCAATAGAATTGAACAAGTAGAAGAAAGAAATTCAGAATTCGAAGACAAGGTCTTTGATTTAACCCAATCCAATAAAGACAAAGAAAAAAGAATAAGAAAATATGAGCAAAGCCTCCAAGGAGTCTGGCATTCTGTTAAACGATGAAACCTAAGACTAATTGGTGTACCTGAGGAATAAGTGAATTCTAAAAGCCAGGAAAACATATTTGGGGGAATAATCAATGAAAATTTCCATGGCCTTGTGAGAGACCTAGACATCCAAATACAAGAAGCACAAATAACACCTGGGAAATTCATCACAAAAAGATCTTAGCCTAGGCACATTGTCATTAGGTTATCCAAAGTTAAGACAAAGGAAAGAATCTTAAGAGCTGTGAGACAGAAGCACTAGGTAACCTATAAAGGAAGACCTATCAAACTAACAGCAGATTTTGCAGCAGAAACCTTACAAGCTAGATGGGATTGGGGTCCTTTCTTCAGCCTCCTCAAACAAAACAATTATCAGCCAAGAATTTTGAATCCAGCAAAACTAAACATCATATATGAAGGAAAGATACAGTCATTTTCAGACAAACAAATGCTGACAGAATTTGCTATTACCAAACCAGCACTGTAAAAACTGCTAAAAGGGGCTCTAAATCATGAAACAAATCCTGGAAACACATCAAAACAGAACTTCATTAAAGCATAAATCACACAAGACCTATAAAACAAAAATACAAGTGAAAAAGCAAAAACAGAAAACAAAAACAATGTACAGAGGCAACAAACAGCATGATGAAAGCAATGGTACCCCACTTTTTAATAGTAATGTTGGTTGTAAATGGCTTAAATGCTCCGCTTACAAGATACAGAACCACAGAATGGATAAGAACTCACCAACTAACTATCTGCTGCCTTCAGGAGACTCACCTAACACATAACAACTTACATAAACTTAAGGAAAGTGGTAGAAAAAGGCATTTCATGCAAATGGACACCAAAAGTGAACAGCGGTAGCTATTCTCATATGAGAAAAAACAAACTTTAAAGCAACAGTAGCTAAAAGAGACAAAGACAGACAGTATATAATGGTAAAGGCCTCATCCAACAGAAAAATATGACAATCCTAAACAAACATGAACCTAACACTGGAGCTCCCAAATTTATAAAACAATTACTAGTAGACATAAGAAATGAGATAGACAGCAACACAATAATAGTGGGGGCCTTCAATACTCCACTGACAGCACTAGACAGTTCATCAAGACAGAAAGTCCACAAAGAAACACTGGATTTAAACTATACTTTGGAACAAATGGACTTAACAGATATATACAGAACATTTCATCCAACAACCACAGAATACACATTCTATTCCACAGCACATGGAATTTTCTCCAAGATAGACCATATGATAGGCCATAAAACAAGTCTCAATAAATTTAAGAAAATTGAAATTGTATCACGCACTCTCTCAGATCACAGTGGAATAAAACTGAAAATCAACTCCAAAAGGAATCTTCAAAACCATGCAAATACATGGAAATTAAATAACCTGCTCCTGAATGAGCATTGGGTGAAAAATGAAATCAAGATGGAAATGTAAAAAATTTCTTCGAACTGGATGACAAAACCTATCAAGACCTCTGGGATACAGCAAAGGCAGTGCTAAGAGGAAAGTTTGTAGCCCTAAACACCTATGTCAAAAAGTCTGAAAGAGCACAAACAGACAATCTAAGTTCACATCTCAGGGAACTAGAGAAGCAGGAACAAGCCAAACCCAATCCCAGAAAACAAAGGAAATAACCAAGATCAGAGCAGAACTAAATGAAATTGACACAACAACAACAACAACAACAACAACAAATACAAACCATAAATAAAACAAAAAGTTGGTTATTCGAAAAGATAAATAAAATCGATAGACCATTAGCAAGATTAACCAAGAAAAGAAGAGAGAAAATCCAAATAACCTCACTAAGGAAGGAAACAGGGGATATTACAACTGACACCACTGAAATATTAAAGATTATTCAAGGGTACTATGAACACCTTTGGCACATGAACTAGAAAACCTAGAAGAGTTGGACAAATTCCTGGAAAAATAAAACCCTCCTAGCTTAAATCAGGAAGAATTAGATACCCCAAGCAGACCAATAAAGCAAGCAGCAAGATCGAAATGGTAATATTAAAATTACCAACAAAAAAAGCCGAGGACTAGACAGATTCACAGCAGAATTCTACCAGACATTCAAAGAATGTCTTCTTTCATTCAAAGAAGAAATGATACCAATCCTTTCACACTATTCCACAAGACAGAGAAAGAAGAAACCCTCCCTGATTCATTCTATGAAGCCAGCATTACCCTAATACCAAAACCATGAAAGGACATAACCAAAAATGAAAACTACAGAACAACATCCTTGATGAACGCAGATGCCAAAATCCTTAACAAAATACTATCTAACTGAATCCAACAACATATCAAAAAGATAATCCACCATGATCAATTGGGTTTCATACCAGTGATACAGGAATGGTTTAACATACGCAAGTCAATAAATGTGATACACCAAATAAACAGAATTAAAAAAAAAACTCACATGATTATATCAACAGATGCAGAAAAAGCATTTGACAAAATCTAACATTGCTTTATGATTAAAGCTCTCAGCAAAATAGGCATACAAGGGACATACTTTAATGTAATAAAAGCCATCTGTGACAAACCCACAGCCAACATAATACTGAATGGGGAAAAGGTGAAAGCATTGCCTTGAGAACTGCAACAAGATGAGGAGCCTACTCTCACCACTCCTCTTCAACATAGTACTGGAAGTCCTAGCCAGAGCAATCAGACAAAAGAAGGAAATAGAGGAAATCCAAATCGGTAAAGAGGAAGTCAAACTGTCACTGGTTGCTGACGATATGATCTTTTGCCTTGAAAACCCTATGGACTCTTCTAGAAAGCTCCTAGAAATGATAAAATAATTCTGCAGTTTCCAGATACAAGATTATTGTACACAAATCAGTAGCTCTTCTATACATCAACAGCTACCAAGCAGAGAATCACATCAAGAACTCAACCCCTTTTGCAATAGCTGCAAAAAACAAAAAAAACAAACAAAAAAAACTTAGTAATATACCTAACAAAGGAATCAAAAGACCTCTACAATGAAAATTACAAAACACTGCTGAAAGAAATCACAGATGGAGCCAAGCACAGTGGCGCATGCCTATAATCCCAGCTACTCGGGAAGCTGAGGCAGGAGAATCGCTTGAACCCAGGAGGCAGAAGTTGTAGTGAGCTGAGATCACACCATTGCACTCCCACCTCAGCGACAAGAGCGAAACTCCCTCTGAAAAAAAAAAAGACCAAGAAAGAAAAGAAATCATAGATGACAGAAACAAATGGAAATGCATCCCCATGCTCAAGGATGGGTAGAACCAATACTGTGAAAATTACCATTCTGTTAAAGGCAATCTACAAATTCAATGCAATCCCCATCTGAATACCATCATCATTCTTCAGAGAACTACAAAAACAATTCTAAAATTAATATGGAACCAAAAGAGAGCCATGTAGCCAAACCAAGGCTAAGCAAAAAGAGCAAACCTGGAGGCATCACACTACTTGATTTCAAACTGTACAGTAAGGCCATAGTTACCAAAACAGCATGGTACTGGTTTAAAAATAGGCACATAAACCAATGGAACAGAAAAGAGAACCCAGAAATTAACCCAAATACTTACAGCCAACTGATCTTTGACAAAGTAAACAAAAACATAAAGTGGGGAAAGGACACCCTTTTCAACACATGATGTTGGGATAATTGGCGAGCCACATGTAGGGGAATAAAACTGGATTCTCATCTCTCACCTTACACAAAAATCTACTCAAGATGGATTAAGAACTTAAACCTAATTCCTGAACTATAAAAATTCTAGAAGGTAACACTGGATAAACCCTTCTAGACACTGGCATAGGCAAGGATTTCATGACCAAGAACCCAAATGCAAATGCAATAAAAACAAAGCTAAATAGCTGCGACTTAATTAAACTAAATAGCTTTTGCATGGCAAAGGGAACAGAGTGGGAACCCTGACCCTGACCCCTAACTCCTGACCCTGACCCTGACCCCTGACCCCTAACCCCTGACCATAACCCTAATCTCTAACCCTTAACCCTAACCCTAACCCCTAACCCCAACCCTCACCCTAACCCAACCCTAACCCCAAATACCTAACCCCTAACCTCTCTTAACCCCTAACTCTAAACGTTGACTCCTAACCCCTAACTCTGACCCCAACTCCTATCTCCAACCCCTAACCCTAAACTTAACCCCTAACCCCTAACCCCTAATCCTAACACCAACCTTAACCCTAGGTTCGTTACTAAATTTGTATTGACTATGACTATGTTGATTATTATGATCACTGTCTTAGGGCTGCACGGCAGTGAGGGGATTTTGGATCTTATATTAATGTTTTTGTATTGAGGCAGTGCATTAGCACTACAGGTGCTTGTTACATGAGCAATGGGGGTGTCATATTTTGCGTGTCATGTCTGCATTAGGAATGCTGCATTTGTCTTTTTTTTTTTTTTTTTTGAGACGGAGTCTCGCTCTGTCGCCCAGGCTGGAGTGCAGTGGCGGGATCTCGGCTCACTGCAAGCTCCACCTCCCGGGTTCACGCCATTCTCCTGCCTCAGCCTCCCAAGTAGCTGGGACTACAGGCGCCCGCCACTACGCCCGGCTAATTTTTTGTATTTTTAGTAGAGACGGGGTTTCACCGTTTTAGCCGGGATGGTCTCGATCTCCTGACCTCGTGATCTGCCTGCCTCGGCCTCCCAAAGTGCTGGGATTACAGGCGTGAGCCACCGCGCCCGGCCTGCATTTGTCTTCCGAGACTGCGGTGTGGATCTCGCACTGCAGCCGCCTCGCCTTGGCAGGAGAGAACCTCGGTGGGCAGGATTCAGAAGGGCTTTTGGTTTCCCGTTTTCCACACTGAACCCTTCTAACTGGTCTCTGACCCTGATTATTCAGCGCTGCAAACAGGAAGGATTTTATTCACCGTCAATGTGGTCCCGAGTTGTCCCAAAGCGAGGCAGTGCCCCCAAGGTCTGTGCTGAGGAGAACGCTGCTCTGCCTTCGCGGTGGCCCCCCGGGTCTGTGCTGAGCAGAACACACCTCATCCTGTGCTGAGGAGAACGCAGCTCCGCCCTCGCAAAGGCACACAGCGCCAGCGCAGGGCACCGAGAGGCGCACCTGAACCCGAATCCTAACCCTAACACCGTCCTAAGAGCCCTGGAGAGACCTTAGGGGACAAGCATTAAACTGACACTCGAGTCCATAGCCGGCTCTGCCAAAAGACTTGGGGTTGAGGTGATATGAGGGCAGGGGTCAGGGAAGAAAGCGTTCTGGTTTTAGACCCACAGGAAGATCTGTGAAGCGCACTTGGGTAGAGCACATGTTGCCTGGTGTGCGCTTGAAAAAAGCCTAAGAAGAGGGGGCGTCTGGAAGGAACCGCGACGCCAAGGGAGGGTGTCCAGCCTTCCCGCTTCAACACCTGGACACATTCTGGAAAGTTTCCTCAGAAAGACAGAAAAATAATAATAAAAAAAAAAATCCAGAGGGCGGGGAGTGGGGGGGTGTGGCTAATGGGGCTTTACCGGGACTATCTGTCTTAATCCTCCAAACAACCCTGCCATAGCAGCCCATCAGTCCTCTGAGACAGGTGAGGAACCTGAGGTCACAGGAGGACACCCAGAAGGTCCAAGCAGAGCCCCCTAGGCCCCCCACACCTCCCCCCGTGCCAGCTCCAACCCCAGCTTTTTCACTAGTAAGGCACGCCTGCTGCTGGGCCACGCCCACTCCCCCAAGCGGGAGTTTGATAAACAAACTGTTAATTATTATTACCTATATCTGGATGGGTTATGAGTGAATTTTTTTAAATTTATTTTTATTTATTCTTTATTTATTTTTGCGGGGACAGAGTCTTGCTCTGTCACTCAGGCTAGAGTGCGATGGCATGATCTCAGCTTACTGCAACCTCCACCTCCTGGGTTCAAGGAATTCTCCCACCTCAGCCTCCCAAGTACCCTAGACACAGGCGTATGCCACCACGCCCAGCTAACTTTTGTGTTTTTAGTTAGAGATGCGGTTTTGCCATGTTGGCCAGACTAGTCTTGAACTCCTGATGTCAAGTGATTTGTCCATCTCTGCCTCTGAAAGTGTTGGGATTACAGGCATAAGCTACTGCACACAGCCTAAAATATATTTTTATTTTCAAAAATTGTGTGGTGTGCATGAGTTTTATAGCAAGAAAAAATTATAATTTATTTTGAATTAAATTCCATTGTTTTAAAATTAAGCAATAGGTGAGCTGGAATTTTAAGCTCCACAAATGACCAATAACTTATTTGATTCCCTTTTAAACCTGTTGTCTGTTTTAATCACTCATATGGAATCATTCATATGTTTTTACTTAAAATCTAAACCAAATAATGAAGTAACTGTTTAAATTGTTAGATTTTGAATATGGTTCAGTTGGATGTAAAATGTAACTATTACTCAGGAAAACGATCTGATTTTTTTTTAGCAAGTGATATTCTTTCTTTCTGAGAGCATTTCACAAATGTTTCTACCTAATGAATCATATTTTAAAATTAACACTTGTAATTCTTTTTTCTTTTTAGTTTCCTGCCCATGATGATTCACATAATAAACACAATGAACTGACAGGAGATAATGTGGGTCCACTAATACTGAAAAAGAAAGAAGTATAATAATAATATTATAACAATATTTTCTCATTCTTTGTGTATAGAAAATTTTAAAATGGTGGTCTTAATTATTACTACTGGTTGAACAAATATTTCTTCCAATTTATTTTCTTCCTGCACTACTGTTTGTATTTGATCCTTTGTCTATTCAGTCTCTTAATTAGAAATTAAATTGTCAAGCCTCTTATTCTGATGTCAAAGAATTAATGTATCTTCCAACAATAAAATCACTTCTGATTTTAATCTAGGAAAACCTAAATTGTGGCTATGGATCCAAAGCTGTTTGTTTCTTTGAATATCAATATTTTCAACAGGATCTTGTATTTAAAATTCCCACCTACATTGTTAAATATGTTATTTTTTCATATCTCTTTTGGTTTTGATAATCTGAAGTGTTTTTTTCTCCTTTTGGCCTTCCAAACTGCATTTGTTTAGGTGAATTAAGAAAAATATTGGGCCGGGCGCTGTGGCTCACGCCTGTAATCCCAGCACTTTGGGAGGCCGAGGCGGGCGGATCATAAGGTCAGGAGATCAAGACCATCCTGGCTAACACGGTGAAACCCCGTCTCTACTAAAAATACAAAAAATTAGCCGGGCGAGGTGGCGGGCGCCTGTAGTCCCAGCTACTCGGGAGGCTGAGGCAGGAGAATGGCGTGAACCCCGGGGGGCGGAGTGTGCAGTGAGCTCCAGCCTGGGCGACAGCGAGACTCCGTCTCAAAAAAAAAAAAAAAAAAAAAGAAAAATATTGCCATCAAGAATTACTTGTGTTTTCACAGAGATAGACTCTTTGCTTTATAGAGGTTGTTGGGTATTTAATATGAATATCCCAGCTTTAGAAAAGAGTAAACTGGATACAAAAAGTTCCATTGAGGAACAGTTATTTACAGTAAAAAAGATTTGTTTACTTTACAAAAGGCTTGTGTCTGCTTCTATGTGTGTATATTTTAAACTGACTCAGTGAGAGCTGGGGTGGAATGGCAAGAACACTTACAACCTAACTCATGGGCTGCTGCAATTTGAAGATCAATTGGTAATAAATATAAGACATATTAATTCATATTAAAATAGTTCAGTGTTCAAAATTGTGGTTACGTGGACATTTTTCTCTTTTTAACACTATAAACCATTAAAATACAGTCATCCCTTGTATACACTGGGGACTAGTTCCAGGGCCACACATATACCAAAATCTGCCCATACTCAAGTCTCACAGAAAGTCTTGCAGAACCCATATGTAGAAAAGTTGGCCCTCCAATTGACCCTCCATACACATGAGTTTCACATCCCACGCACAAATGCTGATCTGTGTGACCTCACCTGCATTTGATTGAAAAAAGTATGCGCATAAGTGTACCCACCCAGTTCAAACCCATGTGTAAGGGTCAACTGTACAAAAAAGTTTGTGAAATAAATGTACCGGAGAATCTTTAAAATTTTTGTGCTTTTTAATCCTACTATTATGAGTCTTTTTAGTTTCATCTTACATTACTACTCTCATAATAGCTATCCTTAGCCAGGTGCCATGGCACAGGCCTGTAGTCCCAACTGCTGGGAAGATTGAGGTGGGAGGATGGCTGCAGTGCCGGAGCCCAGGAGTTCAAGGCCAGGCTGGGCAAAATAGTGCTCTGCCTCTGCTGGACTCTGTAGGGAATCCTTTCTGTTCTGAAAGAGTTACCATTTAACCCTCTTCACTGAGTACATTTCTGAGACCTTGCTAGGCACTATGGAAACTGCTTAGTTGAGAAAAGACAAATACAAAAGCTTTTCTTTAGTCTATTTAAGATACAATTTATTCAGTTCACTTTGCTTTCTTTTTATAAGAAGGTACAAGAGGCAGAGGTAATCCTTCTAGAAATAAAACTAATTGTTATTGAGAACTCGTATGTACCAGACAGTACACTAAGCATGGTACTTGTGTTTTTAATTTATTACATGTAATGTCAGTAGGTTCAATTATATGATCAGAACATCTTCATGACCAGCAGCATGTATTTTAGAGTTAGAAATGTAGTCTGGTTTCTGAGAAGTTTTACAAGGTGTATGTCCAAAATTATTGCTCTTTCCTCACATGTCAGTGGGGGATAAATACAGCATTGCTCTCACTTCTTTGACTCTGGGCACTTTTTTAGATACATTTTCTTCAACACTGTTAAGGGACCTCACTGTCAGATTAACCAATTATTTTTCCACAGTTGGTCACCAGACTTTGGAAAAAATCCAGCTCACCAAAATTTTGGATATCCTGGTCTGTGGTCATGAAATGCTTTTCTTTTTGTAAAATCTGTCACTGTGTCTCACAGCAACTTGCTTTCACACATGTTCTAGTCGTTCCCATAACTTAGATTTTACAGGAGGCAAATTTACTAAAAATGAGGCGACTAAAATGAATGACCAACTTTGAATTTTGTCAAATAACATTGAAAATGAATTATCTCATAAAAGGTAATTTTAATACCCCAAAAGTAAGATGGTTATACTCTCAGAATAAAGACTTTTTCCCTGCCACATTTTCAGTTGTTAAAATATGCTATGCCCATATCTTTTCCCACCTGTGCAAATTTTTCAGAAGCCTACAGTTGGTAGTAAGCTGTTGCTTTAATAACTCTTTTAAATAAGCATTATTAGCAGTTTCCATTACTTCTTGTAAATTTACACAATTTTATCTTGTCCATCTTTAAAAAATAGATATCTAATAACCAAATGTATTTGAATTGATACAGTATAAGTAACTTGTAGAACTTGAGGATAAGTGGTAAAGGAAAAAAAAAGTAACTTGACTCTTGAAATACGTCTTGGGTTTCTAGAGCCTTCAAAATACAGCCTTGTTGTTACTGTGTCACATTATGATTGTTTTGACGGCTACTTCTGCTTACCTAGGAAACTACTCATGCCTTACTCAGCAAATGAGCACCACCATTACATAAACATCAGGTATCCAAAAGTGTTAGCAGGCTTGAGGTATGAATGATTAATTCATATGGGTAATTAAGCAAGTTGAATTATGGAAAGCATCTCACAATTCACACAATTCAGCTTTGAGTTCAATGCCAAATATGATGATTCATTAAGTTGCCTTTGTATTTTGTAACCTAATTTGTTAATAAGTTACAGGAAGCCAATTAAGCCAGCTGCTGATCTATATAGTACTACCTTCCTCATTGTGATTCCATAGTCTTCCAATAGAAATGTGCTATCAGAATCTGTATAAAGAGTTTGTAAATTGCACTATTTAACAAGGTTCTTAAGAATTTAGGTGGATGTTTTATTTGATACCTACCAAAGAAACTTAACTAATTGTATAACACTTAACCCATTTAGAATTCAGTTGTGGCAGCATAACCAATCTGGAGAGACCAGGGGAGATGTTACTAATGCTTGTACTTTATTCAGAAGTGATTGCCTCATTGTCTTGGTGCAGTAACTACACACCTGTAATCTCAGCACTTTGGGAGGCTGAGGTGGGTGGAGTACTTGATCTCAGGAGTTCCATACCAGCCTGGGCAACATGGTGAGATCTCATCTCTACAAAAAAATACAAAAATTAACCGGGCACCAATGGCGCACCCATAGTCCCAGTTACTCGGGAGGCTGAGGCACAAGAATCTCTTGAGTTGAGGAGGCCAAGGTTGCAGTGAGCCAAGATTGTGCCACTGCACTCCAGCCTGGGCAACAGGAGTGAAACCCTATCTTAAAAAAAAAGTATTTTTTTCTTCATATAATCAAATTTATTGGGGCAGAAATCAGTACAAAGTTCATAGGACAGGAGGAAACCAATATAAACATCTCAGCATTGTAGGAAATTTAACCCATGGAAAGCAGGACTGAATTAAAGACCACTTTGAAGGCCAGGAAAAGCAGATAATTTAGATATAGTCAAAGTATGAAATCATTGATAGATCCAGAACAAGGGAATGATATATGTGTTTACATATTAGATCTACATTATTAACAATTTTCCCTCTGTTAAACTAATATCGACTAATAGTAGTCTAGGTAAGTCAAGTTCAAATTAAGTGGTAATTGAAAAGTCTTCCTTTTTAAAAATTTTTAATGGTAGAGGCAGCAGCTACCCAGAGTCTACTTATTCTTACTTCACATAGAATTCTAACAAGTTAGGTTATCTGATTTCTGCTTCCTAACAAATCACAAGTATCGAAAGGGTCTTGCAGAAGGGGTGAACTATAAAATGTGACAGCTGACAGCAAGGCATGGGAACAAAAATAAACTTAAGGTGAACATTAAAAACATAGCAGCTTGAGACAATTTATAGGATTCTGCATACAACCGTCTCTGAGGACATCACTGTGATCAAATTATACAAGTGATGTTTAGTGATGAATTGGAATCAAGATAAGTAGTAGGTGTTATTTAAAAAGGCAGTATATGTGTTGCATTCAGTGGCAACAATTTCCCCTTAGCTATTTAGTTAAAAGCTTAGTGCTTAACATGTTGGAAAATTTATGTGTAAAATATATTGACTTATTCCTTGATGATTGGAGGCTTTATCACAGGAAGTTTTCCCATTCAATTGAAACATTTTTCAAGCTTAATGACTATAATTTACTACATAATTTATTTTGTTAAAGTTTGAGAAAAACTAAATAAAGAAGTAGCAATTTAAGTCATAATAAATTTTGTTAGATGACTTCTTCCACTTTAGGGGGAATTAAAAATCTTGTTTAAAAACCACATGTGCAGCAGTTCTGTGACTGCCTCAACACCTAGTTGGCCATATAGTCCCTTTGCACCACAGAGGTTGGAGTATAGAATATGCCCAAAGCTGTTTTGTTTTGTTTTAACTATGCTGCATCATCTGAGGTTGTGTTAACATAGTTTGTCCTAATAGTCTTTTACTGGAAAGTTGCTATATTTGATTATGTTCAGCAAGTAAACTAATTTTATCTACTTTCATATATTTTGAGACAAAGTCTGGCCCTGTCATCCAGGCTGGAGTGCGGGGGCGTAATCGTACCTCACCACAGCCTCAGCCTCTTGTGCTGAAGTGATCCTCCCACCTCAGCCTCCCAAGTAGCTGAGACTACAGTCATGCTTCATCATGCCCGGCTAATTTTTTACTTTCCTAAGAGACAGAGTCTCACTATGTTACCCAGGCTGGTCTCGAAGTCCTGGACTCAAGTGATCCTCCCTGCCTCAGCACTCCCAAAGTGCTGGGATTGCAGGTGTGAGCAACCATGCCTGGTGTTTTATCTTTTGCAGAAATCCAGTTTAGTTAAGTCATGTTGTAGCAAGCATCATTTTCATATAAAAAGTGTACAGTTCATATTATTAGCAAATGTATTCTGTAATTTTATATTAGTTGTGGTCTTGAAGGACATTGAAAATCTGTTCAGAAAGACTGTGTTTTTCAACCAGAGATGACATCACTCTAACTTTCCTTTGGTTTAAATGCTTGATTCTTTGCTTACAAAATTTCTGTTTTGAACAATTATGGTGAGAAAGTATATTTGTGATACTGTTTTCTTAGAACACTGTTGTCAGATAGATCAGCCATAATGTTAACACGTTTCTGATCTCTATTATAAGGCTGTAATTTTCCAAAATAAGATAGAAAAGGAGAAAAGGGTAGTACATTTCATAATTACTGAGATGAACCCTGTACTAGTGAGAAAATAAAAATGCCAACAATTTATTAAATTTTCAGATTTCCTGTAATTTTCCATCACTATCTCTCATACATTTCTCTGCATGATCACACTAAAGATATAAATTAATCACATCCATTCAACAAATCAAGAAACTCAAAACTCACAAGTACAATCTTCAACTCTGTAGAATGCTACCAAGAAGTAAAATAAGATGAAGGTAGAAAGATTCTCTTTGAGGGCCAGGTGCGGTGGCTCACACCTGTAATTAATTCCAGCACTTTGAGAGGCCAAGGTGGGCAGATTGCCTAAGGTCAGGAGTTCAAGACCAGCCTGGCCAACATTGTGAAAACTCGCTCTACAAAAATACAAAACTTAACTGGGCATGATGGCGGATGTCTGTAATCCCAGCTACTCGGGAGGCTGAGGTGGAAGAATCACTTGAATCCAGGAGGCAGAGGTTGCAGTGTGCCAAGGTCATGCCATTGCATTCCAGCCTGGGCCAGAGAGCAAGACTCCATCTCAAAAAAAAAAAAAAAAGAAAAGAAAAAAGAAAGATTCACTTTGAAATGCTGCATGCAACTATATGACCACACATTGGAAAATCTAGAGAAAATGGGTAATTTTCTGGAAAAATATAAATGACCAAAACTAATCCAAGAAGAAATTGAAAATGTTAGTAGACCAGTTACAAAGAAGAGAATGTAAAGTGATTTTTTAAATCCATAATTTAAAAAGTACTAGGGTTGCAAGAAGGATAATTCCAATGTTATTTAAAGTATCCCAAATTTTTTTTAAAAAAGAAAAACCAATTCATTTCACATAGGCAGTGCAGCATTAATATGAAAACCTGATAAACATAAGACAAAACTATAGGCCAGGTGCCATGGCTTACACCTGTAATCCCAGCACTTTGGGAAGCCAAGGCAGGTGGATCACTTAAGATCAGGAGTTCAAGACCAGCCTGAACAATATGGTGAAACCCCGTCTCTACTAAAAATCCAAAAATTAGCCCAGCATGGTGGTGCATGTCTGTAATCCCAGCTTGAACCCAGGAGGCAGAGGTTGCAGTGAGCCAAGATCACGCCACTGCACTCCAGCCTGGGTGACAGAGCAAGTCTCCATCTCAAAACAAAAAAAAACAAACAAAAAAACCAAAACTATAGACCAATCTGACTTATACATGTGAATGAATATTCTAAATAAAAACCCAGCACTGTTATCAATAATTGCAACAACAAAAAAGAGTAATACAGTATGCAAAGAGCATTGTATTTCAGGAATTCATGGGTATTTCAATATCAGTTAAGTATATTAACACAATTACATAATTGACATCAAAGAAGAGGAAAATGTGATTATATCAATAGATGCTGAGAGGGCTATTGTTAAGATTAAACTTCCACTCCTAATGAAGATTCTTGAGTAAAATAGAAATTGAAAGAAAGTGTCTAAACATAGCCGTTATTTATGAAATGCCTACAAAACAAGTATTTTAAATCATAAAGGAACATTTCAATTAAAACAAGGAACCAGTAGGAATAGCTGCTGTCATTATTTGTTATTAAAGATTATCTTGGAGGATCCATGAATGTAACAAGATTTTTAAATGAAATAGTCAGTATAAATATAGAGAAAACTTTTTGTGGATATGATTATATGCCTAGCAAATCATAGAGATTAGGAAAAACAGAACTTTCAAATATTTTAAAGAGGAATATTGGTAAGGTATTTGGAAATAAGATCATAATACAAAATACATTAGCAATAAGCACCTTGAAATGCTAATGGTAAAAATATTCACAATAACAAAAATAATAAAGGTAAAATAAATTTACCAAGAAAGAAGATCTACAAGAAAAAAACTATAAAAATGTTAACAAAAGCTATTAAATAAGAAACACATGGGGCTAGGTGCAGTGGCTCATACCTGTAATCCCAGCACTTTGGGAGGCTGAGGCAGGAGGACTGCTTGAGCCCAGGAGTTCAAGACCAGCTTCGGCAAATTGTGAAACGCTATATCTAAACAAAACAAAACAAAACAAAAAACTATTTGGGCTTGGCGCATGCTTATAGAACCAGGTACTTGGGAGGCTGAGGTGGGAGTTTGGGGCTTCAGTGAGCTGAGATACCACAACTGCACTCCTGCCTGGGTGACAAAGTGAGACCCTGTCTCAAAAACACAAACAAAACTCTTGTAAAAACATAAATCTCCTAAAATTATATATAAATTCAATTAAATTCACATTAGAATCACAAAAGCATTTTAAAATTGGATTAAATTATCTTAAAGTTCATGTAGAAGAATAGTCAGAACATTTTACCCAAAAAAAGACTATTGAGAGGAACTTTTCTCACCAGATATCAGCACCTACTATAGAACTATTGGAATTGATCAATTAAGAAAAACAATTGTATTAATTAAGAATAAGCAAGAGTAGTAAAAAATTGAGAATCTACATGTAGATGAAAAATTAATATATGAAAATAAACAATTCAAAGAAAACAAAATTGGACCCTCAATTTACACTGAAGGCTTTGAACTGATACATAAAATGATTTTTAAAATGATTTAAATACGTACATAAATGGAGAGAGGAAGGGTGGGAGAGAAGCGGGAGAGAGAGAAAATAGAAGACTAAAGACAGGAACACCTATGTGGAAAAAGATAACACTTAATGACAAAATATGTTTTATGTGAATATCAGTTATACATAATAAATATTGGGGACACTGCATTGTGGGTTACAGTAAAGCATTAAAAAACAGAGTAAGTGAACAAAAAAAGGAAAGAAAACTACCAAATTCCATGTATGATACCCCGTTTTGAAATTACATAAATTAAACATGTGTACACATAAGAAAATTTTAAACATTAAAATTTTGTTAACAAAATGGATTTGATAACACAAAGGCCATTGATGACCTTACCCACAGCAGCTTTGTTTAAATGGGGATTAAGGATGGAACAAAATTTTTATTAGAACACTTTGAATAATGAATTAGCAAACTACAATAAACTGAAATCTTACCTACCAAATAATCTCAGTAAAGTAAACAAATCTAAAAGAAATGAATAAAACAATTGTGAGCAAAAAAGGATAGAGTCACTGCATATAATGTAAATGAGACAAGGATGGCCTCTGTGTATTGGCGCCTAGGTTATTTCTTCACAGCAAGCTGAAACCCATTAGCTCAAAAACCAACTGGCACCAAACTCAAATTTTTAAACATCCAATTGTGTTAAACATAGCCCAGACATGCAGATTTGTAGGCATTTAGAGCCTGCCTGATTTACATGCCCTGGGAAACTACATCCAAAATCTGCTTGCCACAGATAAACTCTAGGCTGTAAAGACCCCAAGCTGCTTCTGCTCTTTGGAACTCTGTGAACTACAGACTCCATGCCATGCTGCTGAGTGATATCACTGAGACATGAAAGCCTCCTCTCTGATACTTTCCTCCCTCAGGAGTTCCTTTGCCCTCCTCCCCTTCTGAGTGGTGGCCCCCTTGTCTCAAACCTCTGGTCCATCTCTTGCTGTGAAGGCCTTCCCCAGGATACAAACCTGACAAGAGATCATCCAGATAAAGCCCATGTGTGCTTCTGTCACATCATTTTCTATATTTTTCTAATTTTTTTCTAAACTTTTCTAATTTTTTCTTAATTTTTATAAAATTGTGGATACCTAATAATGTAGTCTCAAAATAAATAAAGCCAAAATTAGAATTGGAAAGAGCAATAAAAAAATCTACACAGTGAGAGATTTTAACATTTCATCTTTGGTAATTGAATAAATAAACGTAAAATTAGTAAGGCTAATCAACAGTTAAAGAATTTCTATTCTTTTCAAGCACACTTGGAGTATTTATAAAAATTGACCAGATATTAGGCCTAAAGGTAGTATCAAATGTTTACATTGGTATAACAAATGTGTAATAGCACTATTAGAAATCAATAACAAAAACTTGTCCAAAAGTAATCCATGAATTTTAGAAACTACAAACAGCTTCCAAATGATTCATGGAAGCAAGAAGAAATTATAACAAAAATTAGAACATGCTTAAAATTGAATTAAAATGAAAAGATTACCAATCATTATATATGTAAAATAACTGAAGCAGTACTTAGAGTGAAATTTACCAGAAGCAATTCACATTCATGGGAAAGACAACAGCATGCATTTAGAGACTTGTCCAAGATGTATATTAGTTCTTTGACTCTCTGTCCTAATGTAGTCCAGAGACGTGAGCTGTCTGGACATTCTGTAGCATGTTACATTTGTCCATTTTATTTACCAGTTAAAATAGACTGGGTAAGAAATAGCATGTTGGATGGCCTAGTGAGACACATGCATCCCTGAGAGAGAAAATCATCTGAAGATTTAAGGACCTGTGACATCAGTCGCAGAAGATTTTAGGGGGCCCATTGGTCCCCCTATACTAAGGAATACTGTTCTGACACATTTGCTGAGTGACACAGAAGGCTTCCACCTTTGACAAAAGCTTAGGGCAGAAAAGGCCTCTGCAGCAGGTCCAGGATACAGGGCAAGCAGCCCTACTGTTTGAGCCATACACTCTAGTAGGCTCTATGGTATTAGAAGTATATGCAGTTGGAAAAAGCACCATGTAGAGTTTATAGCAAACCCTAATAGACGATTCACACATAGTCTTGTGGGGTTCACTAGCATGGTCATGCTCTCTGCAAGTAATTGTATATTGTATAAATATATAGCATAATTGTGTACTTTAATAGCTCCTAGCATGCTACTGCACCTAGGTAGAGATGGATTATCTGACAACAAATATTAAGTGACCATGTGGCTAAAAGTTCCCACCATGGGTTTGGTTTTGTTAGATCTACCAGATCATAAGGACAGGCTGGCCCAGCAACAAATCATAATAAAATAGAAGTAGCACATTGAATTAGTCCATTTTCACATTGCTATAAAGAACTACCCAAGCCTGGGTAATTAATAAACAAAAGAGGTTTATTGACTCACAGTTCCATATGGCTGGAGAGGTCTCAGGAAACTTACACTTATGACTAAAGGCAAAGGTGAAGCAGGCACCTTCTTCAGAAGGCAGCAGGAGAGACAGAGAGCAAGGGGGGATGTGCCAAACACTTTTAAACTATCCACTCTCATGAGAACTCACTCAATATCATGAGAACAGCATGAGGGAAACTGTCCCCATGTTCCAGTCACCTCCCACCAGGTTCCTCTCTCTACATGTGGGGATTATAATTTGAGATGAGATTTTGTAGGGACACAGAGCCAAACCATATCACATCAAGGATTGGGCATGAGAAAGACTAGAGGACACAAGTAAGCAGTATGATCAGGTGATCCAGGTCCCCACATTATCCAAATTGTGACAATAGATTCTCTCCCTCAGCTGGCAACTCTGCCTATGTGGGAGTTCCAATATTGCTAAAGGAGGGAAAAAGCTAAGCTTGTTCATTGGAAGATCAACTCAGGATGCGGATGTAAGTAAAAAATGATAGCAACCTACTTCAGCTATGGAAAGATAGCAGTAGATTAAATCCTCCCAACGACGGTTCAACATATATGAATCAATAAATGTGATATACACATTAACAGAATGAAGGACAAAAACTATATGAATATCTCCATGGATGCAGAGAAAGCATTTGACAAAATTCAACATCTTTCTGTAATAAAAACTTTCAACAAATTAGGTATCAATATCCATATAACACAATAAAGGCATATATGATAGGCCCACAGCTAACATCATACTCAATGGTAAAAAGTTGAAAGCTTTTTCTCTAAGATCAGAAACAAGATGGATGCCCATTTTCACCACTTCTATTCAAGTTCTAGCAATTAGCCAAGAAGAAGAAATAAAGGCATTAAAGTCAGAAAGGAAGAAGTGAAATTGTCTCTGCAGACAACATGATCTTAAATGTAGAAAACCCTAAAGAGTCCACCAAAAAAAACTGTTGGAACTAGTAAATTAATTCAGTAAAGTTGCAGGATGCAAAATCAACATAAAAAAATGAGTAGCATCTGTATACACTAACAATGAACTATCTGAAAAAGAAATCAAGAAAGCAATTTCATTTATAATGGCTACACAAATACTTAGGAATTAATTTAACGAAGGAGGTGAAAGACCTGTACACTGAAAACTATAAAACATTGGTGAAAGAAATTGAAGAAGACACAAATAAATGGAAATATATCCCATCTTCATGGATTAGAAGAATTCATGCTGTTAAAATGTTCTTAGTACCCAAAGTGATCTACAGATTCAATGTAATCTCCATCAAAATTCCAATGATATTTTTTATGTAAACAGAAAAAAGTCCCCAAATTCATGTGAAACCACAAAAAACTCCAAATAGCAAATTGTGAGCAAAAAGAACAAAGTAGGAGGCATCACATTATCCAGTTTCAAAATATACTATGATGCTATAGTAATCAAAAATATAACATGATACTGGCATACGAACAGACTGGTAGACCAATGGAATAGAATAGAGAGCCTCAAAATACATCCACGTTTAAGGCCAATTGATTTTCAGTAAATATGCCAAGAATACACAATGGGGAAAGGACAATCTTTTCAATAAATGGTGTTGGGAGAACTCCACATGCAGAGAAATGAAATTAGACCCTTATCTCATACCATATACAAAAAAAAAAAAAAACACAAATGGACTAAAGACTTAAATATAAAACCTGAAACCATAAATCTACTAGAAGAAAACATTCAGGAAAAGCTCCATGAGACTGGTCTGGGCAATGATTTTCTGGATATGACCCCCAAAGCACAGGCAACAAAAGCAAAAATAGACAAGCGGGATTATATCAAACTAAAAAGCTGTGCAAGCAAAGGGAGCAATCAATAGAGTAAAGAGATAGCCTACAAAAAGGGAGAAAATATTTGCAAGCCATACATCTGATAAAGGATTAATATCCAGAATATATAAAGCATTCATACAACTCAATAGCATGAAAACATATAACCTGATTAATGAAAGGGAGGCAAAGTATCTGAATAAACATTTTTCCAAAGAAGACATACAAATGGCCAACAGGAATATGAAAAAATAACCAACATCACCAGTCATCAGAGAAACACAAATCAAAACCACAATGAGACATCCCTTTTAGAATGGCTACTATGAAAAAGACAAAAGATAACATGTGTTGGCGAGGATGTGGAGAAAAGGGAGCCTTTGTATACTGTTGGCAGGAAAGTAAATTAGTACAGCCATTATGAAAAATAATATAGAGGTTTCTCAGAAAGTTAAAAATAAAACTACCGTATGATCCAACAATCCTAGTACTATTTATATACCCAAAGAAAATGATTCAATATGTCAAAGAAAAATCTGTACCTCATGTTCATTGCAACATTATTCACAATAGACAAGATATGAAATCAACCTAAGTATCCTTTAACAGATGAATGATTAAAGAAAATGTGGTGTGTATATACATAATGAAATATTGTTCAGCCTTAAAGAAAGAAATCCTGTCTTTTGTAATAACATGGATGAAACTGGAGGACATTATATTAAGTGAAATAAGCCAGGCACAGAGAGATAAATGCCATGTAATCTCGCTTATATGTGGAATCTAAAAAAGTCAAACACATAGAAGCAGAAAAGAGAATAATGGTTATTAGGGGAGGGGAAGGAGGGTAGAACTGGGGAGATGTTGGTCAAAGGATACAAAAATTAAGATAAGCAGGAAGAACAAGTTCAAGAGACCTATTGTACAACATGGTGACTACAGTTAATAACAATGTATTGCATACTTGAAAATTGCTAGGACAGTAGATTTTAAGTGTTTTCACCACAAAAGAAATGATAAGTATGTGAGGTAACACATGTATTAATTAGCTTGAGTTAGCCATTTCACAGTGTATCCATATTTCAAAACATCAGGTTGTACACTACAAATATATACAATTTTTGTTTGTATATTTAAAATTTTTTAATATTTAAAAATTCAACTCAAAAATAAATTCTTGGCCAGGCACAGTGGCTCACACCTGTAATCTCAGCACTTTGGGAGGCCAAGGTGGTGGATCATGAGGTCAGGAGATCGAGACCATTCTGGCTAACATGGTGAAAACACATCTCTACTAAAAAAATACAAAAAAAATTAGCTGGGCATGGTGGCGGGCGCCTGTAGTCCCAGCTACTTGGGAGGCTGAGACAGGAGAATGGCGTGATCCCAGGAGGCAGAGCTTATAGTGAGCTGAGATCACGCCACTGTACTCCAGCCTGGTGACAGTGCAAGACTCTGTCTCAAAAAATAAAAAAATTAAAAAAAAATCAGTAGGCAGAACTTTGCACTACGCACCTTGTCATTCACTTTGCATGGAAAGAGAAGAGACTCAAAGTAAGAATGTACTGACTCTTGGTCAAATGGCTTGGCTACAGGTCAGGGGGATGGAAGGAGAAAATTTGGAAGACTGGAGAAAAAGACATCTGAGAAAAGGACATATGGGTGGACTTATGGGGATGTACAAAAAGTATGAAGATCTTTGTTTCACATGTTAACACCTACAAGAGGTATCTATCAACAACCAAGGAGAAAAGTGACTCAGCCAGATGATGTTAGCCAACCTCTTCCATTGGCCAGCTCAGTACTGGCACAATTGGTGAATAAATATAGTGACAAGGATGGAGGCTATGCAGAGGCCCAAACAGCAGAAGTCTCCACTGACTAAGTCTTATCTAGCTACTGCTGCTTCTGAATGTCAAAGTTGTCATCAAGACAGAGCAACACTGAGGCCTCAAGATAGCATCATCCCTCAAGGACACTAAGTAGCCACATGGTGGCAAGCTGAATGCACTGGATTCTTTCCATCACAGGAAGGGTAATGATTCATCTTGGCTGGAACTGATACTTATTCTGAGTATGGATTTATCTTTCCTACTTACATGGCCTCAACCAGCACCACTATCCAAGGATTGACAGAATGTTTAATCCTCCAATATGGAATCCTACACATCCTTGCATTGTACTTTATAGCACTGTATAAAGGGAATGTACTTTGTAGCACTGCAGTTGCAGTGGTGGACACATGAAAATGCATTTCAGTGATCCTAATACAAATCACGAAATCACAACAACTAGAAGCTGTCAAACTGATGGAGTGATGGAACAGACTCCAGTAGCCCTTTGAAGCTGCAGGGATGGGATACAAGCATATATCCTAGATCAGTAACCATTATATGGTCCCATGTCGCTAATAGAAAGAGGACCATGGATTAAAGAAAGAGTAGCACTATTTACCGTCACCCCCAGGGATTCACTTGGGAAATTTCTGCTTCTTATCTCTGCAATTCAATGCTGTTACACAACGGAAGTAGACAGGAATGTGTTTGGCAGCCAAGGGATGTTTAAGTAGTCCCTTACTAAATTTTGATTGCTCAATTTAAAAGGACAAGTCTAGTAGCCATGACTACTACACCCCCCTCTCCTATCACCAGGTAAGTGACCTAGACCAGTGGAGGTGCTAGCTGAGGGTAAGAATGTAAACCTGATAGTACCTGTATAGTAGGAAAGGCAGATGATCAGTTTAGGGTGAAAGACCAGTTGAAGAGCCAAGGAGCTATTTTTCCCTCCATGAATGTTACTTTCACGTTTCCCCAGCAAAAGAAACCAACCAAAATCCTGGAGGAGCTATTCCTAGATGGAGAGAAGTTATATGAAGTCATGGATCCAAATGACATGAGGGATGGACAGAGTAGTGTCTTCTGTGGTGCGTAGTCCAGGCCTCCCTGCAGAATGGAGACCCTCATTCCCCAGCTTCCTTAGAGTGCTGTCTGTTGAGGGCATATGACTAAGTTCATGCCCTAGGAATTGCCCTCAGGCCAAAAGAAACTGTGTAGTAGAAGTCACATCCTTGGGGCAAGAACTTAATTTGAATTCATATTGATTGTTGTCAACAGAATTTTAAGTACTGTATGGTATGTGCGTGAAAGGAAAAAGAACATTTGAAATGAGCTAATGTAGAGTGGATCTATTGGGGAACTATTGGTGAATAATGATGTGGTCAGTGAGGTTCACTGAAGTTCACAGGGTTATTTGAACAGAAAACAACTGGGAGAGGTGGATTTGACACTCAGATTGGGGGACTGCACAAATAATAAGGTATCTGGGCTTCAGTTTTCTCATCTAGAACATGAGGGACTAAATGACTGCCAAGTATCTTCCAGCTTCTATATTCTGTAATGCTTAAGTACTCTGCAGAATATTAAAATGAACAGCACTGGGAGATAGTCCATGGGCTTGAAAAGTGAGGAAAAACAGAAACTGCCAGAGAGAGTTTGTTAAAACCTTAAAAACCTGCACATGGCTGTTTATAACAGTTGTATTCATAACTGCCAAAACTTGGAAGCAACCAAGATATCCTTCAGTAAGTTAATGGCTACACAAACTGTGGTACTTCCAGACAAGGGAATATTATACAGCACTAAAAAGAAATCAGATATTAAGCTAAGAAAAGACATGGAGAAGACTTAAATGTATATTGCTAAGTAAAAGAAGCCAGCATGAGAAGGCTATATATTGTATGGTTCTAAGTGTATGACTATCTGGAAAAGGCAATACTATAATGTAGAAACATCAGTGGTTTCCAGCAATTTGAGGAAAGTAAGAGAGGGATACATAGGTGGAACACAGAGGATTTTTATGGTGATGAAACTATTCTGTATGATACTGGTGGATATCTGTCATTATACAGTTGTCAAAATTCACAGAACTTTACAACACAAAGAGTGAATGCTAATGTAAACTATGGACTTCAGTTATAATAATGTATCAATATGTATCAATTGTAACCAATATACCACATTAATACATGGTGTTAATAATAGGGTAAATTGTGTACAGAGGTAGGGATTGGGTGGAGAGTGGGATAGGAAGGTAGTGTTACATGGGAACTCTGTGTACTTTCTGCTCATTGGTTTCTGTAAACCTAAAATTGCTCTAAAAAACAAAGTCTACTAATTTTGAGAAATTTGATGAAAAATGAATATTCATGTAGTACCAAGGTATAAACTCAGAGATCACTGGCTAATTACAGAGGAAAATATACCATTACAATATAGACATCTGGCAATCACCACCTTAATTTAGGAATGAAAATTAGCATCACTGGCAGTGGGACAACCAGACATAAACTTCGTAATGTGCCACTATTGGAAGTATACGACATCACCTTTGAATGATTCTGGCCAAAAAATTTAACCTGAATGTAACCAAGTCTTTAAATTTAACTTCAAACTTCAGAAAATTGAGGGGATAGACAAACAAACTTAATGAAACCATGAACAGTCCCACAAATCCAGAATGTGAGATATTCTACGTGACAACTAGCATGGTTCCTTTAAAATGTCAATACCAGCTGGGCACGGTGGCTCGCACCTGTAATCCCAGCACTTTGGGAGGCTGAGGAGGGTGCATCATGAGGTCAGGAGATCGAGACCATCCTGGCTAACATGGTGAAACCCCGTCTCTACTAAAAATACAAAAAATTAGCCGGGCGTAGTGGCGGGCGCCTGTAGTCCCAGCTACTTGGGAGGCTGAGGCAGGAGAATGGCGTGAACCCGGGAGGCGGAGCTTGCAGTGAGCCGAGATCCCGCCACTGCACTCCAGCCTGGGCGACAGAGCGAGACTCCGTCTCAAAAAAAAAAAAAAAATACAAAAAATTATCCAGCCGTGGTGGCAGGCACCTGTAATCCCAGCTACTCAGGAGGGTGAGGCAAGAGTATCTCTTGAACCCAGGAGGCAGAGGTTGCAGTGAGCCAAGATCACGCCACTGCACTCCAGCCTGGTGACAAAGCAAGATGCCGTCTCAAAAAAAAAAAAAGTCTATGCCATTTAGCAAGGGATTAAGTATGGAGAAATCTACTGGATTACAAAATAAGAGACAAAAACAAAATGTAGTGTCCAGTTCTCGATTGGATCCTGGCTTTTAAAAATTGCTATAATTGGGAAAAAATTAAGAAAATGTGAATCATAGGGTGTAATTATGCAAACCTAGATGGTGTATATACGTATATTTTTGAGACAGAGTCTCACTGTGTCACCCAGGCTGGAGTGCTGGTGCGATCTCAGCTCACTGCAACCTCAGCCTCCCAGGTTCAAGCAATTCTCGTGCCTCAGCCTCCTGAGTAGCTGGGATTACAGGCACCTGCCACTGCACCAGGCTAATTATATTTTCAGTAGAGACGGGGTTTCACCATGTTGGCCAGGCTGGTCTCAAACTCCTGACCTCAGATGATCTGCCCACCTTGGCCTCCCAAAGCGCTGGGATTACAGGCATGAACCACTACATCTGGCCCTATATATTTTCACTTATTTATTTTTTATAAGGAAAATCAAATGTTCCAGCACCACTACTGAGCATCAGTCATTCCTCTACTTGAGCTGCAATGCCATATCAAGGGCCATATACTGTTTATCAAGTTTCTATATATGTTCCAGTTTAATCTTATGAGACCACCACAGTGTAGATGGTCGACTAGTTGACTGAAATGTGTTACATGGGGCATGACTGTTTATATTTGAAAATATTTGGGAGTTGAATAATTTTAAGGAATTACTGATAACTTGGTGTGAAAGGATAAGGGAATTGTGGTTATGCAAGAAAATGGCTTTAGTTTTTGAATATGCAGGCTTAAGTATACAGAGGCAAATTAGCATGATGCCTATAATTTACTTTTAATTCAAATTGAAAAATTACATAAAGAAAACTTGACAAAATATTAACAATTAATGGGATTTAGGTGGTGGTTATGTGGGTGCCCATTTTTTCTACCTTTCTGTAGGCTCCAATGTTACATAATTAAAAGGGAAAAAATGGGGCCACAAGAGAAGGTACAATTAAACATTAATGGGTCCCTTCTCCCAAGCGGTTAGTGCTGAGAGTGTGGAGTGTGTTCTCCAGGATCAGCACATATTTATTATCTTGAAAAATCCATTCCCCCGAAAAACATCCCATGAAAAAAACTTAAAAAAAAAAAGGTTTCTGTTTTAACACCGGTCACCCCTGCAAAACACTTTACAAAAAAATCCTTGTCTTCACTGCCACAGACATTTTCCTTTTCTTCTTGTATAAGATTACCCGGTGAGGCAGCCGAGAGCGACCCCCCCGCCCCCTCGCAGCTCCGAAGCAGCTTCAAGAAGGAACAGGATCCCGAGGCCTGGACGCTGGACCCTACACCGCCACCCTCGTCCCAGCCCTCTGCGGGTCGCAGTTCCTCGGCCGTGGAGTAGTTTGGGATTCCAGGTGATTTTGTGTTTGTGCGCTGGCCCAGGCTTCCGCCCCAGCCCTTACTCTCCTTTCACGGAAAGGTCGCAGCCTGTGGCCCTACCGGCAGACAGGTGCAGAGGTGAGCCCAGCGTCCCAGCCATCCCCTGTCCTCGCACCGCACATGACCAGGCCTGCTGGCCGGTCCTCTCTATCCCGGGCTACAGGAACCAGATCACCGGCGCTCCTTGGGAAACGCAGGATGTGGAATGTGGTTAAGACCCCATGAATTTTGATGTTATAAAAGACTAGCCAATACACACTAAGTGGTCTCGGTGTGATCCATCACTCCGCAAAAATGGAGTGGGCAACATGTTCATAAAAAAATTGGACAAATCTATTGATTATAAAGCATTGCATGATATATCTGCTTTTGGTAACATCTTTTTGTTGCAGAAAAAACCAGGTTCTTGTCATACCACCAGGAAAAGGCACGCAAACACTTGAAGGGTGAGGGGGAACGGAGTTTATTGGGTGGAAAGGAAAAAGCAAAAATAACTCTCAGCAAAGAGAGAAAGAGTCCTGCTAGCAGGTTTCCCGCCTCATAGATTAAATCCTAGGTCACTACATGGGAACAGGCCAGACTCCTCTCCACTGCACACCGCACAAACTTCCCAAGGCTCCACCCCGTAATCCCAGTGCACAGGTGGGCATTATTCAGAATCAGTGAGGAAAGGGCGGCTTCAACCAGGACCTGCAGTCCAGTTTATCAGCCTTCAGGCTGTTTTAGTCTTGAAGGTGGTGTTTTACCAGAGGACCCTTGGCTGCCTCCTGTCTCTATCACTTTCACATTAGGTGCTTTGTGGTGAAAACAGTTTCAAGGGTGATGGCATTGTACATTTTGAGACACAGAAGCAGCTGAAAGATCTATTCAAAAATGAAATGGATGCTTCTAAATGATAGCAAAGTCTTTGTTGGATTAAGTCTTGTAAACAATGAGAAGCAGAACTCAGAGTTAAAAAGTTCACCAATGTTTACAGGAAGATTTTTGGAGAAGACATGGATGGTAGGTGCCTTAAAGATCTCTTTGGCAAGTTGGGATCTGTCTTAAGTGTGATAGTAGTGGTTAATGAAAGTGGAAAACCCAAAGGTTTTGGATTTGTCAGCTTTGAAAGGCATAAAGATGCGCAGATGAGATGAACAGAAAGAAGCTCAATGGAAAACAAATTGATGTTGGTCAAGCTCAGAAAAAAAGTAGAATGGCAGATGGAACTTGTGTGCAAATTTGAAAAGATCAAGCAGTATAGGATCACCAGATAACAAAGTGTTAACATTTATGCAAAAAATCTTGATGGTATTGATGAATGTCTCTGGAAAGAACTTTCTCCACTTGGTACAATCACCAATGCAAAGGTTATGAAGGATGGTTGTCACAACAAAGGGTTTGATTTGTGTATGTTTCTCCTCTCCAGAGGAAGCAACTAAAGGACTTTCAGAAATGAATGGTAGCATTGAGGGCACTGAGCCATTGTATATAGTGTTAACTCCATGGGAAGAAAAGCAATGAAGAGCACCAGGCTCAGCTCATTAACCAGTGCAGTATGTGCAAAGAATGGCAAGTGTAAAAACTATGCTCAACCTGGGAATCAGTTCCTATCAGCCAGCACCTTCTTCAATTGACTTCATGGCAGTTATCCCACAGACTGAGAGCCATGCTGCAAAGTATTCTCCTAGCCAAACTGCTCAACTAAGTTCAAATCCTCCCTAAATTGCTCAGGGTGCCAGACCTCATCCATTGAAAAATATGCCCAAGCCGCTCCTAGCTCACTACATTTAGTAGTAAGAGACCAGCTTCTTCATAGCTTCCATGAGTCATGTCAACACAGCTGTTGTAACCCATCGAAACAGACAATAGGAGCACATCCTGCAGTTGCCGCTACTGCTACTACAGATACTCCTGCTTTTTGTACCATTTCACAGTATAAATATGCTATGGAAGCTCACAATCCTCAATGGCATTTTCATGCACAGCCCCAGGTTACCTTGAAGCAGCCTGCTGTTCATGTAGAAGGTCAAGAACCTTTGACTTCCATGATGGCATCTGCTCCTCCTCAAAAGCAAAAGGAAACGAGTGAATGGCTGTTTCCTCTTCTTCAAGCCATGCCCTAGTCGTGCTGGTAAAATCATTGGTATGTTGTTGGAGATTGGTAATTTGGAACTCCTTCATATGCTTGAATCTCCAGAGCCTCTCTATACTAAGGTTGACAAAGGTATAGCTGTACTACAAGACCACCAAGCTAAAGAGGCTGCCCAGAAAGCAGTTAATGGTGCCACTGGTGTTCCAATTGTTTAAAACTGATCAGGGACCACAGAAAGAAACTTGAGCATCACTGAAGAAAAATATCTCAATATCAAAAACCTTAAATACTATGGAAAAAATTTGTAAAGTATAAAATAAATTTAAAAAGGAAACTTTGAACTTTACATACCAAGCAGATGTCAGATCTAACAAATGCAATGATAGTCCTAGATTACTTATTGATTTGAAAAGAAAAAATCCTCCCAAAATAATAAAATATAGAAACACTGTAATGCTTTTCAGACTCTGTGATAAATAATTTTCAGCAAAGTATAAAAATTTAAAGCATTCCTTTAATTTTGTAATTCATTAGTGTGGAATAGCTAAGAATGTCACTTCTGTTTTAAGTAACAGAATTGATAACTGAGCAAGGAAAGGTAATTTGGATTATAAAATTTTGCTTTAATAAAAATTCCTTAAACAGTGAAAAAATAGGCAAAGATACAAAAAAAGTTTATAAGAAACAACAATCTTGTATTTATTTGTTTTTTATTTTATTTTATTTTATTTTATTTTTTTGAGATGGAGTCTCACTCTGTCACCCAGGCTGGAGTGCAGTGGTGTGATCTTGGCTCACTGCAACCTCTGCCTCCCAGGTTCAAGTGATTCTTCTGCCTCAGCCTCCCGAGTAGCCGGGACTACAGACACCTACCACCATGCCTGGCTAGTTTTTTGTATTTTTAGTAGAGACAGAGTTTCACCATGTTAGCCAGGATGGTCTCCTTCTCCTGACCTCCTGATCCACCCGCCTTGGCCTCCCAAAGTGCTGGGATGGTGTGAGCCACTGTGCCCAGCCTTATTTGTTTAAATACTATAAACACTAATATCATACACATGGTTAACTGGTTGTAATTTTTAAATTATATTAATAAATTTTTATAAAAACTTTTTATAAATAAAAAACTTAAAATTTCAAATAAATAACAACATCTGCCACACTACCTTAAAACGGCGACTATTTCAGTATTATAAACATATATCACAGACACTTAGAGAAAGTTCAATAAATAAAGAATAAAAAGAAAAGGTACAACAATTTTCCTCCTAATCAAAAACACAATTCCTCATTTTGAAAATTATTTCTTATCTCTCTTTTATTAAAATAAACTTTCTACTTTGAAATCTAATCCTCTTGTGAATGTAAAATACTATCTTGTAAATATATATATATACACATATATTTTATTATTTTTTTTTTTTTGAGACAGAGTCTTGCTCTGTCTCCCAGGCTGGAGTGCAGTGGTGTGATCTCAGCTCACTGCAACCTCTGCCTCCTGGGTTCAAGCGATTCTCCTGCCTCAGCCGTCTGAGTAGCTGGGATTACAGGTGCATGCCACCACATCTGACAAATTTTTTGTATTTTTAGTAGAGACGGGCTTTCACTATGTTGGTCAGATTGGTCTCGAACTCCTGACCTCGTGATCTGCCCGCATTGGCCTCCCAAAGTGCTGGGATTACAGGCATGAGCCACAACACCCTGCCTATATTTTTATTTTTTTATAAGTGACAATGAGATGTCCTCATGATTTAAATAGTAGTCAAAACACTGGCACAGTTTAAATTTTTAGAATTTGAGTACTAGAATTACAATATTTGAAAATGGAGTCTGTACTTTGTTGTAAAACTATAAAGAGAAAATGTCACTAAAACAGTAGCTATTTTATCTTTTCCCAGAGTTATTCTCCCAGAGTGTATTTTCTAAGAGTTGTTTCCCAGACGGTTTTAGAACTTTTGGCAGTTTCGGTGATATATTCTGTAAAGGCCCTTAGTCTTAATAGGGATAACACATAGTTTTGATTGCCTTAAATTTTAATTGCTTCACTTGGCAAATGTATGTGTAAATTTCATATTCTGTGGTATTTTAATATCTTGCTTGTGAGAAGAGGAAAAAGAGGAATGAAAGTAATATTCAGTCCTTGCATTGAGCTTTTGCCAAAGAAGTCTAAAGAATTTCTAAAATGCCATTCAATAAGGCCATTTTAGAAGTGTTTATATGACTCTTATAACTTTAAAATAAAGAGTCTTGAAGTTAACTAAAACTCACTTTGCTTGTGATGGGTTCTACATTAACATGGCAGATTTAATCAGCCAGAATTAAAAGGTAATTTTATATTACTAAGGAGAAGAAACTGCCACATGACAGTAGTCTCCAAGTCTTTCATTTTTGGAGGCTGCCTTTTATGTCTAGATTTTAAAATACTAATTGAAAAAAATATAGTTTACTTCCATTTGTGATTTAATTTTATTTCTATAAATAAAAATATAGATAGTGTTTCAACTAAAAACCGCTAAACCAGACTTTCATTTTAAGGGCATGGCAGAAATAAGGAAAGACTAACTTGGTTCTATTACTTAACATATTATTTATTCAGGTAGTCACCAAAACCAGAATTTAAAATCTATTCGGTTAACCCATTTAAAGTTGATGTGTTTTACTCCCTTTTTTTTCTTTTTGTAGTGATCTTTTTAACTGAATTACTGGATATCATAGGGAGTTCTACTCCTCCTATTTGGAAACTTAGGCTATCTTACCAAGTTCAACATTCAGTTTTTCTTTCTGCCGTTAAGTTTGTTTAATTTTATATTAAGCTCAGTTTGCATTATGATATCAAATTCAGCCTGAGGGATTACTTTAAACTTTCCTAGGGTATTTACAGATTTAATTTGTTCTTACAGTATGTAAATACCAAGACAGCATTCCATTTAATATTATTTTTATTAAATTAACTTTGGAGTAAAAAGTCCAAGAAAAGCCCTGTACCGAAATCCTGGATTTTCTACATATTTCTACTTTAAAATTCTTCTGTCATGTGAAATAATTCATTAAAAGAAGTAGGCAGATGATGACAGGTAAACTTTTTAATGATGTTCTAATGCTGGCAATTGCAGTATTATTTTGCTTGGATCATAATGGCGTGTGAGCATTTTAAGCCCCAGAATGCCCATAAGTAGAGCTCCATTTGGAGCTGTGATCAAGATGGCTAAAAATGCTACTGTCATCACATCCTTTGCATATGGTTCCAAGTGGGGTGCGGAGACTGTTGCTGTTTCTAGAGCCAGAGGACCTAACACAGCCTACATTTAGGGGTAAAAATGGGGCATAAAGAAAAATATTAAACTGAGTTAATATATAATGTAAATGGCTCTGTTAAAATAAACAAAATCTAGTACTAGACTATTAGAAAAAAAAAGTACTCAGTAATTTTCATAAGTTACTCATCAGTTCCATGTTCTTCCTAGCAAATATATGTGGAGGAAGAGTACAATAGTGACAAATCAGCATGCAAACATTTTTCGGCTGATTTTGCACTCTTGTCCTCTCAGTGTTCCTCTATTCAAATATCTCTTTTGAGTGTTGCCCTCATAACACCAGGAGTTCTAACGAAACTGGTTTTGCTTAGTTGCCTTTATCGTGTACCAGTGGATTTTGACTACAAGAAGACAAAATAAAATATTAAGTTTTCTTCTGGTTCTCTAGGATTTGTTGCCCTTCTTCTCATTGTTGTCCTTATTCAGGGGGCACTGGGTTATAGCAGAACTGACAGCAGGCTTGGAATCTAGCAAACTGGGTTTGAATTCTATTTTTGCTTCAACCAGGCTAGTGACCTTGTACAAATGACTCACACTCTCTAACCTTCTACTTACTTACGTGTAAAACGAAGAACAAAATACTTATCTTACTGGACGGTTGTGAAAATTAAATATTAGGATGTGAAGAATACCTGGCACAGAGTAGGTATTCAGATAGTAGTAAGTTTCTTTCTCCTTCACTCCTCATCCCCTGCCAGGTCAGAGATTGAGTTCCTTTGAAGTTTTTGTTTTAGAATGACTCTACTGGGTCACAGGTTTTTTTCCCTAGTTACCTTCTACCACATTATTTTTAATAACATAAAGCAAATTTCTTGCTAACTCTCTTTCCTTGTGTTTAATAACTAGGCATGAAATTGCCTTAAAATTTGGGGGAATTAAATACCAATATATAACATATTTTCGATGGAGTTGCAAAGTAACAACATAATAGTAGAAACATTACCTCTGATATGGAACATTATGGCAAAAGAACCCCTCAATTTAAGATCAATTTCTATATCCTAAATCAATAATTTAAAATGGTATTATTTTTATATCATAACTTTCAATGTACTGAACATGATCCAGTATGCTGGAGGATGCTAGGGAGAAAAAAATAATCATGCAGAAAACCACCTTGAAAGAATCTTACAGTTTAGAAGAGGATTTGAACATAAAAGAACTGCCAACAGAAAAAACAAAAACAAAAACCAAACCCATTGACTTTTAAGAGATGATGACGATAATGGTGAAACTAGAAATAATATTTTTATAGTTATATGGCATTCATCATATGTCAGGTATCATTCTTAAAGCTTTCCATTTATCAATTCATTTAATTCTTATGACAACCTTATTATGTGAGGACTTTTATTAGATGATAAATGATTTCCTCCTAGTGACTGAGATTTAATATTATTTCTTTTAAAAAATCCAATTGCCAAGCTGATCTTACATTTGTAAATTAAATTATTTATTTACTCTCCTAATAGCTTCTATTTTTCCAGTCTAATTTTTATCAGTAACTCAAAACTAAGGAACAAGAGAAAGATGATCCTTAGCCAATTTTATTTTAGCAGCAGAGAACGGCGGAAGAGGATAAAGGTGAAAATAATTTAAAATTGAAATTTAAATATTTGTTGATCGTATTTACTTGTGACATTATTGTTATCTATTATTGCTGTTGTGACTCTACTTGTATAAATAATTAATTTTTTATGTCTTGCCAGTTCCTGGAACCAGCCTGATATTCTTTTTGTAGAAGCTAGCCTGGAGCCAGCAGACAGGAATAGGCAGAAGCAGAATAATACTGCAGGACTCGAGTGAGTGGTCTCTTTCCTCATACCAGCTTTTCTTTTTTCCCTGCTTTATGAAAATTATGAAATAATGAAACAAAATTGCAAGAGTATTGTTGGAAGGAGAGAGAACAGATACTCCTTTTGCAGATTTATTATTCCCTAGAGTAGACATTAAAAATAAAAAGTTATTATTTATATTTCTTGAAGGTAAGATAAAATAACAGCATTGTTTTTTAACTGAGCACCACCATATGCCAGAGAGAGTGCTAAGCACTTTACATGGATTATCTCATTGAATCCTGACAACACTGCTAAGAAACAGATACAGTCATAGACTTCATTGTAAGATGAGAACACTGAAGGACTGAGAGACTAGAAAATAATTTTCCTGAGGTTATAGGCAAGTAACATGGTATTCAAAACAGGTAGTCTGGCCCTATGAACCTGCTTTTCTAACATGATAATAGAGGTTTTTTTGCATGAAAATTTAGGAGCTTCTGTTTTGGAATAACAACTAAGAAAAGAGTCACAGGAAATTAAGGTATATTATGCTGCCAAGTTAAACAGTCTAACAAGAAGTAGCAATATATTTTAGTAGGAGGAGAATATCCTTGAATAACAGGGCAAAATTACAAGGTTTCCCTTTCCGTTCATTCATCCTTGCAGGCATGCAATACGTATTTGCCTCCTGCATGTCAGGCACTGTGTTAAGTGCCAGGGAGAAATAATGAAAAACAACGGCAACAACCAGACACTGTCCCTGTCCTTACGTAGTCTATCAAGGGGGCGGGGGCAGGGATTTAGCCATTAACCAAATAGTATACAAATAAATGTGTAATTAAAAAAATATATGTGCATTTGTGTGATGGAGTGAGTGGCAAGGTAGGAAAAGTATTTTTTAAAAAAATCAATGTGTCTCTATTTTACTTTACTTTTTTTTGTGACAGGGTCTCACTTTGTCACCCAAGCTGGAGTGAAATGGCGTGACCTCAGCTCACTGCAGCCTCAACCTCCTGAGTTCAAGCAATCCTCCTTCCTCAGCCCCCAAGTAGCTGTGACTACAGGTGCGTGCCACCACACCTGACTAATTTTTTTGTATTTTTTGTAGAGACGGGGGTTTTACCATGTTGCCCAGGCTGGTCTTGAACTCCTGAGCTCAAGTGATCTGCCTGCCTCAGCCTCCCGAAGTGCTAGGATTACAGGCATGAGCCACCATGCCTGGCCTGTGTCTCTACTTTTTAAAATCATAACATTTAGCTTTGTTATATTCAGCAAAATATAAAAACTCCAATTTTCAGATATATTCTTATTATATATTTTAGGAAAATAAAAAACATATTTTCATAAACTTAGGAAGTACTTATTGAAAGAATACTTTTTGATTTCAAAATAATTGCTTTTAAAACTGAGATTTCAAAAGGTTACATTGGCTGGGCCCAGTGGGTTATGCTTGTAATCCCAGAACTTTAGGAGGCTGAGGCAGGAAGATCACTTGAACCTAGGAGTTCAAGATCAGCCTGGGCAACATAGCAAGACCTCCTCTTTACAAAAAAATCAGAAAGAAAAGGCCAGGTGCAGTGGCTCATGCCTGTAATCCCAGCACTTTGGGAGGCTGAGGTGGGCAGATCACTTGACGTCAGGAGTTTGAGACTAGCCTGGCCAACATGATGAGACCCCATATCTACTAAAAATACAAAAATTAGCTGGGTGTGGTGGTGTGCACCTGTAATCCCAGCTACTGAGGAGGCTGAGGCAGGAGAATCGCTTGAACCTGGGAGGTGGAGGTTGCATTGAGCTGAGATCATGCCACTGCACTCCAGCCTGGGCAACAGAGTAAGACTGTCTCAAAAAAAAAAAAAAAATCTGAAAAAAAGCAGTTGGGTATGGTGGCAGGTGACTGTGATCCTAGCTACTCAGGAGGCTGATGTGAGAGGATTGTTTGAGCCCAGGAGGTTGAGGCTGCAGTGAGCCGTGATCATGCCACTGCACTACAGTTTGGGTGACAGAGTGAGACCTGGTCTCAAAATGAAAATAAAAATAAAAATAGAAAAAGGTTACATTGAGTTTCTTTGTTTGTTTTTGTTTATTTATTTATTTTTTTGAGATTGAATCTTGCTCTGTCACCCAGACTGGAGTACAGTGGTGCCATCTCAGCTTACTGCAACCTCCGCCTCCTGGGTTCAAGTGATTCTCCCATCTCAGCCTCCTGAGTAGCTGGGACTGGTTACGTTAATTTTAATGAATAGTTATGATCAATCAAACATTTAAAAAGTAAGGACAATAGCTCATATTTTGTGATTGGAGTAACATTTTTCATTTTAAATTTTAAAAGCATCAAAACAAAAGCATTAAGCAATAGGCTTAATATGTTCTTACCTGTACTGTAGCTTTGGGCATCCATGCTAAAGCAATAAATATTTTCTCCTTAAAACTAAAACCAGCAAAGCACATCAATAGATATGTGGTTAAAATTCGAACACATAATGCCAAACTCAAGAGTGGCAACAGATATGCCTACAACAGATGAAAACAAACATAAATAACAAAATATTTGTGAAGAAGTGTTCTTTATGCCCAGGAATATGATTTCTAAAACTTTCGAAAGCATTTTAAGGCTATTGTCTCTTCATGTGTTTAATTTTTACATAAAATAATGATAATAAAAAATGAATATGATGGAGGATTCTCTGTAAAGTGCAAGACAGTATCTGATGGTGGAGGTTCCATGAAAAATAAGACAGATGACATTTATACAATTCTGAACTAATAGACTTTTTTTGAATACTTTTATTATTATTAATAATAATTTACTTTTTGAGAAGGATTCTTGCTCTGTCGCCCAGGCTGGAGTGCAGTGGTACAATCTCAGCTCACTGCAACTTCCGACTCCCGGGTTCACGTGATTCTCCTGCCTCAGCCTCCTGAGTAGCTGGGATTATAGGCGCGCACTACCACACCTGGCTAATTTTTGTATTTCTAGGAGAGATGGGGTTCCCCATGTTAGCCAGGCAGGTCTTGAACTCCTAACTTCAAGAAGTGTGCCCGCTTCGGCCTCCCAAAGTGCTAAGTTTACAGGCATGAGCCACCATACCCAGCCAATAGTTTTAAATGAAAGTACTCAAAAAGTGCTGATCGTATCAAATATGTTCCCTCAGGAAAGAAATCTTATATTTATTTCCTTAGATAACTCAGGGAAGATATTCAGGGCTGTCCCTGGTTTAAAAAAGAAAGAGCACACAGTGTAAAGGAAGAGCAATATGAAAATATGACACTGTATCAACATGTGTTTCTGAAGAAGGTCCTTGTAGCCATTCAAAGATATATTGTAAATAAAAATAAATGCATTTATAATTTTCTTAAATATTTTTGAATTTCATATTTTTTGTGCTCTATTTATTCTTACCAACAATATTTGATTCAAGCGATGAAACAGATACTTCTGCTCCAACTAAACCAAAAAGAAGTGGTTGAAAAATATCCCATACATTTGTAATAATCTTTTGGACTTTCATCTATAGAAAAGAGAAATACATTTATAATTATTTTGGCACATAAATATATTTCAGAAAGTTAAGTTCTCCCTCACCTTTTTTTTTTTCACTTTTTAAGTATTTTAGAGATGGGGTCTTGTTCTGTTGCCCAGGCTGGAGTGTAGTGGCATAATCTTAGCTCACTGTAGCCTTGAACTCCTGGGCTCAAGTGATCCTCTCGCAGTCTCCCAAGTAGAACTACAGGTGTGTACCTCCATGCTGGGCTAATTTTTAAATTGTTTATAGAGACGGGGTCTCGCTATATTGCCCAGGATGGTCTAGAACTCCTGTCTTCAAGTGGACTCTGGCTGTGGCCTCCCAAAGCACTGGCATTATAGGCATGAGCCACCATGCCTGGCCTAAAGTCACTTAACATTTAATAAATTTAATACACTTTATTTTAATAAAAATGTTAAACTTAATTAATAAAAACTGAGCACTTCAATAGTTTTACTTAAACACTTAGGTAGAATTTGATTAAAAGAAACTTACAAAGCAATAAAACAATACTATTTGGCCATTTTGTCACAGAATAAGTGATGTCCTTAGGGTTCTAGCCATGTTTCGTATGAGTTCCAGATTTTGTCTCTAAGTTAACTGAACAGAGATAGAACTACCTCATGCCTGATGAGAACATACCCAGTTCATGCAAACATTTGGGATCTCAGAAGGAGGTTGGGAAGCCTTCCACTAACAACCATCCTGGAACTCAATCCCATTAAAGTGAATCCTGATATATATAGCATATACTACTAGGAAAAACAATTTGGAAGTCTACTAGGCCTGCTTCCAAAGAACCCGTGTTGAATACTTTAAAGTTACTTTTTCCTCAAAACAAAAGAAAACATATATTAGATTCTCATTTAGCTGCCTATCCGGCTTCCCTTTCTGAAAACGAATGCCTCCCAGTACTACTTCCCCAATTAAAAGGTTACAGGAAAGGCCCCCTATTGGCCTACATTACTCTGGCTCTTCTCCAGGAATTTGGATGAAGAGATTTCAGTCTCAGTCTGGGTTTAATTTTTTTTTTAAACAGAAGATACATAAGAACTTTGATGTCTCTTCCTTGAGGCATAAACTATCTTTATAACTATTTCCCTTATGACTGTGTTTTCTGATCCCCACTTATTATAGTTTAAAAAAAGAAAAACAAAGAAAAACGATGTTACTACTCTTTACAGCATAATTATCCTGTTTGTTACTTTTAATCTTTAAAACTTGTTTTAGTTCTGTGTCTTTTACCATTTAAAAAAATTCTAGCAGTTTTAATTTTATTTATTGATTTGCATTTCATTCATTTCTTTTATAATTATGATTATATAAGAATACTAAGCAAAATGCCACTATGATTTTTGATTAGGGAATTTCTCAAGCTGATTCTAAAATTTATCTAAGAAAGAATATGTGTAGGAACAGCCAAAAAATACTTTAAAAAGAAGTAAAATCTATATTAGATTTTGACACATAAAAGTGCAGTGATTTAAAACAGTGGTGTTGGCATAGAAATAGAGAAGTAGGATTAAATAGACTTCAGAATTAATATATATGGGAGAATTTAGTTCATGTTAAAAAACTGAATTATTAATGAATTGGTCAATAAATAAACAATTTGGCAAAAAATGACTGTCTAGATTATGTGCATATATATGTATGTACATATTCATCACATGCAAGTATATATGTGTGTCTGAATATGTATGTATATTTATGTGTGTGTGTGTATATATATATATATCTATACACACACACACATCAGGCATGATGTAGTTCTATCTCTGTTCAGTTAACTTACAAACTGTATGTGTGTGTGTGTGTATATATATATAGTTTGTAAGATACACATATGTATATATGTATAACCTTACCTCACAGAATTCACAAAGATAAATTCCAGATAGATTAAAAGACTAAATGAAAGAACAAATTAATCAAACAAAAACTACCAAAATATTAAATGATAATACACAAAATAGTATATCTTTGTAATGTTTATATGTTATAATCTTCAGTGAGAAAGTCCTTCTTAAATGAGATGCAGAATCCAAAATCAAAAATGGAAAACCCAATAGGTTTGGTCATAGGAAATTTTACTTTCATACACCAGACACCATAAACAAAGTTGAAGATAAGCAAAAAATATATGCAATATATACATAACAAAGGATCAGTAGCCCTAACACTAAGAGAAACTATAAATTAGAAACAAAAAAATAAATAACCCAATAAAAATGGTCAAAGAAGATCATAGGTATTTTAAAAAGAATATATGAAGAGAAGCTTACTATACTACTAATCAGAGAAATGTAAATAAAGAATAACAACACCACATAATTGTAAGAAACTATAAGAATTGGATGGTGAGGTCATTTAATAGTAAAAAGAATAGAACTAGTGATAATATCAAGTGCTGTTGATGAGTTAAGGTATTAGATATTGTTGTGCACTGTTGGCAGAGTGTAAATAACCAAAATTTTTGAAGGGATAATTTAGCAGTGTCCATCAAAATAAAACACAGATCATTTCCAGCCAGGTGTGGTAGCTCATGCTTGTAATCCTAGCACTTTGCAATGTCAAGTTGGGAGGATTCCTTGAGCTCAGGATTTTGAGACCAGCCTGGGCAACATAGATAGAGACTCTGTCTCAAAAAAAAAAATCATTTCTAGGACTCTATTCCTACAGATGTACCTGTAATCCCAACACTTTGGGAGGCCGAGGCAGGAGTATCACCTGAGGTCAGGAGTTCAAGACCTGCCTGGCCAACATGGTGAAATCCCGTCTCTACTAAAAATACAAAAATTTGCTGGGCGTGGTGGTGCGTGCCTGTAATCCCAGCTAGTAGGGAGGCTGAAATAGAAGAATCACTTGAATCCAGGAGGTGGAGGTTGCAGTGAGCCAAGGTTATGCTACTGCAGTCCAGCCTGGGTGACAAGAGTGAAACTGTGTCTCAAAAAAAAAAAAGACATGAACAACACTGTTTATGACAGCACTGTTTGTAAATAACAAAAAGTGGAAACGATCTTAATGTCTACAAATAGAATACTGGTTACTTAAAAAAATGTAAAGGGGTTCGATATTTGACAGTGGTGGGGAATAAAGAAATCTTTTACATTTTATTCTATATGTTTTATTCTTTTACAAGCATTTCTATTTTTATTATTTGTTTGTTTATTATTATTTTGTGTGTGTGTGATGGAGTTTTGCACTTGTTGCCCAGGCTGGAGTGCAATGGCATGATCTCAGCTCACTGCAGCCTCCGCCTCCTGGGTTCAAGCAATGCTCCTGCCTCAGCCTCCTGAGTAGCTGGAATTATAGGTGCCCACCACCACGCCACCATGCCCAGCTAATTTTTGTATTTTTAGTAGAGATGGGGTTTCACTATGTTGGCCACGCTGGTCTCAAACTCCTGACCCCAGGTGATCTGTCCACCTCGACCTCCCAAAGTTCTGGGATTACAGGCATGAGCCACCGTGCCTGGCCTTTTACAAACATTCTTCATGGATTAATTGTATAATTAAAATTTCAATGAATAAAATAATTAGATTGATATAAGTAATATAATAATATTATATAAAACTTGGGAAAAAGAGAAACCTGATGTGATTAACGCAACTTCTGATTCCATATTAGTATATATCCAGCTGCTTTTCCTAAATATTTTATTTCCTCAATTGATTCATACACTTTCTTGAGGATAGCAAATCTTTTGGAATATTTTCCAACCAGAATGAGGGGATTTCCTAAATATATGTAAAAAATTCAGTTGTCTTAGCTTTTAAAATATAGCATATTAAAAATATTCACCTTTTCTTGGGACCATTTTGTCCCTGCAATGAAACTCAACACTAGTGTGCATAATCCTCCAGATCCATGTAAACCAATACGTTGGCTGCCTAAGACAGCAGAAACACACGTAGTCAAAACAAGGAATCCTCTCTTCAATGTAAGTTTTTTCTAGAATTAGATAGATATTTAGAAATTAGTTTATATTAAATATATAATACAAGATTTGACATTATCTATTATATATGTTTGACCTTTTGATATTATGTCTTTAAATGTTATATTAAATGTCTAAAATTTTGATTTTCTTTCTCACCATACATTTTAGTAGACTTACTACCAAGTAACAAAATTTCCAATTAGTAACGTTTCATCTTCTGCCACATCTCTGATACTAGTATCAGTAAAATGGTTTAAGTATTACTTTAAGTGAAGAAGAAAAGAGACCCATAAAATCTCCAGTTTCATATAACATATCCAATGAATTCTTAAAAAATATTTGAATTACTCTTTGGTCAATATGTTACAGCTAAATTTGGATGGAAATTACAGAAATACAAAAGTAATGTCATGTTTTCCTTTAAGGCAGGAAATGGCTAAGTTTGAGTGTTGCCTTTGTCAAAGGATAGCAGGAGTGAATTTCAGTCAGAAAATATGCAGAAATAAATGGGAACCTATCTCCCCCTAAAATGTTTAAGGGGAAATTATCAAACATCAATAGGCAATTTAGTAGAGAAAGGGAAAGTATAATTCAGAGGGATACTCTGCATCAAGTATATTTTTTGACATTCCTTATTTGCCAAATCAGGAAGCAGAGACTTTAATCAAAGCCATTGACCTGTATCAATCACTGCTGTGCTCAGTTTTAAATACAGAGTAGGCATTGGAGGCTAGTTTTAGAAAAATAGAGTTAAGTATTAAATTTCATGGATCTTACCAAAGTTTAATATTTTGAAAAAAATGTCTAATACTATACTTCTATAAAATAGATTTTGTATTTACTTGGTCTTCACTTGGAAAATATCGAACAAAAAATCCCAAAACAATTCCTGCCAGCAGACTAATGCATACGTTCCTTATAGAGACTATGGCATTATTAAGCATACCACCTGTAGGGGCACACAATAAAAAAAAATTCACAAAGAAATATTTTCACATACACTACACATCAGAAAAGCAAATCTAGGTGGTTCATGAAGAAAAGTAAGCATTTGATAGAACAAATATGTGCAAATGGTCTTTTTATAGTGACATGTATGAAAACACATAGATCTATTTAGTACATTAACTATATACTCTCAAATAATTTAATATATACACACAACTCAGAAATGTTCATTATATAAATAGGCCAGAAAACAAAGACTTAACAAGCACAAGATGCTCCCCTTACATAGCCAATTTAAAAGACAGATTGAGGTAGTCCAGGCGCAGTGGTTCATGTCTGTAATCCCAGCGCTTTGGGAGGCTGAGGAGGGTGGATTACATGAGGTCAGGAGTTCAAGACCAGCCTGGCCAACATAATGAAACCCCATCTCTACTAAAAATACAAAAATTAGGTCGGCATGGTGGCACACAACTGTGGTCCCAGGTACTCAGGAGGCTGAGGGAGGAGAATCACTTGAACCCGGGAGGCAGAGGTTGCAGTGAGCTGAGATTTTGCCACCACACTCCAGCCTGGGTGAAAGACTGAGGCTACACCTCCAAAAGAAAAAAAAAAAGACTAAGTGAGGTACAAGAATGGAGAGAGACCGAAACACTTGTGGCACTTAGCATATGGCTGGTAAGGGCTATATTAACAATTCTTCTTTGACGTACTATATGAAAAAAAACAAATGATTTTAACATGAAAAGAACAATGTAATAACAACATAAAAAATTTTGTTCCAGGGTCAGTCCTAGAAACATTCAAGGGTCATTTAAGATTTCAGTGTATTTAAGTTTCTGCTTTTGGTGAAGAAAAAAGAAAAAAAAATACAAAATATTCCAGTATATTTTATATTAATTAATATTAATATATCCATACTTGTAGTTCATTGTAATAAGTAAAAAGCAAAAAATAAAAAAACAGAATGAGTCACACAAATAGTTCAGTTAAGCTCTGGGTAGTGGATTCAATATAGTACGTAAGTATATTTTTAGATATATTTTCTACTAAATATAACAGGCAGTACATGGTGGGCTCACACCTTTAATCCTAGCACTTTGGGAGGCCAAGGCAGAAGGATTGCTTGAGCCCAAGAGTTGAGACCAACTTGGGCAACAGAGTGAAACCCCATCTTCACAAGAAAATAAGAAATTAGCCTGGTATGTGGTGTGTGCCTATAGTCCAAGTACTCAGTAGCCTGAGGGAGGAGGTCCCTTGAGATCAGGAGTTCGAGGCTGCACTCTAGCCTGGCTGACAGAGCAAGATCCTGTCTCAAGAAAATAAAATATAATAAAAATAAAAAATAATATAAACAGAGTGATGTCAGCCAGATGGTGGAATGGGAAGCTCCAAACCTTGATTCTCCATAAAGATACCAACTGAAAAACAATATATGGTCTAAAAGCCTTTATGGAGTTCCATAAACCATTAAGAAGTTGTAGTAGTACAGACAAGTGCAAAGCCAAGAATAGTGGCATTGAACAGATAAGAAAAGCTGTTGCATTATACTGATGATACCCCTTCCCCAAGCTCGAACAGGTTGGTTTGGCTGGGAAGCACTCAACTTGCAGCTTCTCCGTTAGCAGGGAAAGAGAAGACTGAAACGGAATAGTTTTATGAGGTTACCTGAAGCTCTCTCACTCTCTCTAACTTGACGCCCAACTGGCATACTTTGGATGCATGGGAGCCACTGGGAATAAAGGAGAGGTCAGAGATGATGCAGCACCAGGGAACCTGCAGTACCACAGACAGATACCAGAAGGAGCAACAGCTCCAGAAAAAGAAACTGGCAAACCTCTACTTGGGATGTTGCAATGTATAAACCCAAAGAAGATGCATTCCCAGAAAGAGTTTGAGAGGCTGCTGGAACCTATAGCCATGCTGATTCAGGTATGAAGGTCTTCCGTATGAAGCCAGCTGATAAAAACTGGGAGAAGTGGCAGTTTTTTCAAACGCCCAAATATTGGCAAAAATAAATAAAAAATAAAAAATAACAAGACATAAGAAGAAAGAGAGAAACCTGATGACTAAATTAAAGGAGCAAAATAAATCTCCAGAAACCAACCCTAAAGAAATAGGTAAATGAGTTACCTGACAAAGAATCCAAATTAACTCTCTTAATGAAGCCCAGTGACAACAGAAATAGACAACTAAGTGAAAGCAGGAAATAATTCATGAACAAAATGAAAATATTAACAGAGATAGAAACTAAAAAAACAAAAAGGAACCATACAGAAACTCTGGAGCTAAGGAATACAATAGCTCAATTGAAAAATTCACTATCGGAAATCACCAATAGACTGTGTAACTGCCCAATGGGTTCACCTCGTGCCCTGCTTAGACAGAGCTGATTTATCAAGACAGGGGAATTGCAATGGAGAAAGAGTAATTCAGGCAGAGCTGGCTGTGCGGGAGATCAGAGTTTTATTATTACTCAAATCAGTCTCCCTGAGCATTCGGGGATCAGAACTTTTAAAGATAATTTGGCAGGTAGGGGCTTGGGAAGTGGGAACTGCTTATTCATCAGGTTGGAGATGAAATCATACGGGGTTGAAGTGATGACGTTTTCTTGCTGTCTTCTGTTTGTGGGTGGGGTGGCAGAACCAGTTGAGCCATATTACCAGTCTGGGTGGTGTCAGCTGATTCATCCAGTGCAGGGTCTGCAAAATATCTCAAGCACTGATTTTAGGTTTTACAATAGTGATGTTATCCCCAGGAGCAATTTGGAGAGGTTCAGACTCTTGGAGCCAGAGGCTGCATAACCCCTCAACTGTAATTTCTAATGTTATAGCTAATTTGTTTATCCCGCAAAGGCAGACTGGTTCCAGGCAAGAAGGGGATCTTTTTGGGAAATGGCTATTATCAACTTGGTTTGAGAGTCAAACCATGAACTGAATACCTTACCAAAATTAGTTCATCCTACTGCCAGGAATGAACAAGGACAGTTTAAATGCTAGAAGCAAGATGGAGTTGATTAAGTCTGATATCTTTTGCTGTCATAATTTCTTCAGTTATAATTTTTGCAAAGGCAGTTTCAATAACATCAAGCAGAAGAAAGAATCAGTGAAACAGAAGACTAGTCATTTGAAATTATGGAGTCAGAGGAGCAAACGGGAAAAGGAGTGAAGAGTGAAGACAGCCTAAGAGACTTACAGGATGCCATCAAGCAGACCAATGTATGCATTATGAAAGTACCAGAAGGAGAAGAGAAAAATAAAGGGGCAGAGAGCCAGTTAAAAAAGTAATGACCAAAAACTTCTCAAACTTAAAGAAGGAAATGGACATACAAATCCAAGAGGCTCAAAGAACTCCAAGTTGGATAATTTGCAAAAGACCTACAATAAGACACATTAGAATTTTGAAAGGAACAGGATCAAAGCAACTTGTCACATACAAGGGAGATGCCATATGGTTATCAATGGAATTCTCAGCAAAAACTCTACAGGCCAGAAGAGAATGGGATGATATATTAAAAGGGCTGAAAGAAAAAAAACTGTCAACCAAGAACTGTATAGCCAGTAAAACTGTACTTCAAAAATGAAGGACAAAGAGTTCCCCAGAGAAGTAAAAGGTGAGGGAGTTGATCACCACTAGGCCTACCTTACAAAAAACGTTAAAGGGAGTCCTCCAAGTGGAAATGAAAAGGCATTGGATAGAAATACAAAAGCATACAAAATATAAACTTCTTTGGTAAAGGTAAATATATGAGTGAACATAGAATCCTTTAATACTCTAATGGTGGTAAGCAAAACACTTTTTTTCCTTTACTTTTTTTTTTTTTTTTTTTTTTGAGACAAAGTCTTGCTCTGCTGCCCAGGCTGGAGTGCAGCGGTTTGATCATGGCTCACTGCAGCCTTGCAGTCCTAGGCTAAAGCAATCCTCCCACCTCAGCCTCCCGAGTGGCTGGGACTACAGACATGCACCACAACACTCAGATAATATTTTTAAATTTTTAGCAGAGATAAGGCCTTGCTGGTCTCAAACTCCGAGGCTCAAGCGATGCTCACATTTTGGCCTCTCAAAGTGCTGGGACTACAGATGTGAGACACCACACCCAGCCTGTAATTCACTTTTAATTGAAGCATAGAATTTAAAAGGTAAAAGCATAATATTACTGTATTAAATTATGTGAATAAACAATATAAAATATATATTGTGTGACATTGATAACAAAGTGAGAAGGAGGTGTAAAGAAGTAGAGTTTTTGTATGTTATTAAAGTTAAGTTGTTGTCAATTTAAAATAGATTATTATAACTATAAGATGTTTTCATGTAATTCTACAGTAACCACAAAGAAAAGACCTACAGAAGATACACAAATAAAAATGAGAAAGGAACCAAAGCACGTCCCTACCAAAAAAAGAAATCGGTGAAACATAAAGGGAGGCAGAAAGAGAGGAAAAGTGGAAAAAAATACCTGCAAGACATGTATAAAACAGTGAACAAAATGACAATAGTAAGCCCCTCCCTATCAGTAACTACTTTAAATGCAAATAGGCTAATTTTCCAATCAAAAGACAAAGAATTGGCCGAATGGATTAAAAAAATCTAAATATATACTATATGCAAGAGACTTATGTTAGATCTAAACACACACAAAGGTTGAAAGTGAAAGGATGGAAAAAGATATTCAATGCATTTGGTAACCAAAAGAGAACAAGGATGGCCATACTTAGACAAAATAGAGTTTAAGTCAAATAATAGCACAAGAGACAAGGATATTACATAATAATAAAAGGGCCAATTGACCAAGAAGATATAGCAATTATAAATGTATATGCAACTAACAGTACAGCATCTAAATATATGAAGCTAACGTAGACAGAATTGAGGGGTAACATAGATAACAACATCATAATAACAAAAAACTTCAATATTCCACTTTCAATTATGGATACAATAACCAGACAGAAGATCAACTGGAAAACACAGAACTTGAACAACATTGTAGACCAATTGGACCTGTCTGACATATACAGAACACTTCACCCAATAATAGCAAAATATGCTTTCTTCTCAAGTACATACCAAGACTTTTCCAGGATAGATGGCATGCTAGTCCACAAACAAGTTTTTAAAAATTTAAGAAAACTGAACTCATACCAAATATCTTTTCTGACCACATTAAATGAAATTACAAATTCATAGCAGAAGGAAAAAGGAAAAGTAATAAATATGTGGAAATTACAAAAATATACTCTCTACCAATTGGTCTGTGTGGTTAATATTAATTGTCAATTTGATTGAGGGATGCTCAGATGCCTGATGAAGCACTGTGTGTGGGTATATCTGTGAGGGTGTTGCCACAGGAGAATGATGGATGAGTTAGTGGACTGAGAGAGAAAAACCCATCCTCACTGTGGGTAGGCATCATGCAATTGGTTGCAAGTGTGACTAGAACAAAAAGGCAGAAGAATGGGAACATTCAGCTTGCTTGGATTTCTTTTTTATGCACTTTCTCTCTCTTCCAGAGCAGTATGCCTTTTTCTCCTCTTGCCCTTGCACATCAAACTCTAGGTTCTTTGGCCTTTGGACCCTGGGACTTGCATCAGCAGCCTTTTGGGAGCTCTCAGGCCTTGGGCCTCAGACTAGTGGCTGCACTGTCAGCTTCCCTGGTTTTGAGACTTTCAGATTTGGACTGAGCCATGTCACTGGCTTCCTTGGGAGCCATGCTGTAAGCTTCTCTCATTTTCCAGCTTATAGATGGCCTATTGTGGGACTTTGCCTTTGTAATTATGTGAGCCAATTCTCCTTAATAAATTATATTTCATATACATGTAAATATATTCTCTTTTAGATGCATGTATATGTATCTCTATTATCTATTATCTATATCTATATCTATATCTATATCTATATCTATTTCTTATTGGATCTGACCCTCTGGAGAACTCTGATTAATACATAGTCAAAGAACAAGTCACAAGGAAAATTAGAAAATGTCTTGAGACAAATAAAAATGGAAACACAACATTCCAAAGCTTGTGGGATGCAGCAAAATGAATATGAAGAGGACAGTTTATATATCTAACTACCTACCTTAAAAAAGAAGAAAGATCTGAAATCAGCAACTTAACTTTACACCTCACGAAACTGGAAAAAGAAGAACTCAACCCAATGTTAGCAAAAGGAAGGAAATAATAAAGTCTAGAGCAGAAGGCCGGGTGCAGTGGCTCATGACTGTAATCCCAGCACTTTGGGAAGCTGAGGCAGGTGGATCACCTGAGGTCGGGAGTTCAAGACCAGCCTCAGCAACATGGAGAAACCTGTCTCTACTAAAAAATACAAAATTAGCCGGGCATGGTGGTGCATGCCTGTAATCCCAGCTACTCTGGAGGCTGAGGCAGGAGAGTCACTTGAACTGGGAGGCGGAGGTTGAAGCAAGCGGAGATCACGCCATTGCACTACAGCGTGGGCAATAAGAGTGAAACTCCATCTCAAAAAAAAAAAGGCTAGAGAATAGAAAAAACCCAATGAAACTAGTAGTCGTTTCAAAGTTCAACAAAATTGACAAATCATTAGCTAGAATATTTAAGAAAAAAAATAATGAAGACTCAACTTCTTTTAGGAACAAAAGAGAAGACACTGCAACAGATATTTACAGAAATAAAAACGATTCTAAGAGTCTACTATGAATTATTATATACTGACTAGTTGGATAACCTAGGAGAAATGAACAGATTCCTAGTAACATGCAAGTTACCAAGACTAAGTCACAAAATAAAAAATCTTAATAAACCTATAACTAGTAGTGAATCAGGAATCAAAAACCTCCCAGCAAACCAAATACCTGATAAGGGGTTAATATCTAAAATATATACAGAACAACAACTCAATAACAAAACAACCTAAATGAGAAATGGTCAGTTGACTTTGCTATGGTCCAAATGTTCTCCCAATATTCATATGCTGGAGCCTAATATTCAATGTGATAATATTAAGAGGTGGAGCATTTTGGATATGATTAGTTCATGAAGTCATAGCCCTCAGAAATGGGACTAGGGCCTTTATAAAAGAGGCTTAAGGGAGTTTGTTTTCCCTTTTGAACATGTGAGGACACAGAGAAGGTGCTATGTATAGTGAATGTAGTGACCTCACCGGTCACTGAGTCTGTTGTAGCCTAAATCTTGGACTTTTCACACTCCAGAATGCAAGAAATAAATTTCTGTTGTTTATAAATTACCAGCCTAAGGTATTTTGTTATAGCAGCAGAAATGGACTAAGATAGACTTGAATAGACATTTTTTCCAAAAAAAAAAAAAAATACAAATGGCCAACTAGCATATCAACCCAACACTACGTGGAAGCTGCCAAGCCTTGGGGATTGAACTCTGAAGCAATAGCCTGAGCTGTACGTTGGCTCCTTTTAGCCATGGCTGGGACACAGGGCACCAAGTCCCAAGACTGCACAGAGCAGCAAAGTTCTGGGCCTGGCCCACATAACCATTTTTTCCCTCCTAGGCCTCCAACCCTGTGACAGGAGGGGCTGTCGTGAAGAACTCTGACATGCCCTGGAGAAAATTTCCCCATTATCTTGTCAATTAACATTTGGCTCCTTGTTACTTCTGCAAATTTCTGCAGTAAGCTTGAATTTCTCCCCAGAAAATGGGTTTTCTTTTCTATCACATCATCAGGTTGCAAATCTTCCAAACTTTTATGCTCTGCTCCCTTTTAAACATAGGTTCTAATTCCAAACCATATTTTTGTGAATGCATAAAACTGAACACTTTTAAGAACACTCAGGTCATAAATTGAACACTTTGCTGCTTACAAATTTCTTCTACCAGATGTTCTGGATGGGTTCCAAGATGGCCAAATAGGAAGAGTTCCGGTCTGCAGCTCCCAGCATGATCGACACAGAAGACGGGTGATTTCTGCACTTCCAACTGAGGTTCCTGGTTCATCTCATTGGGACTGGTTGGAGAGTGGGTGCAGGCCCACAGAGGGTGAGCTGAAGCAAGGTGGGGCGTCGCCTCACCCGGGAAGCACAAGGGGTTGGGGGATTTCCCTTTCCCAGCCAAGGGAAGCTGTGACAGACTACCTGGAAAAACAGGGCACTCCCGCCCAAATACTGCACTTTTCCCAAGGTCTTAGCAACTAGCAGGCAAGGTGATTCTCTCCTGTGCCTCACTCAGTAGGTCCCACAGCCATGGAGCCTTGCTCACTGCTAGCGAAACAGTCTGAAATCCATCTGCGAGGTGGCAGTCTGGTTGGGGGAGGGGCGTCAACCATTGCTGAGGCTTAAGTAGGTAAACAAAGCGGCCAGGGAACTTGAACTGGGTGGAGCCCACCGCAGCTCAACAAGGCCCATTGCCTCTAGACTCCACGTCTGTGGGCAGGGATAGCTGAACAAAAGGCAGCAACTTCTGCAGACTTAAACGTCCCTGTCTGACAGCTCTGAAGAGAGCAGTGGTTTTTCCAGCATGGCGTTTGAGTTCTGAGAATGGACAGACTGCCTCCTCAAGTGGGTCCCTGAACCCTGTGTAGCCTAACTGGGACACACCTCCCAGTAGAGGCTGACAGACACCTCATATAGGCAGCTGCCCCTCTTGGACAAAGCTTCCAGAGGAAGGATCAGGCAGCACTATTTGCTATTCTGCAATATTTGCTGTTCTGCAGCCTCCACTGGTGATACCCAGGCAAACAGTGTCTGGAGTGGAACTCCAGCAAACTCCAACAGATCTGCAGCTGAGGGTCCTGACTGTTAGAAGGAAAACTAAAAAACAGAAAGGAATAGTGTCAACATTAACAAAAGATCATCTACACCAAAACCCCATCTGTAGGTCAACAATATCAAAGACCAAAGGTAGATAAAACCAAAAGGATGGGGATAAACCAGAGCAGAAAAGCTGAAAATTCTAAAAATCAGAGCACCTCTTCGCCTCCAAAGGATCACCACTCCTTGTCAGCAATGGAACAAAGCTGGACAGAGAATGACTTTGATGAGTTGACAGAAGTAGGCTTCAGAAAGTTGGTAATAACAAACTTCTCCGAGCTAAAGGAGGATGTTGGAACCCATTGCAAGGAAGTTAAAAACCTTGAAAAAGATTAGACGAATGGCTTACAAGAATAAACAGTGTAGAGAAGACCTTAAGTGACCCAATGGAGCTGAAAACCATGGCACAAGAACTTTATGACTCATGCACAAGCTTCAATAGCCGATTCAATCAAGTGGAAGAAAGGGTATCAGTGATTGAAGTCAAATAAATGAAATAAAGTGAGAAGACAAGGTTAGAGAAACAAGAGTAAAAAGAAATGAACAAAGCCTCCAAGAAATATGGGACTATGTGAAAAGACCAAATCTATATTTGATTGGTGTACCGGAAAGTGATGAGGAGAATGGAACCAAGTTGGAAAACACTCTTCAGGATATTATCCAGGAGAATTTCCCCAACCTAGCAAGGCAGGCCAACATTCAACTTCAGGAAATACAGAGAACAACACAAAGATACTCTTTGAGAAGAGCGATTCCAAGACACATAATTGTCAGATTCACCAAGGTTGAAGTGTAGGAAAAAGTGTTAAGGGCAGCCAGAGAGAAAGGTCAGGTTAGCCACAAAGGGAAGCCCATCAGACTAACAGCTGATCTCTTGGCAGAAACCCTACAATCCAGAAGAGAGTGGGGGCCAATATTCAACATTCTTAAAGAAAATAATTTTCAATCCAGAGTTTCATATCCAGCCAAACTAAGCTTCATAAGTGAAGGAGAAAATAAAATTCTTTACTGACAAGCAAATGCTGAGAGATTTTGTCACCACCAGGCCTGCCTTACAAGAGCTCCTGAAAGAAGCACTAAACATGGAAAGAAACACCTGGTACCACCCAGTGCAAAAACATGCCAAGTTGTAAAGACCATCAATGCTAGGAAGAAACTGCATCAATTAATGGGCAAATAACCAGCGAATATCATAATGACAGGATCAAATTCACACATAACAATATTAACTGTAAATGTAAATGGGCTAAATGCCCCAATTAAAGGACACAGACTGGCAAATTGGATAAAGGGTCAAGACCCATCAGTGTGCTGTATTCAGGAGACCCATCTCATGCGCAAATTCACACATAGGCTCAAAATAAAGGGATGGAGGAAGATCTACCAAGAAAATGGAAAACAAAAAAAGGCAGGGGTTGCAATCCTTGTCTCTGATAAAACAGACTTTAAACCAACAAAGATCAAAAGAGACAAAGAAGGCCATTACATAATGGTAAAGGGATCAATGCAACAAGAAGAGCTAACTATCCTAAATATATATGCACCCAATACAAGAGCACCCAGATTCATAAAGCAAGTCCTTAGAGACCTACAAAGAGGCTTAGACTCCCACACAATAATAATGGGAGACTTTAACACCCAACTGTCAATATTAGAAAGATCAACAAGACAGAAGGTTAACAAAGATATCCAGGACCTGAACTCAGCTCTGCAACAAACAGACCCAATAGACATCCACAGAACTCTCCACCCCAAATTAACAGAGTATACATTCTTCTCAGCACCACATCTCACTTATTCTAAATTTGACCACATAATTGGAAGTAAAGCACTCCTCACCAAATGTAAAAGAACAGAAATCACAACAAACTGTCTCTCAGACCACAGTGCAATCAAATTCAAACTTAGGATTAAGAAGCTCACTCAAAACTGAACAACTACATGGAAACTGAACAATTTGCTCCTGAATGACTACTGGGTAAATAACAAAATGAAGGTAGAAATAAAGATGTTCTTTGAAACCAATGAGAACAAAGACACAATGTACCAGAATCTCTGGGACACATTTAAAGCAGTGTGTAGGGGGAAATTTATAGCACTAAATGCCCAGAAGAGAAAGCAGGAAAGATCTGAAATTGACCACCTAACATCAAAATTAAAAGAACTAGAGAAGCAAGAGCAAACACATTCAAAAGCTAGCAGAAGGCAAAAAATAAGATCAGAGCAGAGCTGAAGGAGACAGAGACACAAAAAACCCTTCAAAAAAGCAATGAATCCAGGAGCTGGTTTTTTGAAAAGATCAACAAAATTGATAGACTGCTAGCAAGACTAATAAAGAAGAAAAGAGAGAGGAATCAAATAGATGCAATAAAAATGACAAAGGGGATATCACCACTGAGCCCAGGGAAATAAAAACTACCATCAGAGAATACTATAAACACCTCTACACAAATAAACTTGAACATCTAGAAGAAATGGATAAATTCTTGGACACATACACCCTTTCAAGACTAAACCAAGAAGAAGTTGAATCTCTGAATAGACCAATAACAGGCTCTGAAATTGAGGCAATAATTAATAGCTTACCAACCAAAAAAAAGTCCAGGACCAGATGGATTCACAGCTGAGTTCTACCAGAGGTACAAAGAGGAGCTGGTACCATTCTTTCTGAAACTTTTCCAATCAATAGAAAAAGACAGAATCCTCCCTAATTCATTTTATGAGGCCAACATCATCCTGATACCAAAGCCTGACAGAGACACAACAACAAAAAAAGAGAATTTTAGACCTATATCCCTGATGAACATTGATGCAAATATCCTCAATAAGATAGTAACAAACTGAATCCAGCAACACATCAAAAAGCTTATCCACCATGATCAAGTTGGCATCTCTAGGATGCAAGACTGGTTCAACATATGCAAATCAATAAACGTAATCCATCATATAAACAGAACCAAAGACAAAAACCACATGATTATCTTAATAGATGCAGAAAAGGCCTCTGACAAAATTCAACAGCCCTTCATGCTAAGAACTCTCAATAAACTAGGTATTGATGGGACGTATCTCAAAATAATAAGAGCTATTTATGACAAACCCACAGCCAATATCATACTGAATGGACAATAACTGGAAGCATTCCCTTTGAAACCTGGCACAAGACAAGGATTCCCTCTCTCACCACTCCTATTCAACATAGTCTTGGAAGTTCTGGCCAGGGCAATCAGGCAAGAGAATGAAATAAAATGTATTCAACTAGGAAAAGAGGAAGTCAAATTGTCCCTGTCTGCAGATGACATGATTGTATATTTACAAAACCCCATCATCTCAGCCCAAAATCTCCTTAAGCTGATAAGCAAATTCAGCAAAGTCTCAGGATACAAAATCAATGTGCAAAAATCACAAGCATTCTTATACACCAATAACAGACAAACAGAGAGCCAAATCATGAGTGAACTCCCATCCACAATTGCTTCAAAGAGAATAAAATACCTAGGAATCCAACTTACAGGGGATGTGAAGGGCCTCTTCAAGGAGAACGACAAACCACTGCTCAACAAAATAAGAGGACACAAACAAATGGAAGAACATTCCATGCTCATGGAAAGGAAGAATCAATATCGTGAAAATGGCCATACAGCCAAAGGTAATTTATAGATTCAATGCCATCCCCATCAAGCTACCAATAACTTTCTTCACAGAATTGGAAAAAAACAACTTTAAAGTTCATATGGAACCAAAAAAGAACCTGCATTGCCAAGTCAATCCTAAGCAAAAAGAACAAATCTGGAGGCATCACGCTACCTGACTTCAAACTACACTACAAGGCTACAGTAACCAAAACAGCATGGTACTGGTGCCAAAACAGAGATACAGACCAATGGAACAGAATAGAGCCCTCGGAAATAATACCACACATCTACAACCATCTGATCTTTGACAAACCTGACATAAACAAGAAATGGGGAAAGGATACCCTATTTAATAAATGGTGCTGGGAAAACTGGCTAGCCATATGTGGAAAGCTGAAACTGGATCCCTTCCTTACACCTTATATAAAAATTAATTCAAGATGGATTAAAGACTTAAATGTTAGACCTAAAACCATAAAAACCCTAGAAGAATACCTAGGCAATACCATTCAGGACATAGGCATGGGCAAGGAATTCATGACTAAAACACCAATAGCAATGGCAACAAAAGCCAAAATTGACAAATGAGATCTAATTAAATTCAAGAGCTTCTGCACAGCAAAAGAAACTACCATCAGAGTGAACAGACAACCTACAGAATGGGAGAAAATTTTTACAATCTACCCATCTGACAAAGGGCTAATATCCAGAATCTACAAAGAACTTAAACAAATTTATATGAAAAAATCAAACTACCCCATCAAAAATTGGGTAAAGGATATGAACAGACACTTCTCAAAAGAAGACATCTATGCAGCCAACAGACACATGAAAAAATGCTCATCATCACTCGCCATCAGAGAAATGCAAATCAAAACCACAATGAGATACCATCTCACACCAATTAGAATGGCGATCATTAAAAAGTCAGGAAACAACAGGTGCTGGAGAGGATATGGAGAAATAGGAATGCTTTTACACTGTTGGTGGGAGTGTAAACTAGTTCAATCATTGTAGAAGACAGTGTGTCAATTCCTCAAGGATCTAGAACAAGAAATACCATTTCAATCAGCCATCCCATTACTGGGCATATACCCAAAGGATTGTGAATCATGCTGCTATAAAGACACATGCACACATATGTTTATTGCGGCACTATTCGCAATAGCAAAGACTTGGAACCAACCTAAATGTCCATCAACGATAGACTGGATTAAGAAAATGTGGCACATATACACCAAGGAATACTATGCAGCCATAAAAAGGATGAGTTCATGTCCTTTGTAAGGACATGGATGAAGCTAGAAACCATCATTCTGAGAAAACTATCGCAAAGACAGAAAACTAAACACCATGTGTTCTTACTCATAGGTGGGAATTGAACAATGAGAACACTTGGACACAGGGTGGGGAGCATCACACACTGGGGCCTGTCATGGAGTGGGGGGAGGGGGGATAGCATTAGGAGATATATCTAATGTAAATGACGAGTTAATGGGTGCAGCACACCAACATGACACATGTATACATATGTAACAAACCGGCACATTGTGCATATGTACCCTAGAACTTAAAGTATAATAATAGAAAAACTATGACACTCTCCTACATACCATATCTGTACAAAAATTATAAATTTTAGATAACCATCCAGAGATATTTCTCTAATTCTTGGAAAAAATATCAACATTGAAAACATCAAAAAAATTAAACAGTTCTTTCTTCATCCAAAAAAAAAAAAAAAGAACGATATGGAATCCTCCCTAACTCATTTTATGAGGCCAGCATCATCCTGGTACCAAAGCCTGGCAGAGACACAACAAAAAAAGAGAATTTTAGACCAATATCCCTGATGAACATCGATGCGAAAATCCTCAGTAAAATACTGGCAAACCAAATCCAGCAGCACATCAAAAAGCTTATCCACCACGATCAAGTGGGCTTCATCCCTGGGATGCAAGGCTGGTTCAACATATGCAAATCAATAAATGTAATCCATTACATAAACAGAACCAAAGACAAAAACCACATGATTATCTCAATAGATGCAGAAAAGGCCTCTGACAAAATTCAACACTCCTTCATGCTAAAAACTCTCAATAAACTAGGTATTGATGGGACGTATCTCAAAATAATAAGAGCTATTTATGACAAACCCACAGCCAATATCATACTGAATGGGCAAAAACTGGAAGCATTCCTTTTGAAAACTGGCACAAGACAAGGATGCCCTCCCTCACCACTCTTATTCAACATGGTGTTGGAAGTTCTGAAAAGTGGAATCAGGCAGGAGAAAGAAATAAATTGTATTTAGTTAGGAAAAGATGAAGTCAAATTGTCCCTATTTGCAGATGACATGATTGTATATTTAGAAAACCCCATCATCTCAGCCCAAAGTCTCCTTAAGCTGATAAGCAACTTCAGCAAAGTCTCAGGATACAAAATCAACGTGCCAAAATCACAAGCATTCCTATACACCATTAATAGACAAACAGAGAGCCAAATCATGAGTGAACTCCCATTCACAATTGCTACAAAGAGAATAAAATACCTAGGAATCCAACTCACAAGGGTTGTGAAGGACCTCTTCAAGGAGAACTACAAACCACTGCTCAATGAATTAAAAGAGGACACAAACAAATGGAAGAATATTCCACGCTCATGGATAGGAAGAATCAATATCATGAAAAAGACCATACTGCACAAAGTAATTTATAGATTCAATACCATCCCCATCAAGCTTCTAATGACTTTCTTCACAGAATTGGAAAAAGAAACTACTTTAAAGTTCATATGGAACTAAAAAAGAGCCTGCATTGCCAAGACAATCCTAAGCAAAAAGAACAAAGCTGGAGGCATCACACTACCTGACTTCAAACTATACTACAAGACTACAGTAACCAAAACAGCATGGTACTGGTGCCAAAACAGATATATAGACCAATGGAACAGAACAGAGGCCTCAGAAATAAGACCACACATCTACAGCCATCTGATCTTTGACAAACCTGACAAAAACAAGAAATGGGGAAAGGATTGCCTATTTAATAAATGATGCTGGGAAAACTGGCTAGCCATATGTAGAAAGCTGAAACTGGATCCCTTCCTTACATCTTATACAAAAATTAATTCAAGATGGATAAAAGACTTAAATGTTAGACCTAAAACCATAAAAACCCTAGAAGAAAACCTAGGCAATACCATTCAGGCCATAGGCATGAGCAAGGACTTCATGACTAAAACACCAAAAGCAATGGCAACAAAAGCCAAAATTGACAAATGGGATCTAATTAAACTAAGGAGCTTCTGTACTGCAAAAGAAACTGCCATCAGAATGAACCAGGCAACATACAGAATGGGAGATAAATTGCAATCTACCCATTTGACAAAGAAAGAATTCAAACAAATTTACAAGAAAAAAACAACCCCATCAAAAAGTGGGCAAACATATGAATAGACGATTCTCAAAAGAAGACATCTATGCAGCTAACAAACACAAGAAAAAAAGCTCATCATCACTGGTCATCAAAGAAATGCAAATCAAAACCACAATGAGATACCATCCCACCCCAGTTAGAATGTCAATCATTAAAAAGTCAGGAAACAACAGATGCTGGAGAGGATATGGAGAAATAGGAATGCTTTTACACTGTTGGTGGGAGTGTAAACTAGTTCAACCATTGTGAAAGACATTGTGGCAATTCCTCGAGGATCTAGAACTAGAATTACCATTTGACCCAGCAATCCCATTACTGGATATATATCCAAAGGATTATAAATCATGCTACTATAAAGACATATGCACATGTATGTTTATTGTGGCACTATTAACAATAGCAAAGACTTGGAACCAACCCAAATGTCCATTAATGATGGACTGGATTAAGACATGTGACACATATACACCATGGAATACTATGCAGCCATAAAAAAGGATGAGTTCATGTCCTTTGCAGGGAGATAGATGAAGCTGGAAACCATCATTCTCAGCAAAACTATCACAAGGACAGAAAACCAAACACCACATGTTCTCACTCATAGATGGGAATTGAACAATGAGATCACTTAGACACAGGGCTGGGAACATCACACACTGGGGCCTGTTGGGGGGTGGAGGGCTGGGGGAGGGAGAGCATTAGGAGAAATACTTAATGTAAATGATGAGTTGATGGGTGCAGCAAACCAACATGGCACATGTGTACCTATGTATCAAACCTGCACGTTGTGCACATGTACCCTAGAACTTAAGGTATAACAACAACAACAACAACAACAAACATTTCTTCTACCAGATGTCCTCAGTCATCTCTCTCATTTTCAAAGTTCCATAAATCTGTAGGGCAGGGGCAAAATGCCACCATTCTCTTTGCTAAAGCATAGCAGGAGTGACCTTTACTTCAGTTCCCAACAAGTTGTTCATCTCCATCTCTGACCTCCTCAGCCTGGACTTCACTGTCCAAGTCACTATCAGCAGTTTGGTCAAAGCCATTCAACAAGTCTCTAGGCAGTTCCAAACTTTCCCACATCTTCTGGTCTTCTTCTGAGTCCTCTCAACTGTTCCAAACTCTGCACATTACACAGTTCCAAAGTCACTTCCACATTCTCAGGTATCTTATAGCAATACTCCATTACCTCAGTATCAAAATCTGTACTAGTCATGGTTCTCTAGAGGGATAGAACTAGTAGGAGATATATATATATATATATATATATATATATATATATATATATATATATATATATATATATATATATATGAAAGGGAGTTTATTAAGGAGAATTGAATCACACCATCACAAAGTGAAGTCCTACAACAGGCCGTCTGCAAGTTGAGGAGCAAGGAATCTAGTATTGGCTTAGTCCGAGTCCCAACACCTCAAAAGTAGGGAAACCGACAGGCCAGCTTTGAGTCTCTGGATGAAGGCCTGAGAGCCCCTGGAAAACAACTGGAGTAAGTCCAAGAGTCCAAAAGCCAAAGAACCTGGAGTCTGATATTTGAGTGCAGGAAGCATCCAGCATGGGAGAAAGATGAGGGCCAGAAGGCTCAGCAAGTCAGCTTCTCCTAACCTTCTTCTGCCTGCTTTATTCGAGCCATGCTGGCAGCTGATTTTATGGTGCCCACCCACATTGAGGGTGGATCTGCCTTTCCCAGTCCACTAAATAAATGTTAATCTCCTTTGGCAACACCCTCACAGACACAACCGGGAACAATAATTTGGATCCTTCAATCCAATCAAGTTGACACTTACTTAATATTAAACTTCACAATGTAATATTCATCCCATTTGTAATTTTTCTTTAATATACAAGCTCGTTGAGAACATGCACCATTTGATCTTGTCTCTCTGTTGTGTTGGGAGGCAGTGGAGAAGAGAAGAGTTAAATGTGTGGGTGTGGAGTGAGACTGTCAGATTTGCATCTTGGCTCCCCTACTTATTGGATCTCTGTCCTTGAGTAAATTACTTAACATCTTTCTCAGTTTCCTTACCTGTAAATGAGTGGTGACATATATGGAACTTAGAACAAGAGCCAAGCAAGTATTCAATAAAAGCTAATGTTGTTGTCTACTGTTCATTCTCAGTGTTTGGCATAGTAGCCAGCAAAAGGAAGAGGATTTTTTTTTTTTTATTTTTTTCAGACAGTCTCCCTCTGTCACCCAGGCTGGAGTGCCATGGTGTGATCTTGGCTCACTGTAACCTCTGCCTCTTGGGTTCAAGTGATTCTTGTGCCTCAGCCCCCTGAGTAGCTGGGATTACAGGCCTGTGCTACCATACCCAGCTAACTTTTTGTATTTTTAGTGGAGATGGAGCTTTGCTATGTTGGCCAGGCTGGTCTTGAACTCATGTCCTCAAGTGATCCACCCGCTTTGGCCTCCCAAAGTGTTGGGATTATAGGCGTGAGCCATTGGGCCCAGCCTGGAAATATTTTTTTGAAACATGACTGATAACAATATTTTTTGAAAGAATGACAGATACCAATCATGAAGGAAAAGATTTTGACAAATGACAATAAAAAACTTTAACTTCTGAATGGTAAAAAGAGTGAGAAAATTAAAAGCCAAATTACAAATTGAAAAAACTAAAGTATATAAAACAAAGGTTTTCATTCTCAATTTAATGCAGAATCTTGACAAATCAAAAAGAAAAAAAGGTGAACCCACCTAAAAGAAATAGGCAAAAAACTTTCAAGAAAAGCAGTTTACAAAATGCCAATGACTAATAAACATGGATATTTAACATCACTAGTATTCAAAGTACTTCATTTACAGAGATCCCTCCTTCACCTATCAAATTAGCAAAGATGAAAAAGGCTAGTAATACCAAGTTTTGAAGAGAGGTGAGAGGAAATGACAAGTTTATGTACCCTGGTAGGACATGATATTGTGGCAATATGTTTCAGAACACTCATAAACATATACACCTTTTAGATCAACAATTGCACTTTTAAGCTTAAGAAAATATGAAGATTAGGTACAAATATTTCTCTATATGTTCAACTAAGTATTATTTTTTTAAGTAAAAAAAACTTTTTGAGACAGAGTCTCACTCTGTTGCCCAGGCTGGATAGCTCACTACAGCCTCCGCCTCCTGGGTTCAAGTGATTCTTCTGCTTCAGCCTCCTGAGTAGCTGGGATTACAGATGCCCACCACCATGCCCGGCTAAGTTTTGTATTTTTAGTGGAGACGGGGTTTCACCATGTTGGTTGGCCAGGCTGGTCTTGAACTCCTGACCTCAAGTGATCCACCCTTCTTGGCCTCCCAAAATGCTGGGATTATAGGTGTGAGCCACCATGCCCGGCCAATTTTTTAATTTAAAAAAATATTTTTATAGCAGCACAACTAAGCATTATTTTAATAGTAAATATTGGAGTTAACTTTAATTTTGAACAGGATGAGTAATCATGATGCAGCACATTGAATACTCTTTCATTAAGCTAAACAACTATTTAAAATGATATACAAATACATTTACTGAAAAGAAACATGTTTGTGATATACAGTTAAGTGTAAAACAATTCAGGTTATAAGAACATATTAGGCTGGGTGTGATGGCTCACACCTGTAATCCCAGCACTTTGGGAGGCCGAGGCAGGTGGATCACGAGGTCAGGAGATCAAGACCATCCTGGCTAACACGGTGAAGCCCTGGATCTACTAAAAACACACAAAAAATTAGCCGGGCGTGGTGGTGGGCGCCTGTAGTCCCAACTACTTGGGAGGTTGAGGCAGGAGAATGGCATGAACCCGGGAGGCAGAGCATGCAGTGAGCTGAGATTGTGCCACTGCACTCCAACCTGGGTGACAGAGCAAGACTCCGCCTCAAAAAAAAAAAAATAAAAGAACATATTGGTCAATATTCACTGATTTTTATAAGAATATTTGACAGAGAAAGAGGGGTAAGGGAAGGGAAGGGGGAGGAGAGGGGAAGGGAAGGGAAGGGATGAAGGGAAGAAGGGAAGGGAAGGGAATATGGGTGGGTTTATATCAAAAGGTTCAGAAGGAAATGATTCTTTTCTTCTGGATGTGACTATTGCAGATTTGATTTTTAACTTTTCCTCTTTTTCTTATTTATTTATATTTTCTTATTTTAAGAGAAACTATAAAACTATATATATTACTTTTCAACTTAAAAATAGTTTAGTGCTTCAATAATACAGAAGACTCAAACATTGCAGATAATTAAAGCATTACTTAATGTGGAAATATTTAGTTTCACAATTTCTGTAGTGATATTCAAGACCAGATATCACCTTGGGAATCAGAACTGGTGCAGGATCTTGTCCTAACACTACTAAAAAGGCATATGGTTGTCCCAGCTCTGTATGTTTATGTCGTCTTATAATAGAGCAACCATTTGTTTATTAGGATGGCCAAAAAGGCACATTTCAAAAATGCCTATTAAAATATTAGTAGTACAAATAATACTGCTGCTTAATTTTTTCTAGTGAGAACTGATAAAATTCAAAAGCAACATAAGCAGATAAATAGTAATAATATGGTTTATCAAATTAATTGTCACATGATTATTAAAGTGAGATCATGTGTGTTAAGTAGTGGTATCTTAAGCCACTGAAATATCTTCCTTGGTCTGGAATGAGCTTTCTATGGAGATTAAAAAGATGTTAAATTGAACAGTCTTGGTTAATAAATGAAGAAGCAAAGCCAGAAACCCTGTTTAAAGAACTAACAAAAAAGGTCATGAATGATCTGGTGGTTGTTATATTTTCTTGTTTACCCGAGGAGAAGACTATGCTCAAGCATGTATTGAATCCAGTGATAACCAGAATGTCATCCATACTGCTAGCAGCCATTAGTAAGGTTGGAATGTCTTCCTCAGCACCATATCCATTTTCTTGCAACACCATCGTGTAAAGGACAACAACAGCAAGAGAGACAGCACCTAGAACAAAACTGAAAGAAAGAATGAAAATTAATTTAAAAGCATCTTTTTAATCAAGTAGTGTTTTATAAGTACAAGTAGTTTATAATAAATGTATAACAAACATTGTTTAGAAGAATTTCAAATTTGAGTGAATGCAATTTAATGGTGATAAAACTTTTCATGCATTGTTTAGTGCTGGCTAAAATTTTATACAGACGTGGTTTAAAATGTTGGGCTGAGCACAGGTTGCAGCCTCTCCCTCCATTCCTAAATCCTTTGAAGTGAAGATGTAAAGTCATAGAAAAATTCATAACCTAACTAGAAAGCAAAAGGTGAATCATCAATGGACAAGAAACTAAGTATATGCCAGAAAGATAAGTGACAGACAATTTAGCATTGAAAAAAGGAAACCATAAACCAAAATGTGTGTAAATAAGATTGCCTCAAAAGATACATGTGCTTCTAAAAGTGGTCCAAGCCCTGAAATGACAGATGCTGGGAGCAGGAGAGACCTCCGGGGAAACCAAATAGTTGATTATTTGGAGTAGCACTGTAAGAATGGTCAGACAAATCTACCTTCCACACATTTCCTACCTCTTGAGTAAATAAGTAAGTAAGGAAGGAAGGAACAGAGTTGTCTGCCCAAAAAAACAAGTGTGGCCACCTAAGTTACAAAGGCAAATGAGAACATTTCTGGAGTGGTTGATGACACCCATGAGGAATGGGGAGGCTCCTGCTCAGAATACCTTCTATTGGCATATCTTATCCAGAATTTCACCTCATCTCTTCTACATTTACTTTATAAAGTGTGAAGTATATCCTGTGTAAAAATGCTTTTGGTGCTCCTGCCAGAATCCATTTACCAGGTCAATGAACACATCTCCCAGTGCTTCTTGTTGGCTGCTATTATCTGCAGGTTTCTAGAACCCTTGTCCTGCTGACAAGCACCTACCTGGGAATACTAGAGAGGTTGTGCACCCCTCTACTTTCCCTCCAGGCAGCATCTGCCAATGACGGACTGATGTGAGATTTGCTTCCGGCTGTACAACTCTATGGCACAGTTTATGCTACAGATTTCCCTGTGGGCTCAAGAAGAGACTAGACTTCTCTAAGACCACATACTGGTCTAGTTCAGTGGTTCCTGAACTCTGCTGCACATTGTAATCACCTGTTGTATTATTTTTCTCATTTTGCTTAACAAGTCATCCCCAAACATAGCAGCTTAAAACAACAAATATTTATTGTCTTATGCTTCTGTGGGTCAGGAATCTGGGCATGGCTTAGCTGTATGCCTTGACTTAAGTTTTCCCATGAGGTAGGGTGGGGTGGAGAAGATCTGCTTCCAAGTTTACTCATGTAGCCATTGCAGGCTTCAGTTTTTTCCAATGGGGTTTTCTCCACAGGGCTGCCTCAGGACATGGCAGCTGGCTTCCCCAGGAATAAGTGATCAAAGAGAATTTAATCCACAACATCAATTAAAAACATAAAGTATCTAAGAACAAAACTGTGAAGACAGTCTATACTTTTATAAAAATTGTGAATATAATAATATAATAATTAAGATAATACCTGAATACTTAGAGAGACATTTCACAAGTGTGAACTAAAAAGCCCCAATTTTACCATTGCCCAACACCACGCCTGGCTAGTTTTTGTGTTTTTAGTAGATACAGTGTTTCGCCATTTTGGCCAGGCTGGTCTTGAACTCCTGACCTCAGGTGATATGCCTGCCTTGGCCTCCCAAAGTGCTGGGATTATAGGTGTGAGCCACCATGCCCAGCCAAAGCCTCAATAATATAAAGATGTAATCTCTCCCCCAAATGAATTAATCAGAGATACACCAATCAAAATCTTTGCAGGGATTGTTACTGAGCTTGACAAGCTGATTATAAAATTCATTTGGAAGAATAAGACCTTAGAACGAAAGATCAAGTAAACTTAAGAAAACCAGATACTGTTTTTGTAAAGGTGAAATAGTTAAAACTGAATAATAGTGACATATAAATAGACAAAATAAATTGGAAGAAAAGAGAATACAAAGTGTGGAAACAAATCTATGGGATTTGTTACATCATAAATTGGTATTTTAAATCAGTGGGAGAAAGAAAGAAATCTTTCACAAATGGTGTTGAGATAACTATTTATGTGGAAAGGAATATAGATAGATCCTTACACATAATAACTGTTAAAAGCTCAAAAGGAAAAGTAGTAATAAGAAAATGTAGTGGGCTAGGCGTGACGGCTCACACCTGTAATCCCAGCACTTTGGGAGGCTGAGGCGGACAGATCAGGAATCTGAGACCAGCCTGGCCAACATGGCAAAACCAATAGCTGGGTGCAGTGGTGCATGCCTGTAGTCCCAGCCACTTGGGAGGTTGAGGCAGGAGAATCACTTGAACCTGGGAGGTGGAGGTTGCAGTGAGCTGAGATCATGCCACTGCACTACAGCCTGGGTGACAGCAAGACTCTGAACAACAACAACAAAAAGATGTAGAATAATATATTTGTGATCATGAGGTAAAAAGGACCTTTTGAATGATACATACAAAGGCATTAGACATAAAAAGAGATTTTGATACATTCAATTATATTAAAGTAGTACTTCAAAAGCAACTTCAAAACTACTATAATAAAGTACTACTTCAAAAGCAATTCTGCTCTTTCTCCCCCTTTTTCTCTTTTTCATTTTCAAAGTCAAGTGAACGGTGTTGTGTATTCGCAATTCTGTCTGTTGAAAATAACAAAATACACTTCTTAGAGTGAAAAAAATCATCACAAACAAAATTAAATATCTACTGATATTTGCAGTACATATAATTTACAAATGCATATAACAGATATAATTAATACAGAAGACCAACTCAACAAAAAAATGGACAAAGATATGAACAGGCTAGTTACAGATAAGGAAAAGCTGAAGGACAACACATATATAAAAGATATTCAAGCTTGTGAATAATCACAGAAATGCAAATTAAAATAACAAAAATATGCCATTTTTTCAATTATCAGACTGGAAAACATTATAAAATGTAATAATATCAAGGATTTGCAAGGATTTTCAGGAACAACAGGTATGCTCATAAGCTACTGGTATTAGGGCAAATTAAAGTGGCCATACCGAAAGGATTTTGGCTGTATACATCAAACTAAAAATGTATGTAACCCAGGTAACTATTCTAGACAAACTTATATTTATGTAAAATGAGACAAATAAAATGCCATTTTTGTTATAACATTGTAAATAAAATCTGCTGTTGACATACAATGTAATCTTATACAATTAAAAGGAATCAACTACATGTGTATCCATCTTGAGATGGATAAACCTCGAGACTACTGTTGAGTGAAAAGAACAAATTGTAAAGTAAAATTTTCTTGGGTATGATTACGTAAAAATGCACAAAATAATACTCTTTTTCTCTGGGTTCACAAATACATTTGTTAGAAGTCCAGAACATTATTTTTAAAGCTCTGGAATGATAACATAAAACTCATGAAGATGCTGCCACTCTGGCTCCAGCGGCACATGAGTGCACCCCACAGCACCATTGCCCCGGCTGGCATGTGCAAGTATGCAGAACACCCCCATCCCACTCCTGTCGGCACTGCACCCCTGCCAACACATGCATACCTGCTGTGTGCTGCTGCTGCTGGCACATATGTGTGAGTGGGGACCTTGCTACAATCACTACAGTGAAGCACTTTGGCTGGCACACCCCATCAGAGTGTTGTTGCCAGTGGACTGGGAACACCTTAGTGCTTAACATTGAAGGGCCAGACAACAAATCTGTGGGTATGGTACCAGCCTTGCAAAGTTAGAGCATGCAGTTCAGGAGTGCTGAGCTGAGCCTTTGCCCCCTGAAATCTTCCAGAAATGAAGCCATTTGACTGAAACTACCTTGTGCCACAGTCAAACCCTCAAGGGCATTAAAGAATATAAAAAAGGAAAAAATTCCATCCAAAGGACAGTGAGTCAAAACATTAAAGGAACCTTAGCCCACACAGATGTGAAAGAACCAGTGCAAGAACTCTGGCAATGTAAAAAGCCAGAATGTCTTCCTGTCTTCAAGCAATCATACTAACTCTCCAACAATGGTTGTTAACCAGGACTAAATGACAGACATAGATTTCAGAATCTGGATAGAAACAAAGATCATTGAGATTCAGAAGAAAGTCAAAATCCAATCCAAATAATCTAAGGAATCCAATAAGATGACATAAGAGCTGAAAGATGAAATAGGCATTTTAAGAAAGAACCAAACTAAACTGATAGAGCTGAAAAATGCACCTCAAGAATTTCATAATACAATAACAAGTACTAACAGTAGAACGGACCAAGCTGAGGAAAGAATCCCAGATCTCAAAGACCACTTCTTTGAATCAACTCAGTCATATGGCAATAAACAACAAAAAAGAATGAACAAAACCTCTGAGAAATCTGAGATTATGTAAAGAGACCAAACATATGACTCAAGGCATCACTCAAAGAAAGGGAGAAAGAACAAGCAAGTTGGAAAACATATTTGAGGATACTGCCCACAAAAATTTCCCAAATCTTGCTAGAGAAGTCACCATTTAAATCCAGGAAATGCAGAGAATCCTGTGAGATACTATACAAGATGACCATCCCCAAGACAGAGAGTCATCAGATTCCCCAAGGTCAACATGAAATAAAAAAATATGAAAGGCAGCTAAAGTGAAGGGGCAGGTCACATACAAAGGGAATCCCATCAGACTAACAGTGGAACTATAAGATACTCTACAATCCAAAAGAAATTGGGAGCCTATATTCAACATTCTTTTTTTTTTTTTGAGACGGAGTCTCACTCTGTTGCCCAGGCTGGAGTGCACTGGTGCTATCTCAGCTCACTGCAACCTCCACTTCCCGGGTTCAAGCAATTCTTCTCCCTCAGCCTCCCAAGTAGCTGGGACTACAGGTGCACACCACAACACCTGGCAATTTTTTGTAATTTTAGTAGAGACAGTATTTCACCATATTGGCCAGGGTGGTCTCAAATTCCTGACCTCGTGATCTGCCCACCTCAGCCTCTCAAAGTGCTGAGATTACAGGTGTGAGCCACCACGCCCAGCCTTCAGCATTCTTAAAAAAAAAAAAATACTTGGCCGGGTATGGTGGCTCATGCCTGTAATCCCAGCACTTTGGGAGGCTGAGGGGGGCAGAACACAAGGTCAAGAGATCAAGACCATCCTGGCCAACATGGTGAAACCTCATCTCTAATAAAAATACAAAAATTACCTGGGCATGGTGGTGCATGTCTGTAGTCCCAGCTACTCGGGAGGCTGAGGCAAGAGAATCACTTAACCCAGGAGGTGGAGGTTGCAGTGAGCCAAGATAGCACCACTGCACTCCAGCCTGGGGACAGAGCAAGACTCTGTTGCAAAAAAAAAAAAAAAAAAAAAAAATTCAACCAAGAACTTAATATCCAGCCAAACTAAACTTCATATGTGAAGGAGAAGTAAGATCCTTTTCAGACAAACAAATGCTAACGGAATCTGTTACCACCAGACATGCCTTACAAGAGGTCCTTAAGGGAGTGCTAAGCGTGGAAGTGAAAGACTGCTAATGGCCACCACAAAAATACATTTAAGTACATAGACCATTGACGTTGTAAAGTAACTACACAATCAAGTCTCCATAATAACCAGCTAACAACATAATGGCAGGACCAAAGCTATAAATACCAATATTAACTGTGAATGTAAACAGTATAAATGCCCTGCTTAAAACTCACAGAATGGCAAGTTGGATAAAGAAGCAAAGCCCAACTGTATCTGTTGTCAAGAGACCCAGCTCATATGCAACAATACCCATTGGCTTGAAGTAAAAGGATGGAAAAAAATCTACCAAGCAAATGCAAAACAAAAAAGGGTAAGCATTGTTATTCTAATTCAGACAAAATAGACTTTAAACCAACAACAATCAAAAAGACAAAGAAGGGCACTATGTAATGATAAAGGGTTCAATTCAACAAGAAGACTTAACTGTCTGAAAGATAAATGTGCTCAAAACTGGAGCATTCACATTTGTAAAACAAGTTCATAGAGACCTATAGAGAGACTTAGATAACCACAGAATAATAGTGGGAGACTTCAACATCTCACTGATGGTACTAGACAGATCATAGAGACAGAAAATGCACAAAGATATTCAGGACTTGAAGTCAACATTTGGCTAAATGGACCTAACAGCCATCTACAGAACACTCCACCCAACAACAACAGAATATATCTTCTTCTCATCTGTACATGGCATATATTGTAAAATTGATCACACTATCAGTCTAAAATTATTTTCAATAAATTAAAAGAAGCCCCTGAAATCATGCCAACCACACTCTTGGACCGCTCAGTGTAGCAAAAATAGAAGTCAACACTAAGAAGAACTCTCAAAACCATAAAATTACATGGAAATTAAACAACCTGTGCCTGAATGACTTTTGGGTAAACAATGAAATTAAGGCAGAAACCAATATATTTTTTGAAACTAATTAAAACAAAGATACAATATTCTAGGCTCTCTAAGACACAGGCAAAGCAGTGTTAAGGGAAAAGTTTATAGTGCTAAATGCCCATATTGAAAAGTTAGAAGGATCTTAAATTAACAACCTAATATCATACCTAAAGGAAACAGAAAAACAAGAGGAAACCAACCCAAAGCTAGCAGAAGAAAATAAATAACCAAAATCAGAGCAGAATGGAATGAAATTGAGTCATGAAAAGCCATACAAAAGATAAATGAAACTAAAAGCTGGTTCTTCGAAAGAATAAATAAATTTGATAGGTCACTAGCTAGACCAATAAGGAAAAAAAAAGAGAAGATACAAAAAACACAATCAGAAATGGTAAAGTGGACATTACCGCCAACCACACAGAAATACAAAAAACTCTCAGAGACTAAGATGAACATGTTTATGCAAACAAAGTAGAACACCTACAAGAAATGGGTAAATTTCTGGAAACATACAACCTCCCAAGATTGAACTAGGAAGAAATTGAAATCCTGAACAAACCAAAAATGAGTTCTGAAACTGAATGAGTAATAAAAAGTCTCTGAGCCAAAAAAAAAAAAAAAAAAAAAAAAAAAAGCAAGCCCAGGACCCAACAGATTCACAGACAAATTCTACCAGAAGTGTAAAGAAGAGCTGGTACCAATGCTACTGAAATTATTCTGAAAAAATGAGGAGGAAGGATCCCTCCCTAACTCATTTTATGAGGTCAGCATCATTCAGATATGAAAACCTGGCAGAGACACAGCAAAAAAGAAAACTTCAGGACAGTTATCACTGATAATCATAGATGCAAAAATCCTCAACAAAATACAAGCCAACTGAATCCAGCAGCATATCAAAAAGCTAGTCCACTATGATCAAGTAAGCTTTATTGCTGGGATGCAAGTTTGGTTCAAGATATACAAACCAATAAATGTGATTCATCATAAAATAGAACTAAAAATAAAAACATCCCTTCTTGATATAAACCCTCAACAAATGAGTTACTGAAGGAGCATACCTCAAAATAATTGAAGCCATTTATGACAAACCCACAGCCAACTTCATACTGAATGGGAAAAAGCTGGAATATTCCCTTTGAGAACTGGAACAAGACAAGGATGCCCACTCTCACTACTCCTATTCAACATAGTGCTGGATGTCCTAGCCAGTGCAATTAGGCAAGAGAAAGAAACACAGACATCTAAATACGAAGAATGGAAGTCAAACTATGCCTCTTCTTGGGTGAAACACTTTTATACCAAGAAAACCCCATAGTAGCCTCTCGAGAGCTCCCAGATCTGACAAATGACTTCAGCAAAGTTTCAGGATACAAAAATTAATGTACACAAATCTGTAGCATTTCTATACAGCAACAACATCCAAGCTGACAGCCAAATCAAGAATGCAATCCCATTCACAGTAGCCACAAAAAAAACTACAAAATACCTTGGAATACAGCTAAGCAGGGAGGTGAAAAATCTCTAAAATGAAAATTACAAACGAGTGCTCAAAGAATCAGAGACAACAGAAACAAAAGGAAAACATTCCATGATCACAGATAGGAAGAAGCAATATTGTTAAAATGGCCATACTGTCTAAGGCTATTTACAGAGTCAATGCTATTCCTATCATAACACCAATGACATTTTTCACAGGATTAAAAAAAAAGCATTCTAAAATTCATTTGGAGCCAAAAAAAAAAAAAAGCCCAAATAGCCAAAGCAATCCTAAGCAAAAAGAACAAAGTCAAAAGCGTCACACTACCTGACTTCGAACTGTACTACAATGCTACAGTAAGCAAAACAGCATGGTTATGCTCAGCAAAATAAATAATCAGCAGAGTAAAAAGACAACCTATAGAGTGGGAGAAAATCTTTACAAACTATGCACCCAGCAAAGTACTAATATCCAGAATCTATAAGGAACTCAAAAACAGACATAGACCAGTGGAACAAGTTACAGAACGCAGAAATAAAGCCACACACCTATAGCCATCTACTCTTCAACAAACTTGACAAAAACAAGCAATGGGGAAGGGAATCCCTACTTGGAAATTGTGGTGGGATAACTGGCTAGCCGTATGCAGAAAATTGAAACTGGACTCCATACGTTTCACTGTTTACAAAAATCAACTCAAGGTAGATTAAAGACTTAAGTGTAAAACCCAAAACTATAAAAACCCTGGAAGATAGCCTAAGAAATACCATTCTGGATACAGGCCATTCTGGACATATCCTAGGAAATTTCAATTCTGGAAAACACTTTATGACAAAGATGCCAAAAGCAATTGCAACAAAAACAAAAATTGACAAATGGGACCTAATTAAACTAAAGGGCTTCTGCACAGCAAAAGATATCATCAACAAACAACCTATGGAATGGAAGAAAATATTTGCAAACCATGCATTCGACAAAAGTCTGATATCCAGAATCCAAAAAGAACTTAGAAAAATCAACAAGCAAAAATCTAACAACCTCATTAAATGCGCAAAGGACAGGACAAGACACTTCTCAAAAGAAGACAAACACGTAGTCAACAAGTATACGAAAAAATATTCAACATCACTAATCATTGGAGAAATGCAAAACAAAAGTGCAATGAGATACAACCTCACAGGAGGCAGAATGGCTATTATTAAAAAGTCAAAAAGTAATAGATGCTGGCGAGTTTGGGGAGCTACTCCCAGGTCTTTGGAAGGCTGAGGCATGAGAATTGCTTGAACCTGGGAGGCAGAGGTTGCAGTGAGCTGAGATTGGGCCATTGCACTCTAGCCTGGGCAACAGAGCAAGACTCCATCTCAAAAAAAAAATACAGAAAGAGAAAGAAAGAAAAACCCACAGCCAACATTATACTGAACGGGGAAAAGTTGAAAGCATTCCCCTGAGAACTGGAAAAAGACAAGGATGCCCACTTTCACCACTTCTATTCAACATAGTACTGGAAGTCCTAGCCAGAGCAATCAGACAAGAGAAAGAAATAAAGGGCATCTAAATCAGTAAAGAGGAAGTCAAACTGTTGCTGTTCCTGATGATATGATCATATAATGAGAAAACCCTAAAGACTCATCCAAAAAGCTCCTAGATCTGATAAATGAGTTCAGTAACGTTTCAGGATACAACATCAATGTACACAAATCAGTAGCACTGGTATACACTGACGGTGACTGAGCTGAGAATTAAATCAAGATCTCAACCCCTTTTAAAACAGCTACAAAAAAACCAAAACAAACAAACAAAACCAAAGAAAAAAACCCCAAGCAAACCAACTTAGGAATATACCTAACCAAGGAGGTGAAAGACCTCTACAGTGAAAACTACAAAGCACTGCAGAAAGAAATCATAGATGATACAAACAAATAAAAACACATCACATGCTCATGGATAGGTAGAATCAATATTGTGAAAATGACCATACTGCCAAAAGCAATCTACATCATCACTCTTCCCTCAGCTAGAAAAAGCAATCCTAAAATTCATGTGGAAGCCAAAAATAGTCCGCATAATGAAAGTAAGACTAAGCAAAAAGAACAAATGTGGATGCATCACATTGCTTGACTTCAAGCTATATTATAAGGCTATAGTCACCAAAGCAGCATAATACTGGTATAAAAATAGGCACATAGACTAATGGAACTGAATAGAGAACCGAGAAATAAAGCCAAATACTTAAGCCAACTGATCTTTAACAAAGGAAACAAAAACATAAAGTTGGGAAAGGACACCATATTCAACAAACGGTGCTGGGATATTTGGCAAGCCATATGTAGAAGAATGAAACTGCATCCTCATCTCTCACCTTATACAAAAATCAACTCAAGATGGATCAAAGACTTAAATCTAACACCTAAAACTATAAAAATTCTAGAAGGTAACATTGGAAATACCCTTCTAGACATTTGCTTAGGCAAAGACTTCATGACCAAGAACCCAAAAGCAAAGGCAACAAAAACAAAGATAAATAGATGGGACTTAATTAAACTAAGAAGCTTCTACACAGCAAAAGAAATAATCAGCAGAGTAAAAAGACAACCTATAGAGTGGGAGAAAATCTTTACAAACTATGCATCCAACAAAGTACTAATATCCAAAATCTATAAGGAACTCAAATCAGCAAGAAAAAAACAATTTATCCTATCAAAAAGTGTGCTAAGGACATGAATAGACACTTCCCAAAAGAAGATATAAATGGCCAAGAAACATGAAAAAATCCTCAATATCACTAATTATCAGGGAAATGCAAACAAAACCAAAATGCGATACCATCTCACTCCTCCAAGAAGAGTCATAATCAAAAAATTAAAAAAAATTGATGTTGCCATGGATGTGGTAAAAAGGGAACACTTTTACACTGCTGGGGGGAATGTAAACTAGTACAACCACTATGGAAAAGAGTATGAAGATTTCTTAAATAATTAAAAGTAGATCTACCATTTGATCTAGCAATCCCACTACTGGGTATCTACCCAGAGGAAAAGAAGTCATTATATGAAAAAAACACTTGCACACACGTTTTTGGCAGCAAAATTTGCAATTGTGAAAGATATGGAACTAGCTCAAATGCCCATCAATCAATGAATGCATAGAGAAAATGTGGTGTATATATATATGTGTATATACACACACACATATATGTGTATATATGTATATATGTGTATATACACATATATATGTGTGTATATGTGTGTATGTGTGTATATATATACTCACACAGACCATGGACGGAATACTACTCAGCTATAAAAAGGAATGAAATAATGGCATTCACAGCAGCCTGGAAGGAGTTGGACACCATTATTCTAAGTGAAGTAATTCAGGAATGAAAAAACCAAACATTGTATGTTCTGACTTATAAGTGGGAGTTATGCTATGAGGATGCAAAAGCATAAGAATGATACAATGGACTTTGGGGACTTAGGGGGAAGAGTAGGAGGAGGGTGAGGGATAAAAGACTACACCTTGGGTGCAGTGTACACTGCTCTGGTGATGGGTGCACCAAAATCTCAGAAATTACCACTAAAAATATTTTCCATGTAAACAAACACCACCTGTTCCTTAAAAACTAATGAAAAAAATAAAAAAGACAAGAGATCAACCTAAATGCCCATCAATGGTGAACTAGATAAAGAAAATGTGGCACATATACACCATAGAATAATACACAGCCATAAGAAAGAACGAGATCATGTCCTTTGGAGCAACGTGGATGGAGTTGAGGCCAATACGCAAAGTGAATTAACACAGGAACAGGAAACCAAATATCCCATATTCTCACTTATAAGTGGGAGCTAAACACTGAGTACACATGGACAGAAAGAAGGGAACAATCGTCACTAGGTGAATTTGAGGGTGGAGGGTGGAAGGAGGGGGAGAATAGAAAAACTACCTATTGGGTATTATACTTACAACCTGGGTGACAAAATAATCTGCATACCAAATCCCTGTGACATGCAATTTATCCATATAACAAGCCTGCTCATGTACCCCTTGAGCCAAAATAAAAATTGGAGAAGAAAAAAACTCCTAAGAGTTGTCACTTTGGGTAGAGTTACAGGCATTATGATTTGAAGGCATAGTTTAAGGTCATTCCTCCTTTATTTATAAAGTTCTAATTTTTAAAATAAAAGTGCATTTGAGTATTTAATCATAAACATTAATTTAAAAATTCACTGGATTTTGTAGTAACTATGTAATGGATGAACTTTGCTATGAGTGTCATTGGAATGGATAAGCAGAGACAAAAGTTGATGAATTAAGAAATGAAAAGGAGTTAGGATCTAGAGACAGTAGTTATAGACTTATTTTGAGGAATTCAAACATAAGATAAATGGATGGTAAATAAAGATGGATGGGGCATTGGATATACGGCAAGAGATTTTGTTTGCTTGCTTTCTTTAAAATGGGAGAGTTTATATTTATACACCTATGTCTATATAAAATGTTTCTCAAATATATATATACACACATACATATATATGAAATGTGCAACTGTATTTACATATAGCTATGAGGAAGAGGCCATTAGATAGACTAAAACATACAGATATGTTATAATACAGATGAAAAGGAATAAATTGATCACGTGAATTTTCTTTATGATAAACATTTAGGGGCTATGAATGTTTGTTAAAAAAATTTCGTGCAATTTGGGACATTCTCTGCTTTTAATCAACTGCTTTCCAAGGATTTTAACACTGTGAAATGAATTTTAATAGAGATTTTCTATACAATATTCTGAATGTTTTAACAGTTTTAAACAAGCATCCTTAATTGAATATTTTCATAAGAAAAAATGAGAAAGAAATTACCCTAATAGAATTGCCCATTGCCAGGGAAATTTCATAATGAAGTGGGAAAAAACAGCAGCTGCACTTGCCTCCATAAGGCATGGACCTACAGCCAATCTGAAACAAACCACCTTCAAATGTCTCAAAGCCTGAAACACAAAACAGTCACATTTGATGCATTTACAGTGGCCAACAAGAAAATTATTTTAACAAATGTTGGACTATAAAGTCTTTTTTCATAAGAAGCTTTCACTAAACAAAATCTCATTTCAACAGATTGCCCCACTGGACTTTGATCTCTATTATATTTTATAAGTCATCATATGTTGGATTATAAACAATTTCATCTTTTATAAAATATTATTGTATTTTAATTATTAAAATATTAATTTTACTGTGATTAAATAGCTAATGCTACCTTCCTGAACTTTCCTAATACATAGTATAATAATAGTGTCCTTGTAGTGTTTTCCCATTAACTTTTTGATATGAACTCTTTGATTAACTTAATAAGTATAAATACAACACTAACATGCCAAAGAAAATAACTTAAAAACTGCATAATTCATTTTAAAAGGGAGAACTTTTCAATTTTCTCCTTGGTTCATACTTTCTGCTGGAGAATATAATCTCATTGGCTATAATTATTTATGCTCTTGAGCTATTTCTATTAAACCACATTTGCCACATTTATTTGAGTGGCTGTCACATTCATGAATAGTCATCTTCTTATAGATGGGATTTATGATCCCTAGCATGTAATATTTTAAGAAATGCTTTAAAAGATTAGATTTTACAATAATGCAAAGATAATCAGGAACATAATCCTGTAGAGAAAACGTCATAAAAAATTACTGAAATCCTTAATCTCCCTAAAAAAAGAAAAAGAATTGTATAAAGTTTTTCTTATAAAACGTTTGTTTTGTTTTTTTTTTGAGACGGAGTCTCACTCTGTCCCCCAGGCTGGATTGCAGTGGCACTATCTCAGCTCACTGCAACCTCTGTCACTCAGGTTCAAGCGATTCTCTTGCCTCAGCCTCCCGAGTAGCTGGGATTACCAGGTAAATGCCACCATGCACGGCTAATTTTTGTAGATTACAGGCATGAGCCATCATGCCCGGCCTTTTTTTCTTTATCTTAGGTTTGTTTACAGACTCCACTTGGAACAGGTAAATACAATTTTTGCTTCTTTTTCTTTCTCACCATCCTCTAATATTTGAAATAACCTTACTCGATTTGTAATTGTAAATCTACCTGTGGATCGAGTCCAAGCCCAGCTCGTATTAGAATAATGTTAAGGGCAATGCTTCTTAAAATTGAAGACCATGCGTTAGGAACATGGACGTGTTCACTGATGAATGGAACATTCCTAATTGTAAATCCAGCCAGTAACATCCCTTAAAAGAAAGAAAATAAACATACATGACAGTTCATTTTTCTGAGAAAGAAAACAGAAATGTTTACTTTATTTTCTAATGCACTATGTCTCTCATTATTTTGGTAAAGGGCAGGTTACAAGCAAGTAGAGAAGGCAGCATGAATAAAGGAATGGCGATAAACAATACACCTAAATGGGGTTCAACAAGTAATTTAGTGTTGCTGGAACATACAGGGCAAGGAAAGGAGGGAGGAGAATGAGCTTGGTGGGCCAGATCATAGAAAGGTCTCCCCCCACTTTGGCAAAGTAAGGCACCATGGGAAGGTTTTAGGCAGGAAGTAATATAATGAGTCTTGCGATTTTTATATGAGGGTCTTGGTGAATTAGTTAGGGATAAAACTGGAGACAGAGACCAAATTGAAGGCTCCGTCACAGTCCACGCAAAAGTTGGAAACAAATAGCCTAAGCTAGAGCAAAAGAGAAAGTTTGGAGAGGAGGAAAATGATTCAATAAATACTTAGAAGGTGCTGCAAGAAAACTGTGGATACAGAAGGGACAGCAGGGATAAGATGTAGAGATTATCTCTACTGACAGTGTACTGAATATATATTTATTTTTGGGGACAGGGTCTCATTCTGTTGCCCAAGGTGAGTGCAGTGATGCAAACATGGCTCACTGTAGGCTTAACCTCCTGAGGTCAAGTGATCCTCTTGCCTTAGCCTCCTGAGTAGCTGAGACCCAGAAAAATTTTTAATATTTTGTAAAGACAAGGTCTGCTATGTTGCCCAGGCTGGTTTTGAACTCCTGGGATCAGGTGATCCTCCTGCCTTGGCCTCCCAAACTGCTGGGATTATGGGCATGAGTCACCATGCCTGGCCCACTGTACTGAATATTTAGATATATTTGAATACAGTAAGTTCTCACTCAGCATCGTCGATAGGTGATTGGAAATGGCAACTTTGAGTAAAATGGTATATAATAAAACCAATTTTAGCATAGTCTAAATGATATGAACAAGAGTCAATTTCCTACAGCATATTTCTGGTCACAAAACATCATCAAACTTCTAAATAAAGATCCAAAACACTTCTAGTATTAAACAATGAAATAAATTTGAGCTCTACATACATTTTACAAAGTTTTATAAAATAAATAAGATAATTCTTTACTTAATTTTTGATGAATCCACGAGTGACGGTGGTTATAGCAGTGATGGTTAAAATCAAAGAATAAATGTTTACAAAGTGAAAATTGTAAGGAGCACCTCCTCCCACTATACAGTTCAAAAACAAACACAAATATGGTAGGCTGGCTGAGAGTTTTCACATCACATTGTTTATTGTCTTGCATTTGTATGGTTATCATATACTTAACAAAATTTTATTTTGCAATAATTTATATTCATTCATTTATTCATTGTACAATCCACTAGTTCAGGGTCATTGTACAATCCACTAGAATACTAGTTCAGGGTCAAAGGTGACTGAAACTTAATCCAAAAAAATCAAGGAGGGACTCCCTCCCTAACACATTCTACGAATCTAGTATCACAATTATACCCAAATCAGGCAAAGCCACACACACACACACACACACACACACACACACACACACACACTACTGGTCAATATCCCTGATGAACAGAGATGCAAAAATTCTCAACTAGCAAAATCAATTCAATAGTACATCAAAGAGATAATATAGTTAAGTGGGTTTTACTCCAGAAATACAAGGATGGTTCAACATGTGAATCATTCTTCCATAAAGACATATACACACATATGTTCATTGTGGCACTATTCACAATAAAAAGACATGGAATCAACTTAAATGACTAAATAAAGAAAATGTGTTACATATACACCATGGAATACTATGCAGTCATAAAAAAGAATGGCATCATATCCTTTGTAGCAACATGGATAGAGCTGAACACCATTATCCTAAGTGAAATAACTCAGAAACAGAAAACTCAAATACCACATGTTCTCACTTATATGTGGTAGCTAAACAATGGGTACATATGGACATAAAGATGGAAATAATAGACACTGAGGAGTCCAAAAGGAGAGAGGGTTGGAGAGTTAAGGTTGAAAAATTTCCTATTGGGTATAGTATTCACTGTTTGATGATGGGTTCACTAGAGCCCAAATCTCACCATTATGCAACATATCCATGTACCAAACCTGCACATGTACTCCGTGAATCTAAAATTTTTAAAGATTCTATTAAACAATAAAGCAACAGGAATAATGTACTAAGGATATTAAATTTATTTTTAAAATAAATTTTGGATAAAACTTGTGTGTGTATATATGTAGACAGAGAGAGAAATAAATGCCCCTATAAAAGAGCTATACACACACACACACACACACATACAGCAAATACACACATGAAGAAACTATATAAAACATACTACATTGAAATATTTCTGAATTATAACTAATTCAACAAGAAAATGTTCAAAATTTGCATATAATCAATAATAAAGAAAAGAGAGCTAATTATATACTTACCAAGAAGAGGTGGAAGTGGAGGCACTAAAGGTATTCTAATGAGTTGTAAAATTTTTCCCCCAATAATGGCACTATAAAAAATAATTAACAATCCAAATAAATTTCCACTAGGGAGAGCTTCAGAGCCTAAGATTGACCAGGTCATACACCATATCACAAACAGTGTAACTCCTGAAATACAAAAAAGTGTACAGCTATATATCTATATACACATAGATGTATACAAACAAATGATCAATTCTCTTTTATCATATATACTAATAGCCAGTTCTATAAAATGATACATGGTATAGATCAACATTGCTTACTAGTTTGGTGAAAGAGATATCTGCTTAACATATATTCCAAATAACCTGTCAATTTATGAAGTAGGTTTTAAACAAAGTGTTTTCACTTTAAAAATATTTAAAAACTATATGTGGGCCAGGTGCAGTGGCTCACGCCTTAATCCCAGCACTTTGGGAGGCTGAGGTGGGCTGGATCACATGAGGTCAGGAGTTTGAGACCAGCCTGGCCAACACAGTGAAATCCCGTCTCTACTAAAAATGCAAAAATTAGCCAGGCGTGGTGGTGCGTGCCTGTAATCCCAGCTATATGGGAGGCTGAGTCAGGAGAATTGCTTGAACCCAGGAGGTGGAGGTTGCAGTGAGCCAAGATTGTGCCACTGCACTCCAGCCTGGGTGACAGAGTGAGACTCAGTCTCAATAAAAAAATTAAAAAAATTTAAAAAAACCTATATGTGAACTCTTGAAAATGTTAACTTATAATATATGATAGTTAAAAACATCATGGCAATATGATGAGATTTACTTCATTTTATATTTTAAAATAGCTTTTTCATCAGGATGGAAAATAAGAGGATGATTGGCTGTGATAAGAATTCACAACATTATTGAAGATCACAGTGTCAAGGTGCCAAATCTTTTAACAGGAACCTGCTAAATCTTTTTATTGAAAGGATAATTCAACTGATATTTGGCATAAATGTATTATAGGAGGAAATGGCTGGAAGAAATGAACCTAGATTTTGTGGGAATAAATATAAAGTATTTTAGATTATGTGTAGGAGGTAGAGGTAGATTAAGATGAGTAGGTATAAGTTACTAGACATCTTGTTTCTGACAACTAGGTGCTACTCACTGAGGAATCCACAGGTTTCTGTAAAGGACAGACAATAACATGGTAAATTTCCATTTGCTAATTAAATGGCTACCTTTATTTGCTATGAATCATAATTGCTAATGCTTTTAATATTCTTAAAACAGCTTACATGAACTTTTTAGCTATGGACCCTTTCTGGCTGTATAGAATTTGCCAGGGTAGAGGAGGAGGATTTTGACTCACTCCAGGCAGAAAGTTAGAACAAAGTTTTTTTCCTCCTCCCCTCTGATTATTGTCATCCTGCAAAACTGGAAGCCTTGGAGAGCTAAACTCTTACTAAAATAATGGACCAGGCTGGGTATGGTGGCTCGCGCCTGTAATCCCGGGACTTTGGGAGGCCGAGGCGGGTGGATCACCTGAGGTCAGGAATTCAAGATGAGCCTGACCAACACGGTGAAAAGCCGTCTCTATTAAAAATAGAGACAATTAGCCTGGCCTGTTGGTGCATGCCTGTAATCCCAGCTACTTGGGAGGCTGAGGTAGGAGAATTGCTTGAACCCAGGAGGCGGACATTGCAGTGAGCTGAGATGGCGCCACTTCACTCCAGCCTGGGTAACAAGAGCAAAACTCCATCTCAAGAAAACAAAACAAAACAAAAAACAAAAATAAAAAACACGGACCAGAAAATGTCATCCTACTGACAAATTGAGAAGACAAGGCAGTTTGTCTTAGCTGGTCTCTGGGTGGCAAAGTCTTTTTTGAGAATTCATATGTAAAACTGGCCTCATCCAACTTATGCGTAGGGCTCAAATTACATTACGTGCACAGGTTAGGGATCCCAAAGTTCTAAACCTACCATAAAAGTGTCCCTGCATTGAAGTATCCCTAGAAAACTTAGTAGATGCTAATTCAAAAAATCTCTAATAGACACACCTGATCCCAGACTGCATAAAGTCTCAAAGGTAAAGCCAAGTGAATCTGAACTTAAAATAAGAAGAAATATCCCATGAGCAAAAGTTAACAGATACAATAAAGAATGGGATTAGATGTCTAAAAACCTCAGCTAATAGAACCACTAGATAGACACTATAAAATATGTATTTTCTAAGGGACTAGAGAAAATTTTTAAAAATTGGAGACATGAGAAGAAGAAATTACTTGAAAGTATTGTAAAATAATTAAATAGAACATCTAGAAAAAACTTTAAAATTTACTCAACTGAAAAAAACCCACTAAGTACCCAAATAGCAATCTAGGCAAAGCTGAAGAGAGAACACAGCAAAGTAGTAGATATGAGGAAATTATTTAAGAGCATAGCACACACACAAAAAAACGAGGTGGAAAATGAGAGATTTAGATTATGGAAAAGATCTAAAACACAACTAATGGTAGTTTCAGAAACATCCATTGAAAGAATGAAGAAGATATAATATTTGAGAAGAAAACTGGCTTCAAATTTTACAGAATTGATTAGGGTTTTTATTGATTTGGACACAGGAAGTCAAATGAGTTCTAATCATGATTAAGTAAAAATAGATACTTAGATAAAATGTTGAGAAACTATAGACTACCAAAGGCAAAAATAAAATCTTAAATAATCTAGACAGAGAAAGAGAGATTAATCATAATTGAATAAACAATAGAGCAGATTCTCAATTCTTAGCAACAATAGAAGTTGGAAGATAATTAAATAAAGTCTTCAAAGTACAGAGATAAATAAAACATTCAGTGCTGAATTCTGTAGCCAGTTAACTGTCACTCGAACAAAAGACAAATGAAAGATATTGTCAAACAAATACATTTAAGAACATATGCCATTTTTTACCAGGGAAAAATCTACTGAAAGATATGCTTTAGAAATATGACATAGAACCAGAAAAGATGGAACAATGTGCAAAGAAATTGGTAAAATGTAGGTTAGTCTAAACAAGTATTTGTTGTGTAACACATTACTAATGAAAATTGTTAATCAGAGGATATAAAGATAAGGTTGGGAAGTGACATGAAAAGGTTGGCAATTTATTTCCACACCAAAACTCCCCCCAAAAATTGCAGAAATACCAAAAACAATAATTTCAGGACCCTGAAAACTCATCAAAGGCAGTTATCAAATTTAAGAAGCATTTATTCTTGAAAAAAGTGTTAGGGTTTTGGGTAGGATTGGTAAAAGTCTGAGCCCTTCCTGACGGGGGTTTCTCCCTGATATAGTTTGGCTTTGTGTCCCCATCCAAATCTCATCTTGAATTATACTCCCATAATTCCTATGTGTTGTGGGAGGGACCTCGTGGGAGATAATTGAATCATGGGGGTGGTTCCCCCCCATACTGTTCTCGTGGTAGTGAATAAGTCTCACAAGATCTGATGGCTTTATCAGGGGTTTCCGCTTTTGCAACTTCCTCATTTTCTCTTGCCACCACCATGTAAGAAGTGCCTTTCACCTCCTGCCATGATTCTGAGGTCTCCTCAGCCACCTGGAACTATAAGTCCAGTTAAACCTCTTTTTCTTCCCAGTCTTGGGTATGTCTTTATTAGCAGAATGAAAACAGACTAATACACTCCCATCTCTCTTCTCACCCCCAAGCTCAGTTGGGGAAAACTGTAGTTTTACCAGTTTGAAGCTGGATGTAAAACCCAGCAGCTTTCCTGTTAGGGCTGGGGGCACGGGTGGATTTGGTATGGAGCAGAGGGAAGAAATCAATGGTTTTGCCAGTTAAATATAGCAGAGTGGTTTGGGAATGAACAGAGAGAATTGCAGATTTGCTAGTCTGAGGTTGCAGTTTCAACTGGGGAAGTGGAAGACAAGACAAAAATTTAAGTGAGAGATCCTGAGGGTCAATAGATGCAGCAAACCACCATGGCACATGTATACCTGTGTAACAAACCTGAATGTTCTGCACATGTATCCTGGAACTCAAAGTGAAAGAAAGAAAGAAAGAAAGAAAGAAAGAAAGAAAGAAAGAAAGAAAGAAAGAAAGAAAGAAAGAGAGAAAGAAACAAAGAAAGAAAGAGGAAGAAAGAGAGAGAGAGAAAGAGAGAAAGAAAGAAGAAAGAAAGAAAAAAGAAAGAAAGAAAGAAAGAAAGAAAGAAAGAAAGAGAAAGAAAGAAAGAAAGAAAAGAAAGACCCACATGCTAGGCTAGAGTTTTCCAGTTCCAAGTTCCAATTCTCTCACTGAGAAGAGTGGCTCACTATGCCTAAACTGTTTATACAAACAATGTGGTTTACTCTGAACAGCTGCTTTTCCTCTGAGAGTCTGGAATTCTGGTACATGTGAAGGAGAGTAACCTCCGTAAAATCCTGAGAACTGAGTCTCTAATGAGACTCTGGTCCTGGTAGATGACATTGCACATGTGCTGTCAAAATTTCATGCTGGGAAAGAGAAACACATCCTTGTAACTCCACAGGAGATGATTCCAGGAAGCTCATGCCTGGTATCCTCCAGACTTTACCACATACAACTTTTTCCCTTTGCTAATTTTGCTTTGTATCCATTCACTATAATAAATTAAAAACCTGAGTATTACTAAAAAAAAAAAAAAAAAGAGAGAGAGAGAGAAATCCTGGAAAGGAGAGAATCATAAAAAGTTTGAGAAAAGTTCTCCACACGTATTGCCGATTGGAAAAGTATGGAAGTGCAGGAAAGACTCAAGATAGTATGACAAAAAGTAAAAATGAAGTAAGACTTGAGTATTAATTGCAACTTTGAATGCATTCACCCACCCACCCACAGATTATTTGGCAGAGAGTGGAAGCCTTACTAGCTTTAATATAATGTCTCTCAAAAATCAAGCTATGCAACAGACACAAAGGAAATCCCTAGAAAGACAGGCTAAAACAACAATAACAACAACAACACAATATAAAAGACATCAATGCTGAAAACCACTGGGCAGAAGGATTACACAGCACAAGTATAGGCCAATTACCAAAACATAACAACAACAAAGACAATAACAAATAAAAACCAAATCCAGATTTGCTATAATGTGTAATTAAAGTGTTTAGTTTTCAATTAAAAATTATCAGACATGTAAGGAAACAGGAAAATATGGCTCATACTCTGGAAAAAAAGCAGTGAATAGAAACTGTCTCAATTCAGATATTGGATTTAGAAAGAAAGTTTTGAAAGTATATATTATAAATATGTTCAAATTAAAAATATGATAATGTGCTGTCTAATAGAGAATATGAATAAGGAGACAGAATATGTTTAAAAATAGAATCTAGAATTGAAAAGTACAACAGTTAAAGTGAAAAAATCACTAACGAGGTTCAATAGCATATTTGACCTTGTGAAAGAAAGTATCAGTGAACTTGAAGATAGACCAGTAGAGGTTAATCAATCTGAAGAACAAAAAGAAAAAAGAATGAAGGATAATAAAGAGATCCTCAGAAACTTATGGGATACCATCAAGAGCACTACCATATGCATAATGGGAATTCCAGGAGAAGAGAGAGATAAGAGGACAGAAAAATATTTGAAAACATAATGTCTGAAAACTTCAAAAATGCTACGAAAAACATTAATCTTCAGATATAAGAAGTCCAACAAATCTCAAGTAGGATAAACACAAAGAGATTCACACCTAGAGCCATCCTTGTCAAATTGGTGAAAACCAAGGATAATAAGAAAATCATGAAAGTAGCAAGGGATGACTTATCACATACAGGGGAACAATAATATTATCAATACTGGCATTTTTATCTGAAAAAAATGGAGGCCTTATGAAGCGACATTTCAAAAGTGGAGGGAAAAATAACTGTCAATTAAAAATTCTGTATCCATTTAAATGATCCTTCAAAAATGGAGCTGAAATAAAGACATTTCCAGATAAATAAAAATAAAGAGAACTTATCCTTGCTAAAGAAACACTAAAGAAAATGCTTTTAAGATAAAAGGATATGACACCAGATGGCAACTTGAACCTATAAGGAATAAATGGCACGGGAAATGGTAAATAAATTTGTAAGTATAAAAGATTGTATGTGGGCCGGGCGCAGTGGCTCACGCCTGTAATCCCAGCACTTTGGGAGGCCGAGACGGGCGGATCACGAGGTCAGGAGATCGAGACCATCCTGGCTAACATGGTGAAACCCCGTCTCTACTAAAAATACAAAAATTAGCCGGGCATGGTGGCGCGTGCCTGTAGTCCCAGCTACACGGGAGGCTGAGGCAGGAGAATGGCGTGAACCCGGGAGGCAGAGCTTGCAGTGAGTCGAGATCGCGCCACTGCACTCCAGCCTGGGCGACAGAGCGAAACTCCGTCTTAAAAAAAAAAAAAAAGATTGTATGTGTGTGTGTGTGTGTATTCTGATTTCATCTCTTTTTTTAAAAAAATCATCTGATTATTATAGGCAATAACTATAACAATACTGCTGAGTTCATAGCATATAAGAGATACATTGATCAAAGTTGCTATATAACACTGGAATTAAGTAAAAATTACTAAACCAAAGTAGATTGTAAAAAGTGAAGATGATTGATTATTATAATCCCCAAAGGTAGTTGGGAGGCTGAGATAGAAGTACTGCTTGAGGCTAGGAGTTTGAGACTAGCCCGAGCAACACAATGAAACTCTGTTGATATAGTTTGGATATGTGTCCCTGCCCAAATCTCATGTTGAATTGTAATCCCCAAAGTTGGAGATAGGTCCTGCTGGGAGGTGAATGGATCATGGGGGCAGATTTCTCATGAATCGTTAGTACTGGCTAATTTGGTATTTTTAGTAGAGACAGGGTTTCTCCATGTTGGTCAGGCTGGTCTTGAACTCCTGACCTCAGGTGATCCACCCGCCTCAACCTCCCAAAGTGCTGGGATTACAGGCAGGAGCCATCGTGACTGGTCTAAGTTTTACTTTCTAAAAATTATATTAAAATTTATATTTCTCTATTATCTAATCATAAATTATATCAAATATGCTGTTTTGAATTTTATTTTTCCCTTTAAACGTAAAGACACACATTCAGTTCATTGTGCTAGATAAATTACCAGTGTGATCACAAATTAAGAAATGCAATTCAAAGAATTTTGCATACAAGGAGTCCTGAAAGTGTTAATAATTTTTGATGCAAAGATAATTTTATGAAAGTAATAGAAGACTAAAAAAAGGTACAAAACAATTATTATGTAAGTATCTTCCTTTTTCTGAATCACCCATGATTACTTTTTCCACTAAGCAAAAACTGACTACATACTTCAGACCTGTCTCAAATCTCCCCAGCCTCTTTTCCTAAACCTCCCCAGCCTCTCAGGACAGACAGGATGCTCCTGTACTTTGTGCATTCTGCTATTTTTAGCAAGAGGCCTATTTTGTCGGTGTTGTCTGAATAGTATTTGCCGACTCTCAGACTTTCAGTCACTTATTTGTTTATTTATTTATTTATTTGTCTCCTTTTCTTGTATTTCCCTTTTCCTTTTCTTTCCTTTCTTTTTCCCTTTCCTCCTCCCTTCCTTTGCTTACTTATTTTTTCCCTTTAATTCCCATTCACTATTTCCATGACTGCCAAATAGTAGGTTGATCCTTTAAAATATTCCTTTTTTAAAATTTATTGTACTTTAAGTTCTGGGATACATGTGCAGAACGTGCAGGTTTGTTACATAGGTATACACGTGCCATGTGGTTTGCTGCACCTATCTACAATATATCTTAAAATGAATAAAAGTGGAAACACACAGGAGACAGGGTGTATGGGGTGAGTGGGTTGCCAAGTGGATGGTGGCAGGGTGCTCCAGGGTGGCCAGTGGGGCTAAGTGTTGTGTATTCCAAGCATGGCGGGGTTCCTGCCTTCCTGTGTGGCAGACTGTGGCATCAGGTAAGAGCCACTCAGTGCCCACCCTGGCTCCTCCATTGCCTTGCTCTCAGCCCCTGACATCCAGCCCACACCTGGAGATTGAGTTGTACCCACTGCTCTGGGTCTCAGCCCTGTGATCACCTCAGTAGATATTCTGAGCTTGGCTATGCAGGCAACACTGAGCCATAGTTTACTATTCTTTTATGCATTTCTATCAGAGAGTCAGCAAAGGTAGTTGACAAAGCCCAAGGGAGAATGTTGAAGGGAGTTGATGACCTTGACTTTTTCATACAGGATGAAGCCATTGATAAATATGTATGCTACAAAGTGGTCAATATGACATGGAATCACTGAAGACTGGGATATTATGGAAAGGTTCATGGAGCAAGTGGTTTTTAAATATCTTTGAGCAGAATCTGAGGACCATTATTTTTTAATGACAGAACTTCCACTGAATACACTAGAAAATACAGAGCATTTTTGCAGAAATTATGTTTGAACTATTTAATGTACCAGGATTCTACATTGCAGTTCAGGATGTACTAGCCTTGGAAGTATCTTGGACATCTCAACAAGTGGGTGAATATATGTTAATGAGTACAGTCATTGACAAAGGAGATGGAGTCACCCTTGTTCTCCCAGTTGTAGAAGGTTATGTAATTGAGAGCTGCATCAATCACATCCTGATTGTAGGTGATACTGTGTATTTCATTCAACAACTGCTAAGGGAGAGGGAGGTAGGAATCCCTCTTGAGCAGTCACTGGAGACCACAAAAGCCATTAAGGAGAAATACTGTTACTTTTGCCCTGATATAGTCAAGGAATTTGCTAAGTATGATGTGGATCCCTGGAAGTGGATCAAACAGTACACAGGTATCAATGTGATCAACCAGGAGAAGTTCATAATAGACGTTGGTTACAAAAGGCTCCTGCAACCTGAAATATTTTTTTACCCAGAGTTTGCCAACCCAGACTTTATGGAATCCATCTTGAATATTGTTGATGAATACAAAACTGTCCCATTGATGTGCATTGTCCACTGTATAAGAATGTTGTTCTTTCAAGGGGTTTGGCCATATTCAGGGATATGAATCTCAACTACAGAGAGATTTGAAGAGTGGTACATGCCAGATTAAAACTCAGTAAGGAGCTCAGTGGCAGGATAATCAAACCTAAGCTTACAGAGGTCCGGGTGGTAATCCGTCACATGCAGCACTATGCCTTATGGTTTGGAAGCTTAATGCTAGCCTCAACTCTGGAGTTATTTCAGGTCTGTCACACCAAGAAGGACTATAAAGAATATGGCCCCAGCATCTGCCACCAGAGCCTTCTCTTTGGAGTAATGTCTTAGTGTCTGCCTTGAAAGCATCATTTAATAGTGTCATGTTGGGGAATGAGTGTCCTTCAGAACCCAGAGAAGACTACCATTTCTAAATGACATTTGGTGTTGATGTCTGAGCAGCATGCTTGCATCACCTAGTGCATGAGGCACAGGGCAGAGTCATTTCAGTAAAAACCATTTCTTTATGTGTTGACTGTTGTATGCCCACTCCTTCTTCTCTCACTCCCTTTCTTCATGCTTCCCCAGTTTCCCTCCTCCTTTTCACTTGAACTTTTTTGTTGACAAATACCATTCTGAAGGAATTCAAATGTGACTCTGAAAATTGTTAAGAGGAAAAAAAATTTCAAAAATGGCCCAAAATAGTTCTCCCCCAGGAAAGAATGCAGTGGTATAAATCCTTTTCCCCCAGCCTATTTTTATAAATAAAATGTTATAAACTTAAAATACAAAAAACCAAAAACATAGCAATATTTACAGGATGCAATTAAAGCAGAGTATAGAGGAAAATGTATAGCTTTAAAAACAGAAAGAAAAAATAATCTAAAATTGATAATCAAAACTTCCATCTTAAGACTCTAGAAAAAGATGAGTAAACCAAGCCGAAAGTAAGTAGGATGTATGAAATAAAAATGTCACAGTGGAAAACGAGAAATACAGAACAGGATAACGTTAAAAACAACCAAAGAAACCCAAAATTGCTTATTTCAGAAAGTCAAGAAGATAAATAATATTTAGTTAAATTGACCAAGAAAAAAGAAAGAAGACACTAATCCCAAAATCAAGAATCAAAGAGAAATATCACCACAGACCCTACCCTTAAAAGGATGTTAAGAAAATAGCATAATAACTTTAAGGCAAAAAATTTGACAACTTAGATAAAATAGAACAATTCCTTGAAAGACACAAATTACCAAAACTGACTCAAGGAAAAAGAAAAAAAAACAAATACCAATATCAAGTAAAGAAATTGCATCAGTAATTTCAAATCTTCCTATAGAGAAAAAATATACTTCACTGGTGAATTCTATCAAACTACTAAGGGAGGAAATAATACCAATGTTACAAAAACTTTATTCAGCAAATAGAGGATGAAGGAAACTTCCCAACTAACCTTATTTCATTTGATATCAATATTACCCTGATATCAAAACAAGACAAAGACATTACAAGCAAACACAGCTATATACCAATATCCCTTGTGAACCTAGACATAAAAATTCTTAACCAAATATTAGCAAATGTAATTGAGCAACATATGAAAAGGATTTTATACCATAATCAAATGAAGTTTATCTCAGGAATGTGAGGTTGACTTAACATCCGAAAATCAATGTAATAAACTATATTAACAGAATAAAGGACAAAACCATATGATCACCTCAATAGATGCAGAAAAGCATTTGACAGAATTCAACAATCATACATTAAAAAAAATCTCATCAACTTATGAATAGAAGGGAACTTCTTCAAATGATCAAGGCATCTACCAGAAGCCTATAGCCAACATATTTAATGGTAAGAATGTGCTTCCCTCTAGATTAGGAAACATGCAAAGATATCTGTGTTTACCACTTCTATTTAACAATGCACCACAGGTCTTAGTTTGTGCAATAGTCAAGGAAAAAAGGTATGGAAAAAAGACAACTCTTTTTATTGTTAGCCTTGTATGCAGAAAATCCTAAGGAACACACCCACACACACACCCACATACCACACCCCCTCCCAGACTTACTAGAACTAAGAGGGGGGCTTAGTAAGTTTGTAGAGTATATGATCAATATACAAAAATTGGTTATATATATAGTAGCAACAAACAATACAAAGATGAAATAAAGAAAACAATTCCAATCACAATAGCATCAAAAATAAATGTCTTAGTTTGTTTTATGTTGTTATAATAGAATACCTGAGACTGTACGAAGAGGTTTATTTAGCTCATGTTTCTCCAGACTGGGAAGTTCAAGAAGCATGGCACCAGTATCTGCTTAGCTTCTGGTGAGGGCTTTAGCAGTGCATCACAACATGGCAGAAGACCAAAGAGGAAGTGGGAAAGTGCCAAGAGGCCAAACACAAGGTACAACCTTGTACAATGGGTTGCTTTATAACAATCCATTCTCAGGGCAACTAATCTATTTCCACAGGAACCAATCCAGTTTCATGAGAGCAAGAACTCACTCACTATATGAGGACTGCACGAAGCTGCTTAAAATGGCAGAGCCCGCATGACCCAAGCATCTCCCATTAGGCCCTACCTCTTAAAGGTTCCAACATGATTTTTGACAGAAACACGGAAACCATGGCATTTCACCCTTGGAACCCCAAACTCATGTCCCTCTTACACTACAAAATGTAATTATTCAATCTCAATGGTCCCCAAAGTGTTAATTTATTCCAGTAACAATTTAAAGGTCAAAGCCCAAAGTCTCATATAAGACTCAAAGCAAATTCCTTCTAGCTATGAGCCTGTAAAATAAAAATAAAAATAAAAAAACACAAGTTATTTACTTCCAAGATACAATGGTGGAATAGTCATATGGCAGACAGTCCCATTCCAAAAGGGAGAAATAAGCCAAAAGAAGAAAGAGGTGACAGACCTCGAGCAAGTGCAAAACTCAGCAGGGCATACACTAAATCTTAAAGCTCCAGAATAATTCTCCACTCTATGTGCTACCTCCTGGGCACAGTGGGGAGTTTTTATCCCTAAAGCCTTGGGCAGCCCCACCTCCATTGCTTTGTTGGGCATAGCCACATGGCTACTCTCACTGGTTGGAGTTGGATACCTGTGGCCTTTCCAGGCTGAGGTTGCATGGTGGCAATGGCTCTATAGTTCTGGAGTCCCAGTGGTGGTCCACTTCGTGGATTCACTGGGCATTGCCCTGGTACAGACTCTTTGTGGCAGCTCCAACCCTACATTTCTCCTCAGCTTTGCCCTAGGGGAGGTACACTGCAGTGGCTCTGGCCCTGCAACAAGTCTCCACCTGAGCTCCCAGTCTTTTCAGTACATTCCTTAAAATCTAGGTGGCAGCCACCATGCCTCCACTTCTCTTGTATTCTGCACATCTGCAAAAATAGTACCACAAGGTTGTAAAAGCCATCAAGGCTTACCGCTTGCACCCTCCAGAGTGCTGTCATGAGCTGTATCTGAGGCTGCTTGATCCATGACTGTGTGTCACCAAGGTTTATGGTTTGTATCTTGTGGAATGGCAGCCTGAGCCACACCTGAGTATGATTGTGCCATGGGTTGGGTGGCTGCTGAGGGCTGTGCCAGAATTTGGGGAGCAGGATCTCAAAACAGCACAGGGCAGTGATGCATGGGTTCTGTCTCTTAAAACCATTCTGTCCTCCTAGACCTCTGGAGAGGCAACCTCAAAAATTTCTGAAATGTCTTCAGGGCCTTTAAAAAAATTGTCTCAATAATTGTCAACTGGTTTTCTTCTCTCAGTGCTAATCTCTTTAGTATTGGTTGTTCTGCTGCACCCTTGGATTCTTCACCTGAAAATGCTCTTTCATTCTCTTCCACATGGCCAGGCTATTAATTTTCAAATTTTTGTGTTTGCTTCCATTGTCATTTTGCATTTCACTGAATGTAGTAAGGAGTAACTACATAGCTGCTCTATATTTTGCTTAGAAATTTCTTCTGCCAGGTACCCTAGTTCATCACTCTTAAGTTTGGCCTTCCACAAAACCTTAGGGCACAAAGCCTTAGAAACAACACAGCCAAATTTTTGCTATGGTCTAACAAGGATGACTTGGTCTCCAGTTCCTAATACCTTGTTCCTCATTTCTATCTGAGATCTCATTAGAATGGCCTTTGCTGTCCATATTTTTATCAGCATTGTGGTAATGACTACTTAACCAATCTCTGAGAAATTCTAAACTTTCTCTCATCTTTTTGTTGTCTTTTGAGCCCTCACTGAAATTATCCTTAATGCTCTGTTTATGGCAATACAGTCTTCTTCTAGTCTGCTCCTTCAAACTTTTCCAACTTCTGCGCATTACCCAGTTCCAATGATGCTTCTGCATTTTTGAAAATCTAAATAGCAACATCCCACTTTCAGTACCAATTTTCTGTCTTAGTCCGTTTTGTGTTGCTGTAACAGAATACCGGAGACTGAGTAATTTATAAAGAGGTATATTTGGCTTGCAGTTCTGCAGGCTGGAAAGAATGACACTGGCATCTGCTTGGGTTCTGGTGAAAGCTTTAGTGTTGTGTCACAACATGTTAGAATAAGGTCAAAGGGGAGTAGGCAAGTACCAGGAGGCCAAGCATGAAGCCTGACCTCACCGTATAGCAATTCATTCTCATGGTAACTAATCCATTCCTGAGAGAACTAATCTCACAAGAGTGAGAACTCACTCACCAGTGTAAGAATAGTACCAAGCTTCCCACAAAGGAAGAGCTCCCAAGACCCAAACACTTCCCAATAGGCCCTACCTCTTAAGCGTTCCAACATGCGTTTTGGTAGAGACACTCAAACTATAGCAATAATAATTAGGAATAAATTTAACAAAATAAGTGTGAAACCTTTGCACTGAAAACTAAAAAACATCACTCAGATAAATGCCTAAATAAATGGAGAGATATATCATGTTAATGGATTAGATGACTCAATATTGTTAGATGTCAATTGATCTACAAATTAACTGAAATTCCTGCCAAAAGTCTAGAAAGATTGGAAAAATTGACACGCTGATTTTAAAATTATATAGAAATACAAAAATACCTAGAATAGCCAAAACAATCTTGCTAAGTAAGAATGAAGTTAGAGTACTTAATACTGCCTTATTTTAAAATTCAGTGTAAAGCAACAGTAGTTAAGACAGTGTAGAATCCACATTAAGAGAGATAGATAGATCAATGGAACTAAGTGGAGTTCAGAATCCAACCCACATAAATAGTCAATTAATTTTCATCAAAGATGCTAAGACAATTCAATAGGAGAAAGATGTTCTTTCAACAAATGATTCTATAAGAACTGGTTATTCATTTACAAAAACTAAACCTAGATCCTTAGGTCATATACGAAAATTAACTAAAATGGATCATAGACCTAATTGTATGAGCTAAAACTGTAAAACTTCTAGGAAAAAAAAATAGGAGAAAATATTTATGACCTCAGACTAAGAAAAGGTTTCTTAGATATAATATCAAAAACATGTTCCATAAAAGAAAAACAGATAAATTGGACTTCACCAAAATGATGAAATCTTTGCTTTTCAAATATTTCTTAAATAAATGAAAAGAGAGGATCGTTCCAAGATGGCCGAATAGGAACAGCTCCTGTCTGCAGCTCTCAGGATAATTGACATAGAAGACAGGTGATTTCTGTATTTCCAACTGAGGTACCTGGTTCATCTCACTGAGACGGGTCGGACAGTGGGTGCGGCCCACAGAGGGTGAGCCAAAGCAGGGCAGGGCGTTGCCTCATCTGGGAAGCAGCACAAGTGGTCGGGGATTTCCCTTCCTAGCCAAGGGAAGCCGTGACAGACGGTACCTGGAAAATCTGGACACTCCCACCCTAATACTGTGCTTTTCCAGTGGTCTTAGCAAACGGCACACAGGAGATTATATCCCATGTATGGCTTGGTAGGTCCCATGCCCACACAGCCTTGCTTACTGCTAGTGCAGCAGTCCGAGATCGAACTGCAAGGTGGCAGCCTGGGCTGGGGGAGGGACGTCCACCATTGCTGAGGCTTGAGTAGGTAAACAAAGCAGCTGGGAAGCCTGAACTAGGTGGAGCTCACTGCAGCTCAATGAGGCCTGGCAGCCTCTGTAGACTCCACCTCTCGGGGCAGGGTATAGCTGAGTAAAAGGCAGCAGAAACTTCTGCAGACTTAAACATCCCTGTCTGACAGCTCTGAAGAGAACAGTGGTTCTCCAGCATGGAGTTTGAACTCTGAGAATGGACAGAGCTGCCAGTAGGGACTTACTGACACCTCATACAGCCAGGTGTCCCTCTGAGATGAAGCTTCCAGAAGAAGGATCAGGCAGCAATATTTGCTGTTCTGCAGCCTCCACTGGTGACACTCAGGAAAACAGGGTCTGGAGTGGACCTCCAGCAAACTCCAACAGACCTGCAGCTGAGGGTCCTTATTGTTAGAAGGAAAACTAGCAAACAGAAAGGAACAACATCAACAAAAAGGACATCCACACCAAAACCACATCTGTAGGTCACCATCATTAAAGACCAAAGGTAGATCTAACCACAAAGATGGGGGGAAACCAGAGCAGACGAGCTGAAAATTCAAAAAAACAGAGCGCCGCTTCTCCTCCAAAGGATTGCAGCTCCTTGCCAGCAATGGAACAAAGCTGGATGGAGAATGACTTTGATGAGTTGACAGAAGTATGCTTTAGAAGGTCAGTAATAACAAACTTCTCTGAGCTAAAGGAGGATGTTCGAACCCATTGCAAGGAAGCTAAAAACCTTGAACAAAGATTAGATGAATGGCTAACTAGAATAAACAGCATAGAGAAGACCTTAAATGACCTGATGGAGCTGAAAACCATGGCACAAGAACTAAATGATGCATGCAAAAGCTTCTGTAGCTGATTCAATCAAGTGGAAGAAAGGGTATCAGTGATGGAAGATCAAATAAATGAAATGAAGTGAGAAGCGAAGTTTAGAGAAAAAGAGTAAAAAGAAATGAACAAAGCCTCCAAGAAATATGGGACTATGTGAAAAGACCAAATCTAAGTTTGATTGGTGTACTTGAAAGTGATGGGGAGAATGTTTTAGACATGAAATCCTTGCCCATGACTATAACCTGAATGGTATTGCCTAGGTTTTCTTCTAGGGTTTTTATGGTTTTAGGTCTAACATGTAAGTCTTTAATCCATCTTGAATTAATTTTTGTATAAGGTGTAAGGAAGGGATCCAGATTCAGCTTTCTACATATGGCTAGCCAGTTTTCCCAGCACCATTTATTAAATAGGGAATCATTTCCCCATTGCTTGTTTTTGTCAGGTTTGTCAAAGATCAGATAGTTGTAAATATGCGGCATTATTTCTGAGGGCTCTGTTCTGTTCCATTGATCTATATCTCTGTTTTGGTACCAGTACCATGCTGTTTTGGTTACTGTAGCCTTGTAGTATACTTTGAAGTCAGGTAGTGTGATGCCTCCAGCTTTGTTCTTTTGGCTTAGGATTGACTTGGCGATGTGGGCTCTTTTTTGGTTCCATATGAACTTTAAAGTAGTTTTTTTCCAATATTGATTCTTCCAACCCATGAGCATGGAATGTTCTTCCATTTGTTTGTATCTTCTTTTATTTCATTGAGCAGTGGTTTGTAGTTCTCCTTGAAGAGGTCCTTCATGTCCCTTGTAAGTTGGATTCCTAGGTATTGTATTCTCTTTGAAGCAATTGTGAATGGGGGTTCACCCATGATTTGCCTCTCTGTTGGTCTGTTATTGGTGTACAAGAATGCTTGTGATTTTTGTACATTGATTTTGTATCCTGAGACTTTGCTGAAGTTGCTTATCAGTTTAAGAAGATTTTGGGCTGAGACACTGGGGTTTTCTAGATATACAATCATGTCATCTGCAAACAGGGACAATTTGACTTCCTCTTTTCCTAATCGAATACCCTTTATTTCCTTCTCCTGCCTAATTGCCCTGGCCAGAACTTTCAACACTATGTTGAATAGGAATGGTGAGAGAGGGCATCCTTGTCTTGTGCCAGTTTTCAAAGGGAATGCTTCCAGTTTTTGCCCATTCAGTATGATATTGGCTGTGGGTTTGTAATAGATAGCTCTTATTATTTTGAGATATGTCCCATCAATACCTAATTTATTGAGAGTTTTTAGCATGAAGTGTTGCTGAATTTTGTCAAAGGCCTTTTCTGCATCTATTGAGATAGTTATGTGGTTTTTGTCTTTGGTTCTGTTTATATGCTGGATTACATTTATTGATTTGCATATGTTGAACAAGGCTTACATCCTAGGAATGAAGCCTACTTGATCATGGTGGATAAGCTTTTTGCTATGCTGCTGGATTCTGTTTGCCAGTATTTTATTGAGGATTTTTGCATCAATGTTCATCAAGGATATTGGTCTAAAATTCTCTTTTTTGGTTGTGTCTCTACCAGGCTTTGGTATCAGGATGATGCTGGCCTCATAAGATGAGTTAGGGAGGATTCCCTCTTTTTCTATTCATTGGAATAGTTTCAGAAGGAATGGTACCAGTTCCTCCTTGTACCTCTGGTAGAATTCGGCTGTGAATCCATCTGGTCCTGGACTGTTTTTGGTTGATAAGCTATTGATTATTGCCACAATTTCAGAGCCTGATATTGGTCTATTCAGAGATTCAACTTCTTCCTGGTTTAGTCTTGGGAGGGTGTACGTGTCGAGGAATTTATCCATTTCTTCTAGATTTTCTAGTTTATTTGTGTACAGGTGTTTGTAGTATTCTCTGATGGTAGATTGTATTTCTGTGGCATCAGTGGTGATATACCCTTTATCATTTTTTATTGTGTCTATTTGATTCTTCTCTCTTTTCTTCTTTATTAGTCTTGCCAGCAGTTTATCAATTTTGTTGATCTTTTCAAAAAACCAGCTCCTGGATTCATTAATTTTTTGAAGGGTTTTTTGTGTCTCTATTTCCTTCAGTTCTGCTCTGATCTTAGTTATTTCTTGCCTTCTGCTAGCTTTTGAATGTGTTTGCTATTGGTTTTCTAGTTCTTTTAATTGTGATGTTAGGGTCAGAAAACACCACAAAGATACTCCTCAAGAAGAGCAACACCAAGACACATAATTGTCAGACTCACCAAGGTTGAAATGAAAGGAAAAACGTTAAGAGCAACCAGAGAGAAAGGTCGGGTTAGCCACAAAGGGAAGCACATCAGACTAACAGCAGGTCTCTTGGCAGAAACCCTACAAACCAGAAGAGAGTGGGGGCCAATATTCAACATTCTTAAAGAAAAGAATTTTCAACTCAGAATTTCATATCCAGCCAAACTAAGCTTCATAAGCGAAGGAGAAATAAACTCCTTTATAGACAAGCAAATGATGAGAGATTTTGTCACCACCAGGCCTGCCTTACAAGAGCTCCTGAAGGAAGCACTAAACATGGAAAGGAATAACCAGTACCAGCCACACAAAAACATGCCAAATTGTAAAGACCATCAATCCTAGGAAGAAACTGCATCAACTAATGAGCAAAATAACCAGCTAACATCATAATGACAGGATCAAATTCACACATAACAATATTAACCTTAAATGTAAATGGGCTAAATGCCCCAATTAAAAGACAAAGACTGGTAAACTGGATAAAGAGTCAAGACACATCAGTGTGCTGTATTCAGGAGACCCATCTAACGTGCAGAGACACACATAGGCTCAAAATAAAGGGATGGAAGAAGATCTACGAAGCAAATGGAAAGAAAAAAATAGCAGGGATTGCAATCCTAGTCTCTGATAAAACAGGCTTTAAACCAACAAAGATTAAAGAGACAAAGAAAGCCTTTATATAATGGTAAAGGGATCAATGCAACAAGAAGATCTAACTATCCTAACTATACATGCACCCAATACAGGAGCACCCATATTCTTAAAGCAAGTCCTTAGAGACCTACAAAGAGACTTAGACATCCACACAGTAATAATGAGAGACTTTAACACCCCAATGTCAATATTAGACAGATCAATGAGACAGAATGTTAACAAGGATTTCCAGGACTTGAACTCAGCTCTGCAACAAGCAGACCTAATAGACATCTACAGAACCCTCCACCCCAAATCAACAGAATGTACATTCTTCTCAGCATCACATCTCACTTATTCCAAAATTGACCACATAGTTAGAAGTAAAACACTGCTCAGCAAATGTAAAAGAACAGAAATCACAACAAACTGTCTCCCAGACCACAGTGCCATCAAATTAGAACTCAGGATTAAGAAACTCACTCAAAACCACACAAATACATGGAAACTGAACAACCTGCTCCTGAATGACTATTGGGTAAATAACGAAATGAAGGCAGAAATAAAGATGTTCTTTGAAATCAACGAGAACAAAGACCCAACATATCAGAATCTCTGGGACACATTTAAAGCAGTGTGTAGATGGAAATTTGTAGCACTAAATAACCACAAGAGAAAACAAGAAAGATCTAAAATTGACACCCTAACATCACAATTAAAAGAACTAGAGAAGCAAGAGCACACAAATTCGAAATCTAGCAGAAGGCAAGAAATAACTAAGATCAGAGCAGAACTGAAGGAGATAGAGACACAAAAAACCCTTCAAAAAATCAATGAACCCAGGAGCTGGTTTTTTGAAGAGATCAACAAAATTGATAGACCACTAGCAAGACTAATAAAGAAGAAAAGAGAGAAAAATCAAATGGATGCAATAAAAAATGATAAAGGGGATTTCACCACTGATCACATGGAAATACAAACTACCATCAGAGAATACTACAAACCCCTCTACACAAATAAACTAGAAAATCTAGAAGAAATGGATAAATTCCTGGACAAATACACCATCCCAAGACTAAACCAGGAAGAAGTCGAATCCCTGAATAGAACAATAACAGGCTCTGAAATTGAGGCAATAATTAATTAGCCTCCCAACCAAAAAAAGTCCAGGACTAGATGGATTCACAGCCGAATTCTACCAGAGATACAAAGAGGAGCTGGTACCATTCCTTCTGAAACTATTCCAATGAATAGAAAAAGAGGGAATCCTCCCTAACACATTTTATGAGGCCAGCATCATCCTGATACCAAAGCCTGGCAGAGACACAACAAAAAAAAGAGAATTTTAGACCAATATCCCTGATGACCAATATCAATATCAATGCAAAAATCCTCAATAAAATACTGGCAAACCGAATCCAGCAGCACATCAAAAAGCTTATCCACCACTATCAAGTCAGCTTCATCCCTGGGATGCAAGCCTGGTTCAATATACGCAAATCAATTAACGTAATCCATCACACTTCAGCCTTCGAGTAGCTATCAGGTGCGCCACCATGCCCAGCTAATTTTTGTGTTTTTAGTAGAGATGGGGTTTCACCATGTTGCCTAGGTTAGTCTTGAACTCCTGGGCTCAGGTGATCTGCTCGCCTTGGCCTCCCAAAATGCTAGGATTACAGGCATGAGCCACTGTGCCCAGCCAATCTATGTAACTTTTCATGGAAGGCAAATCTATAAAGAAAGCAGATCATTTGTTACTTGGGACTTGGGTAGGTGGGAGTGAGGATTTAATGCAAATAAGCAGAGGAAACTTTTTGAGATTATGTAAGTATTCAAAAACTGAATTTTTGTAATTGTTGTACAACTCTATAAATTTGCCAAAACTCATCGAAATGTGCATTTAGAATAAATAAATTTTGTGCGCTGTGTATTATACCTCAAAAAAGCTGATAAAATATAAATTGGAACAAAAGTACTGGAAAACAGTAAGTTGGGGATGAATGAGGGTGATCAAAATTAATGCATCCTTCAAGATGAAACTAGTGATTTTAATTTTACAATTAGTTTTTTAAATTACTTGTTAATTCAAGTACACATATTACATTTCAAGGGTAATTGTGAATAGAATAGAACTAGAACATACAACTTTTAAACAAATAAAGGGGAAAAACCTTGATCAATCTAATAGAATGCATTGGGGAAAAGAATTGGAGAAATAATATGGTTAACAGAAAGCACAATATATGATGACAGAAGTAAATATAAATTTATCCATAACCACAATAAACTTAAATCATCTAAATTAGTTAAAGACAGACACTTGAAGACTGGATAAAAATGTGAAAATCCAGGTATAACCCGTAATAGTTAAAAACATGAAGACACAAAATTCTGAAGGTATGAGATGAGTAAATGATAAATAAAACAAATATTAACCAATATATGGCTGATATAGCTATTTTCATATCAAAAACTATAATTTAAGACAAAAAAACATTCTGAGGAATAAAAGTCATTATGTAAAGACATGTATGCATGTAACAATTCAACCGTAAAATATATGAAGCACAAATTGGCAGAATTACAAAGAAAAATGGCTAAATCCTCAACTTTGAAGAAACTTAAACCTCTGAGTCAATGATAATCAAAATGTAGTAAGATTATCTCAGATTTTTACCACTGTATTTAAAAAGCTTAATGTAAAGGAAATATATAGACTGCTGTATGCTCAAATTAGAGAATATATATATACTTTGAAGCCTGATAAAGTCTTAGGAGAACTGAACCTATGCTAGCCTATGAATCAAATCACAACAAATAAACAAACATTATAACATGTGGCCTATACTCTGTAACCAAAATGCAATTTATTAGAGAAAAAAATGTAAATTTCTTTCATCTTCAAACTAAAGGCATACCTTAAATAATTTTTCAGTCAAAGAAGACATGAAAATGAAAATCAGAAGATATTTGGATGTGAAATACTACATAACAAAACTTCTGAGATAGAGCTGAGGCAGTACTGAAAGGGTAATTTATATGTTTACATGTTTATATTGAAAAATAGGCTGAAAATTAGTTAAGTGTCCACCTTAGGAAGTTTAGAAAGAGAAAAAGAGATTGGGCATGGTGGCTCAGGCCTGTAATCCCAGCACTTTGGGAGGTCAAGGAGGGCGGATTACCTGAGGTCGGGAGTTCAAGACCAGCTTGGCCAACATGGTGAAACCCCTGTCTCTACTGAAAATACAAAAATTAGCTGGGTGTGGTGGTGGGTGCCTATAATCCCAGCTACTCGGGAGGCTGAGGCAGAAGAATTGCTTGAGCCAGGGAGGCAGAGGTTGCAGTGAGCCGAGATTGGGCCACTGCATTGCAGCCTGGGCAACAGAGCAAGACTCTGTCTAAAAAAAAAAAAAAAAAAAAATTGGAGTAAACCTAAATAAAATAAATTAAAGGAAATAAGGCTAAAAGTAGAAATAGACATTAATAAACTATAAAACAAAGAAACAATAGGCAAGATTCACAAAACCAAATGCTGATTCTTTGAAAAGAATAATAAAATAGGCACTCTTCTGGTAACATTGATTAATTAAAAAGAGAAGGTGTAAATAAGCAATATTAGGAATAAAAAATGAAGTGTAAGATAAAATATGAGTGAAAAAATAATAAAGTGAATACTATAAATGACTATATGACAACAGTCTAAAAACATAAGTGAAATGAACAACTTCGTTGGCTACTATAACTTATAAACACTTAGTCAAGAAGAAATGGGACACATGAATATTCATGTATCTATTTTTAAAAATTCAATCAGTAAATACTTTCTCATAGAAAACACCCACTAGTATGAGATACTTTAATATGAAAGTTCTACCAAACATTCAAAGAACATATAAATAAGCACTATCATATCAAAATAATTTCAGAGTATGGAAAAAGAGGGAACACCTTCAATTCATTTTGTGAGGCTAACATAAATGCAATATAAATATTTAAGATCATTATAATCCAAGAAAATTGGAGGCCAAACTAAGCTTAGATACAAACATCTAAAATAAAATAATAGTAAATCTAGTAATGTATTCTAAAATAATTCTGGACCAGTTGGGTATCTCAGGAATAGAAGCAAACGTTTAACAGTTTGCCCAAGCAGCTTTTATTTTATTTTATTATTTTTAAGGAGACAAGGTCTTGCCCTGTTGCCTGGGTTGGAATAGTGGCACGATCATATATCTCACAGCATCCTTGACCTCCTGGGTTCTAGGGAACCTCTGCCTTAGCCTCCTGAGTAGCTGGGACTACAGGCACACACCACAATGCCTAGCTAATTTTAAAATGTTTTTATTTTGTAGAGATGAAATCTCACTATGTTGCCCAAGCTAGCCTCACACTCTTGGCTTCAAATGATTCTTCCACCTTGGTGCCCCGAAGTGTTGGGATTACAGGCATCAGTCATGGCACCTGGCCTGAGCAGGTTTTAATAAGTCACCCCATGTTTGGAGAATTTCTAACATTATTAATACTACTTTCCCAATGCAGAAGCCAGGAACACAAGTTTTTAAACTTCCTTTGTCATGAAGGCATAGACACATGATGAACACACTGCTACTGACATTAATTTCTGCTTTTATCTGCATAGCTGGTACCTCCAGGAAAAGGAGAGGAATGAGGTTGGAAAATAGTACATAGGAAGCTTCAACTATATCTATAATGATTTTATATATATATATATATTTATATTTTGAGGCTGGAGTGCAGTGGCACAATCTTGGCTCACTGCGACCTCTGCCTCCTGGGTTCAAGCGATTCTCCTGCCTAAGCCTCTTGAGTAGCTGGGACTACAGGTGCATGTCATGATGTCTGGTTAATTTTGTATTTTTTAGTAGAGATGGGGTTTCACCATGTTGGCCAGGCTGGTTTAAACACCCAACCTCAGGTGATCTGCCCGCCTCAGCCCCCAAAGTGCTGGGATTACAGGCGTGAACTACTGTGCCTGGCCAGATAATGTTTGAATTAGAATGTTGCATGCATAAATATGATATCTTGGATATTGAAGAGACCACATAGACAAACTATATAAAAGGAAAAGAGGAAAAGGCTCAGGTCTAAGTCCTGAGTGATATTTCATATTTAGAAGTTAGGAAAAGAAGAATGGAATATGGAAGACAAGAAAGGAAGAAGCAGTGAGGGAAGAAGAAAACCAGTAAGTAGTGCCTCAGAATTAGAAAAAAAAAAGACAAGTGTTTCAATAAGAGAGTGATCATTGGCGTCAAAAGCTGCAAAGATCTTGAATACGATGCAGACAGAAACGTTCACTGGATTTGGTTAATACACTTAGTCAGATAACAAAAAACCAGCAATTTCACCAGTTACGCTCCTTTTCATACTCCAGAGATGAAGGATAATATTCACTAGCCTATATAATATTCTAGGTCTTGAATGTTAAATAACATAACATAGGTGATTGTGTTAAATGTCAGAATATTTAAGGAATAATTATGTTGTAATTTACAGGCCAGCGTGCATTTGTTGCTTGCTGGAGTAGTCAAGTTTTATTTCTGACAAGTCTGCAGTTCCAGGGAGCCTCTCCCTGGCTGAGTAACTCTCACCCATCCATCTGTCAGGGAGAGTTTGCTGTGCATCCCAAGTATCTTAGAATTGGGTAGAAGTTTAGCTTTAATTAGTTTGACCTTGAGTCTAGCAACAGGAGAGGGAACAGGCGGTGAAGAGGTCGTGAATGATGTCCCAGCAGCAGGAGACAGGGAGTGTCATTATCATTCCTGGCCTTCTCACAGTACTCTGAATACAGAGAATGAGGAAGATTAGGGGGCCCTGTCTGCTGACTCCCTGATGATCTCAGACCCTCTCTGCTCTTTCTGGATGGTGACCTGTTAATTCTGGCATACTATTACTGATAATATATTTATACTTTTCACTGTGATTTGCCCAATTGTTGCTTTAGCTCTGGACCTTGTCAAGAAGTTGTTGGTAGTGGATCCAAAGGCACGTTTTATGACAGAAGAAGCCTTAAGACACCGTGGCTTCAGGAGGGTGTGGGACAGTGCCTGCTAGCATAAAATACATGGGAAGCCCTGCTGCCTGAGAGACATGAGACAGAGGACAGAAACATGTTTAGTCTGTTTAATCTAATTGTTTTAGATGTATGGGGGGTATCTTGGAGGATGGGTTACAACCTGTCTTTTTTTTTTCTTTTTTCAGACAGGTTCTCATTCTGTCACCCTGGCTGGAGTGCAGTGGCATGATCTCAGCTCACTGCAACCTCTGCCCCCTGGGTTCAAGTGATTCTCCTGCCTCAGCCTCCCAAGCAGCTGGGATTAAAGGTGCATGCTACCAAGCCCAACTACTTTTTGTATTTTTTGTAGAGATGGGGTTTCGCCGTGTTGGCTAGGCTACAACCTTTTCGATGTTACTCATGGCTGTTGGATGTACAAGCTCACTTTATGTCCTGTTCTGGTTCCACTTGGCTGTCCCAAGTCTCCAGTATGGCCTGTGTTCTTTTGAGGGCTTGTTCTGGCTCTAACCCCAGCCATGTCCACTGGTCTTCATAGGTGCGGTGCATTCCAACCATCTTCAACCTTAAATCGGGGAAGTGGGGGAGGGGGAGGAGGGCAGCCTCCATGGGGAGAATCCAGCTATTTCTTGAGCCCAAGTGACTGGGTATAAAGGGTCCCACTGCTTGTTCATTCAGGTGAGTAAATGTGTCCTTAGTGAAGGCCGTCACCTGCACTTTTCATCTGTGTTACTGCTCTGCTCCTGCTAGGGGTTGGGGCTGCCATTATTAAATGCTGACCTCATTTGGAACTGCCAAGAGTTGGAAGTACGTTTTGGCTTTGCTGGATTAATCTTTAGTTTTGGAATTAGCTACGGCATTGGGCAGGTGTTCTGATAGATGTCTGGTCTTCTGTAATGAGCAGTTCCATTCAACACAGCCATGCCCCTTTCTATTAATTTTCTTTTGGTCTGTGTATTAGTCTGTTCTCACACTGCTATAAAGAACTGCCCAAGACTGGGTAATTTATAAAGAAAGGAGGTTTAATTGACTCACAGCTCCACATGGCTGGGGAGGCCTCAGGAAACTTACAATCATGGTGGAAGGGGAAGAAGGCGTGTCTTAATGGCAGCAGGTGAGAGAGCTTGTGAAGGAAGTGAAGGGCGAAGAGCCTTTTATGAAACTGTCAGATCTCATGAGAACTCACTATCATGAGAATAGCCTGGGGGGAACTGCCCCCATGAGACAATCACCTCTCAACAGTTCCCTTTCTCACCACCAGGATAATACAATTTGAGATGAGATTTGGGTAGGGACATAAAGCCAAACTGTATCAATCCGTTTTCTGTGGAGATGGGGGACAGAACTCGTAGCTTGAGCTAAAGGCTGTTACTTGAGCTAAATGCTGTTTCTCTGGGGATTACTGGTCCAGGAACTCCTTGGGCAATCCAGCCTCAGCCCCGTACTTCTGGGACTCTGGGAAGACTGTCCCCATTCTCTGTTCTAATACTCTACACCTAACAGTTTTGCTCAGGCCAGCTCAGGTTGAGAACAAGAAAAACTTAAAAAAAAAAAAAAAGACAGATATATGTGTTTTGGATGTTGCGCTGGAAACTATAGTCTCCCCAGAAGAAATCTGTCAGATGATTTAGCATTTAATAGACCACACAGATTTGAAACAGTGGGACCCTGGAGGAAAGGGGTTTGGAAACAAAGGGTGCCTTTGCATGTGGGGATTTTAATTTTGATGAAAAAGAGAAACATGTCTTTTGGCTCTTTTCATGTGTCCTAATAGGGAAACTCTTGGGTCTAAATGTAGAGGTACAGGAGCTGTGTTCATCTCCAGCAAAAAAAACAGAGCTGGCCTGTTGAGCCTGGGAACAGGGTTTGCATCTGCCTGAAATTTATGAGCAAGCACAGCCCATTTTTCTTGTACTTCTTCATCTCAAAGAAAACTTATTAACAACCAAGGAGAAGGTGTAGTTCATCTCTGTTGCAGGATCTCCCTGGAATACTCTTCTAGCCACCTTTTGTTTTTGCAGTAAAAGGAGGAATGAGCATTGAATGAAGACGAGGATGAAGACTGACCATCTAAAACATCTGTTAGTGATAGTTTGGGTTTTATTTTGGGAAAATTCAGTGTTTTCACAAAAACCAAATGGTTTTGTGGGTCTGGCGCTGGACTGAGTGTTGGGAATGTGGATTCTGGTCTCTGTTTTGTCATTAACAGAGTGCCCAGTTTTGGGAGCATCCCTTACATCTACTGTCTGCCTCGTATTTACTGCCTGAAATAGAGGATTACTTCTGTTTGCTTTCAAGGGATATTATAATTTAATTTTTATTTTATTTATTGTTGGAGACAAGGTCTTCTTCTGTTGCCCAAACTGGAGTGCACTGGTGCAATTATAGCTCACGGCAGCCTCGACCTCCTGGCCTTAAGGGATCCTCCCGCCTCAGCCTCATAAAGTGCTTGGATAATAGGCACGAGCCACTGTTCCTGGCTAATTTAATATTTTGGAATAATTGTAGACATCATGAAGAAAATCAATGTTTATTTATTTATTGCCTTTTTTGAGATGGAGTCTCGCTTTTGCCTACCAGGCTGGAGTGCAATGGTGTGATCTCAACTCACTGCAACCTCCACCTCTGGGTTCAAGTGATTCTCCTGCATCAGACTCCCAAGTGGCTGGGATTACAGGTGCCTGCCACAATGCCCAGCCCATTTTTGTATTTTTAGTAGAGATGGGGTTTCACCATGTTGGTCAGACTAGTCTCAAACTCCTGACCTCAGGTGATCCACCCACCTTGGCCTCCCAAAGTGCTGGGATTCCAGGCATGAGCCACTGCGCCTGTCCTGATTACTTGTTTTAAATATAGGCCTGATTAGGCTTGTGACCACTCTGTTTGGCTTCACTGAAGGGCTTCCAAGAGATGGACTTTTGAGAGTGACACTGCAAGATAATTGAGATCCTAAGTAAGGCTGTGAGAGGGTGCGGAGAGGAATCCAGATGAGCTTGCTGCTGTCAAATGGCAATGGGGAGCTACACTGAGTAACTCAAAACAGAGTGACCTCAAGTGATCTGCCCTGCCTTGGCCTCCCAAAGTGCTGGGATTACAGGTGTGAACCACTGTGCCTGGTCCTCCTTTCCTTCTTTCTTTCTTCCTCTTTCCTTCCCCCTCCCCTCTCCTCCATTCCTTTCCCCTCCCCTCTTTCATCCCCCCTCCCTTTTTCCTTCCTTGCTTCTTTCCTTCCTTCCTTCCTCAGGGTCTTGCTCTCTCACCTAGGCTGGAGTGCAGTGGCATGATCACTGCACCATGACTTTCAGGCTCAAGTGATCCTCCTGCCCCAGCCTCCCAGGTAGCTGAGACTACAGGTGCATGCCACCGTGTCTGGCTAATTTAAATTTTTTTTTTTTTTTTTTTTTGAGGCAGAGTCGTAGTCTTTTGCCCAGGCTGGAGTGCAGTGGTGTGATCCTGTCTTACTGCAACCTCCGCCTCTCGAATTCAAGTGATTCTCCTGCCTCAGCCTCCTGAGTAGCTGGGATTACAGGCATGCACTACCACACCTGGCTAATTTTGTATTTTTAGTAGAGACGGGGTTTCACCATGTTAGCCAGGCTGATCTCAAACTTCTGACCTCAGGTGATTTGCCCGCCTTGGCCTCCCAAAGTGCTGGGATTACAGGCGTGAGCCACTGTGCCTGGTCCTTCTTTCCTTCTTTCTTTCTTCCTCCTTCCTTCCCCCTCCCCTCTTTCATCCCCCCCCTTTTAAATTCCTTGCTTCTTTCCTTTCTTCCTTCCTCAGGGTCTTGCTGTCTCACCTAGGCTGGAGTGCAGCGGCATGATCACTGCACCATGACTTTCAGGCTCAAGTGATCCTCCTGCCCCAGCCTCCCAAGTAGCTGAGACTACAGGTGCATGCCACCATGTCTGGCTAATTTAATTTTTTTTTTTTTTTGAGACAGAGTCGTAGTCTTTTGTCCAGGCTGGAGTGCAGTGGTGTGATCCTGTCTTACTGCAACCTCCGCCTCTCGAATTCAAGTGGTTCTCCTGCCTCAGCCTCCTGAGTAGCTGGGATTACAGGCATGCACTACCACACCTGGCTAATTTTGTATTTTTAGTAGAGACGGGGTTTCACCATGTTAGCCAGGCTGATCTCAAACTTCTGACCTCAGGTGATTTGCCCGCCTTGGCCTCCCAAAGTGCTGGGATTACAGGCGTGAGCCTCCGTGCCTGGCCTAATTTTTAATTTTTTTTTTTTGTAGTGACAAAGTCCCACTATATTGCCCAGGCTGGTCTCAAATTCCTGGCCTCAAGCAATTCTCCCACTTTGTCCTCCCAAAGTGCTGGGATTATAGGCATGAGCCACCATGCCCAACCTAGTGTTGTAAAAGTTCCATATCCATCAAATTGCCAAATGGTGGAGGACTTTGCTGTATCCTCTCCCTTTCCCCACTGTGGTATGCTTGGCTCAGTGGGAGGAGGGGCTGGAGTTGGGTGGGAAAGTACATGAGGCATTGGAATCAGATAACTCTGGGTCTGTATTCCACACATGCCACCTGTGAGTGGCTGAGCTGGGCTTCTGGCCAACACTCAAAGGCCACATTCCTATTTATAGATGTTCCTTTCACCTTGCTGAAGATGGGGAGAGCTGCACCAGACCACCTCTCAGGGTTTCCTAATGCAAATCCTTGAACCCTGCAGAAGTAAGCATCCAGAGAGGTGGGAGCTACTCGTATACACACTGTCTGTGCCCTCCTCATCTCCCGCTCCTGCAGCATGAAACAGCTGTAATGCTTTGTTATGTTTATTGTCTCCCTTTCTCATTAGACCTGAGCTCTGGGATATTGTGGCCTTAAGTACTTCTGAAAATTTGTATGGCATCTGCTGGGTGAATTTTCCTAGGGTGCTGGGCTGGTTGTTAGGACAGCCTGGGTGACTGGCCTCATTCATGGCAGGGGCAGCAGGTGGAGAGTGGTCCCGGAAGGATTTGAGGAGCTGCACGGAGTCAGGCCCAGCCCCTGGCCCCCTGATTGTCACCTTTCTCAGGATCTGGGATGTTAATTCAGAAACTCTTGACTGCTGGAGGCTGTGATTGACCCACTGAGAGCTTTTAGGCATGTGGATGTGAGTCAGCCAGGATTGATGGAGCATTGACTGCTAATTGGACTCCTCTGGGAAGGTAGAGGGGGGCAACACATAATGCCTTCGCTGTGGGAGCTTCATCAAGGGGATGATTCTTGGAAGGACATCTTTTCCTCCCTCTTTCCACAGGGGCATGCTAGCCCTGTCATTCTAGGAGTTTATTATCCTTCAGACACAGCTACTTATGTTTTTAATTCCCTCACAGAATGAAGACATGAAGAGAAAGTTTCAAGATCTTCTGTCTGAGGAAAATGAATCCACAGCTCTATCTCAGGTTCTAGCCCAGGTATTCGTATTCCTGATGATCACTAAATATAGTCTGGGCTTAAGGAGCTGATTAGCAAAGATGATGAAATTCAAGATTTTCCTGAGTAGCAATTGCTTAACATTGTTTCAGTTATAATGTAGTAGAAACTCTGTTTGAACTTGATTCACTCCAGCACCCTTAGATTTAAAATTGCAGGATATGTTTAATATCTAACACATAATAGACAGATAAGCACAGCTAGGGATTGTCATCCAAAAGGTCACCTGCAAGGCAATTTCAAAAGACTCTATTAGAGGCTCAAATATAAATTTGTTGGAAAATTAAAATTTGGGTCAGTAGTTGATTCCTTGATTACAATTTTGTTCTTTAAAGTTCTTTGTGAGTATAAGTTAATTCCAGTCCTGCTTTTTTGTTGTTGTTGTTGTTGTTGAATGGTAGCTGTCCTTTTTCCCACTGTTTTCTCCCCCCCCCGATTTTTATTTTCTTGAGACAGACTCTTAGTCTGTCACTCAGGCCAGAGTGCAGTGGTGCAATCTCAGCTCACTGCAACCTCTGCCTCCTGGGTTCAAGCAGTTCTCCTGCCTCAGTCTCCTGAGTGTCTGGGACTACAGGTGTCTGCCACTGTGCCCAGTTAATTTTTGTATTTTTAGGTGAGATGGGGTTTTGCCATGTTGGTCAGGCTTGTCTCGAACTTTTGACCTGAAGTGACCTACCCACCTCGGCTTCCCAAAGTGCTTGGATTACAGGTGTGAGTCACCACACCCAGCCTTCCTCCCAATTTTGTATATGGGAAAACAACTAAGGCACAAAGGTTGTCTTCCCGCAAAAGACCAAGACTTGGGGCTTCAACTGAGAGGTATTGTAGTCCTTTTAAACTTGATATTTAGAAGAGGATGATCAAGAGGAAGTTGGTTATGCTACTTGCTTTCAGTATACATCATTCAGAGGTCAGAAGCCATAAGGGAGAGAAATATCCATTAGATAAGCATGTCTGAGTTGTGGGCTGTGATGAGGACTCAGTTGTCAATGATGAAAACCAGTAATTTTTGGTACTAGAATTTCACATCAAATGCCCCCACTTTACTGGAAGTACATTGAGGAACTTTGATAATCTTAAAGAAGCCAGTGATTTTCTTTTGAATATTTCTCCATTTTCCTTTATTTTCAGCCTTCTACTAGTCAAAAGCGGCCTCGTGAAGGGGAAGCCGAGGGTGCCGAGACCACAAAGCGCCTGGCTGTGTGTGCTGCTGTGTTGTGAACTCCGTGGTTTGAACATGAAAGAAATGTACCTTCTTTCACTCTGTCATCTTTCTTTTCTTTGAGTCTGTTTTTTTATAGTTTGTATATTAATTATGGAAATAATTGTTTTTTCACAGTCACTGATGTACAATAAAAAACCTGATGGAACCTGGGCTTTGTGCTTCTGCTTGATAATCGGTTCTTTAGTTGAATGGCTTTATTATTTATTTATTTGAGACGGAGTCTCACTCTGTTGCCCAGCCTGAAGTGTAGTGGTGCAAGCTTGGCTCACTGCAACCTCTGCTTCCCAGGTTCAAGCGATTCTCGTGCCTCAGCCTCCTGAGTAGCTGGGATTACAGGTATGCGCCACCATGCCAAGCTAATTTTTATATTTTTTTGTAGAGACAGGGTTTTGCCACGTTGGCCAGCCTGGTCTTGAACTTCTGACCTCAGGTGATCCGCCTGCCTCGGTCTCTTAAAGTGCTGGGATTACACACGTGAGCCACTATGCCTAGCCTGAATGGTTTTTTTATATTTAAAGTTGTTGTGTGCCTTTCATCTGGAGCTACACCTTGGCTATCACTAGGCAGGTTTCCCAGGATGTCACCCTGGTCTCAGCCTGTGAGAGCTGAATGCAAATTCTAAGGGCCCCTTGGAAAGTTCCAGGGAAAGGAGCATAGCGAGGTTGGGGGTGGAGTTTGTAGAGACTGGCTGGCTGGCTGCTGACATCTTCATGAGAACAGCAGGTACCTTGGTGCATAATAACAGGCCAGGTTATATTCTCATCCTTGCCCTCATAAAGATACAGGTCTACAGTCTCTGAAACCTTTGGGCTAGATAAGTTGTGAAATTTAATTACCCAATTTTCGGAAGGTGGTAAGGCATATCTACTATGTGTATGTGTAGCACCCCAGTGGAGTCCTACACATGTGGAGTCCTACCCCAGTGGAGACCAAACATGTTAATATTTCCACAGCAAATATTCACAGTAAGAGGGATAGAGAAAGATTATAGGTAGTTGCATATTGATTCATATCAGTCTTTTCTTCCAAATGAGCTACAATGACTCATTTTTGAGAGCTGTTTGGGTTTTTGAAGTGGAGATAAGGCACGGTTATGTCTTGATGACCCAATAATGACCGGGGAGGCCCTGTGCAAAGACTTACCCTTGGCTGCTCTTGTCCTCACAGTGATTCTATGAGGTCCTCTAGCCACTGTCATGTCACAGGTGAGGAAACCAAAGTTGGAGGATGAAGGTAACTTTTCTGATGTCGCGCAGCTGGTAAATGGCAGAGCTGGGACCCAACCCAGGTCTTTTTGACTCTAAAGCTAATGTTCCTTATTGTCCACTGAATCTGCTTTTATAACTTTGCTTGGTCGATGCTAGGACACTTTGTAGCTCACTGGCCATGCCATGAATTGAGTGCCGTGGTTCAAAGGCCACTGGTGATTCAGTCAAGGCAGGCTCGAGGGCACACAGCCATTTCCTTAGGAAATGGGGATGGTGGTTGAAAATTTCTATTAAAGGGTATATAAGCATTCTGAGACTTGGCTGGCCAGGTGTAGGGGGTTTGTTGGGAATTTAGGTGGTTTGCATGTTTAAAGGAATAAGACTGAGATTGCCAATTAGATGGGTTTTAGCTCATTTGAATATTTAATGTGGAGGCTGTGGTTTCCTGGGACATTTTTCCCACTGTGGAGAGTTAGCCAGCTTTTCTCTGTTGCTTTTTTCTTTTTTCTTTTTTTAATCGAGATGAAGGTGACAATCATCTTATGCTTGTCACCCAGGCTGGAGTGCAATGGTGCAATCTCAGCTCACTGCAACCTACGCCTCCTGGGTTCAAGCGATTCTCCTGACTCAGCCTCCTGAGTAGCTGGGATTACAGCCACCTGCCACCATGCCCAGCTAATTTTTGTATTTTTAGTAGAGATGGGTTTTCACCATGTTGGTCAGACTGGTCTTGAACCCCTGACCTCAGGCAATCCACCCACCTCCCTCCCAAAGTACTGGGATTAGAGGCATGAGCTACCATGCCCGGCCGCCCTTCTCTGTTTCCAGAGCATTTTGTATTAACTCCCTCTCATGATATCTTCCATGGCAGGCTGAATAATGGCCCCTCCAAAGTGTCCTCAACTTAATCCCCGGAATCTGTGACTATGTTCCTTTCCATGACAAAAGGGACTTTGCAGATGTGATTAAGCATCTTGAGATGGGAACTTATCCTATGTTGCCTGTGGGCCCAGTGTCCCATCACAGTGCTTTTTTTTTTTTTTTTTGAGATGGAGTTTTTTGCTCTTGGTGCCCAGGCTGGAGTGCAATGATGCAATCTCGGATCACTGCAACTCCACCTCCCAAGGTTCAAGCGATTCTCTTGCCTCAGCCTTCCGAGCAGCTGGATTACAGGTGCTCGCCAACATGTCCAGCTAATTTTTGTTTTTCCAGTAGAGATGGGGTTTCACCATGTTGGCCAGGCTAGTCTCGAACTCCTGACCTCGTGATCTGCCCACCTTGGCATCCCAAAGTGCTGGGATTATAGGCGTGAGCCACCACATCCAGCCTACAGTGCTCTTTTAAGAGGGACTCAGCAGTCAGGGGAGATGGCAATGCGATGGTGACTGAGTGTCTTAGTCTTTTTTGTATTGCTATGCAATATCTGAGGCTGGGTAATTTATAAAGAACAGGTTTATTTCTTAGAGTTCTGGAGGCTGGGAAGGTCAAGATCAAGGGGCCTGCTTCTGGTGAGGGTCTTCTTGCTGTGTCATCCCATGATGGAAGGTATCACATCAAGAGAGAAAGGGGGCTGAACTCAATACTTTTATTAGGAACCCATCCCCATGATAATTAACCCTCTGCTGAGATAACATTATTACTCTATTAATGAGGGAAGATCTTTCATGACCTAATCTCCTCTTAAAGGTCCCACCTCTCAACAGTGTTGCATTGGGGATTAAATTTCCAACACATGAACTTTGGGGGACACATTCAAACCATAGCACTGTGCAGAGATTGGAGTGATACGCTTTAAAAATGGAGGAAAGGGCCACAATCCAGGGAATATAGGTAACCACTAAAAGCAGAAAAAGGCAAGAAAACGGGTTTTCCCTTCAGAACCTCCTGAAGGAATCAGTCCTTTACAACTTGACTTTAGCCAAGTGAAACTGATTTGAGGCTTCTGAACTATAGAACAATAAGATATTAAGTCTGTGTTGTTGTAAGCCAATCAGTTCGTGGTAATTTGTTACAGCGGCCATAGAAAACTAACTGACTCACCAATGGGAGAAATCAGCTGCTGATTGAAGGTTACCAAACATCTACTTCCTTTCCTAACGTCACTTTAATTTTATCTTGGAGGAATTCTTTTCCCTACCCCATTAAGTTATGGGAGATGGGGCCAGGCATGGTGGCTTAGCAATCCCAGCACTTTGGGAGGCTGAGGCGGGTGGATCACTTGAGGTCTGGAGTTTGAGACTAGCCTGGACAACATAGTGAAACCCCATCTTTACTAAAAATACAAAAATTAGCCAGGTGTGGTGGTGGGCACCTGTAATCCCAGCTACTCCAGAGGCTGTGGCATGAGAATTGCTTGAACCTAGGAGGCAGAGGTTGCAGTGAGCTGAGATCGCACCACTGCACTCCAGCTTGTGTGACAGAGTGAGACTCCATCTCAAAAAAAAAAAAAAATGTTATGGGAGAGGATGGTAAAGCTAAGTATCTTTTGCACCTACTCCCCAGCCCCACCACTGCAGAAGCTGAAGGGGTTCCTAGAGGCTTCTTCTGCCATGGAGCTGTTCCCACTGGCCCCTAGCTAGAGGTGGGTGTAGGACTTTGAAACATGAACAAATGGAGCTGGGATGGCAATGGCGGGAACAATATTGTGCTAATCTGAACTCTGCACTTCCTAACTTTGGCTCTTGGTAAATTACCTCAAATTGCTGAGCCTTTGTTTCCATATTAATAAAATGGGTGCGGTAAGAGTACCAACCTCTTCTATGCTGTTTGGAGGAGGCAGGTCATAAGGTACCTGGCATGTGGTAGGGGATTCATGAATGTTGGCTTCTATCATTAAGGGTGGGGGAGCCACATAAGTAGCCAGAGGGAGTCATAGAAAGTTCTTGAGCCAGAGAAGTAAGATAATCTTTTCAGCTTTTTGTGCAGCATAAAAGGCGGGTAATTTGCTTGCCTTTGACCAAGGAAATGTGGGACGTGCCAGGCCTGGGGTGAATGGTGGGAACCCAAGTAGAGGGATATTTCTCATTGGCTGAATTAACTGTGATTCCATTTTGCGGAGCAGCCAGGTTGCTTCATGGTGGACCAGCTGCATGCCTACATGATGGTGCCGTGGATAGCTCTTGTTTGTGCCAGCCCTGTGTCTGATACCTCTTGTGGTAATTGCATCCCTATTTTTCAGAAGGAAGCATCCCTCCTCCCACTTTCTGGTTTTCCCCATGTCCTTCTGGAGGGGATGACCCCAACTGCTTCCTGAAGGGGCTTCATGAAAGCCAGGTCTGGCCAGGCTGGATGTGGTGATTGGCTCAGGCAGGGCATGTGGCCCAAACGGGTCCAGTGAAAGTCAGTCCTGGGACTTTGGCTGGGACTATTGGGGAACAGCCTCTGCTTTCTTGCGCAGATGTGAGTTAGGAGCTGCTCAGGCCACTATGTGGAAAGAATTGCATGAGAATGAAGTAATCAAAGGGAAGCAAGCACAGAGAGATTAGAGAGACTTATCTTGTATAAGTGCCTGTATCCAGCTATGCCTGAAGTGAGGTACCACCCCAGGCCTTTTCAGTCATGCTATCAGTTTTGTTCCTTTTTTCTGTTTTCCTCTTGGTGGAGTTATTTATTTTTTCCTTGTTACTTGAATAAGAAAAATACGAAACTAGAAGGCTGGGTGCAGTGGCTCACGCCTGTAATCCCAGTACTTTGGAAGGCCAAGGCAGGTGGATCATGAGGTCAGGAGTTTGAGATCAGCCTGACCAACATGGTGAAATCCTGTCTCTACTAAAAATACAAAAAAATTAGCCAGGCGTGGTGGTGCGTGCCTTTAATCCCAGCTACTCAGGAGGCTGAGGCAAGAGAATTGCTTGCATCTGGGAGGCGGAGGTTGCAGTGAGCCGAGATCGTGCCACTGCACTCCAGCCTAGGTGACAGAGCAAGACTCCATCTCAAAAAAAACAAAAACAAAAACAAAAAAACAAAACAAAAAAAAACCAGACTAGTAAATGCAACCATTTACAAATCCCAAGAGACTCTTGAAGATTCTTTTTGTTAGTAGGGAAAACATTCTCCATTTTTCTGCCAACTTTAGGGTTTTCAGAGAAGTTTGGGGGAGAGAAAGGAAAGCAAAGAGGTGGGAAGAAAGAGTCCTTGCAACCCCAAGTTGGGCGAACTCCTCCCAGCTACTTATACCACAGGGTTTTGGGAGCAGAGCCCCTTTCATTAAACTTTCAGGATTCTTGGATGGATAGGGTGGGAATTACACCAGTGAAACTCAGCTTTGTGTGTGCCAGGCATTGGGCCCTGGGATATGCAGTCATGTGTTGTATAATGACATTTTAGTCAATGACAAACCACATGTAAGTCACTGGTACCATAAGACGATTATGGAGCTGAAAAATTCCTATTGCTTAGTGACATAGCCATTGTAATGTTAGGGTAATGCATTTCTGTGTTTCTGGTGATGCTGGTGTAAACAAATCTGTGCTGCCAGTTCTATAAAAGCATAGCATGTACAATTACATACAATATATAATACTTGATAATGAACAACTATGTTACTGGTTTATTTTATGTTTTTGAGACAGAGTCTTGCTCTGTCGCACAGGCTGGAGTGCAGTGGCGCAATCTTGGCTCACTGCAACTTCTGCCTCACAGGTTGAAGCGATTCTTCTGCCTCAGCCTCCTGAGTAGCAGGGAATACAGGCACCCACCACCACGGCCAGCTAATCTTTGTATTTTTAGCAGAGATGGGGTTTCACCACACTGCCCAGGCTGGTCTCAAACTCCTGACCTCAAATGATCTTCCCACCTCAGCCACCTGAAGTGCTGGGATTACCCACATGAGACACTGTGCCCAGCCCTGGTGTATTTAGTGTTTTTCATAATTTTAGAATGTATGTCTTCTACTTACATTAAAAAATAATTAACTATAAAACAGCCTCAGGCAGGTCCTTCAGGAAGTATTCTGGAAGAAGAAGGCATTGTTATCACAGGAGAGGACATCTCCATGCATGTAATTGCCCAGGCGGGAGTGCAGTGGCACGATCTCGGCTCACTGCAACCTCCGCCTCCTAGGTTCAAGCGATTCTCCTGCGTCAGTCTCCTGAGTAGCTGGGATTGCAGGTGCACACCACCATGCCTGGCTAAGTTTTGTATTTTTAGTAGAGATGAGGGTTTCACCACGTTGGCCAGGATGGTCTTGAACTCCTGACCTCAAATGATCTGCCTGCCTCGGCCTCCCAAAGTGCTGGGATTACAGGCGTGAGACACCACGACTGGCAAAATTTTTAAGATACATTTCAGTAAGCTAAGGTGAATTTATTGAAGAAAAGCTTTAAAAAATTTTGGTGTAGCCTAAGCATATGGTGTTTATAAAGTCTACAGTAGTGTACAGTAAGGTCCTATGCCTTCACACTCATTGACTCATCCACAGCATCTTCCAGTCCTGCAAGCTCCTTTCGTGGTAAGTGCCCTATACAGGAGTACCATTTTAAATTCTCTTATACTCTATTCTTATTGTACCTTCTCTATGTTCAGGTACACAAGTACTTACATTGCGTTACAACTGCTTATGGTACATTCAGTAAAGTATCAGGCTGTACAGGTGTGTAGCCTAGGAGCAATAGGCCATACAGCCTAGGTGTTTAGTAGGCTATACAAGGCTATACAAGGTTTGTGCAAATGCACTTTGCTGTTTGCACAATGCTGCAGTCACCTAAGGAGGCATGTCTCAGAACCATCCCGTGATTAAGAGAGGCATGATCGTACAGTCATCATCTCCCTGAAAGCTCAGTCAACCCTGTGCAGTGCTACTGCCACACTCCCCTTTTGCACATGTAGAAATCAAGGATCTTTGGCTCCTCTGAGTGACTTGTTCAAGGTTTCTCAGTTTCCAAGAGATGGAGGCGGGACTTGAATTGAGATTTCCCTTTCTTGAGAACCTGTGGTCCTTAACCATTAAAACCACTTAAGAGATCTTCTCTCTTGATCACTACCTACTAAGTGCTAGGCGCGGTGCTGAGGCGTTCTCTTGATTATGATATTGAGTCTTTAGATTTCGGAGAAACAGGCCGAGCGCGCTGGCTCACGCCTGTAATCTCAGCACTTTGGGAGGCCAAGGTGGGAGGATCACGAGGTCAGGAGATGGAGACCATCCTGGCTAACACGGTGAAACCCCACCTCTACTAAAAATACAAAAATCAGCAGGTGGTGGCAGGCGCCTGTAGTCTCAGCTGCTCGGGAGGCTGAGGCAGGAGAATGGCGTGAACCCGGGAGGTGGAGCTTGCAGTGAGCCGAGATCGCGTCACAGCACTCCAGCCTCGGTGACAGAGCGAGACTGTCTCAAAAAAAAAAAAAAAGATTTAGGAGAAACAAGTTCCGAAGCCCTGACCCTAACACGCAAGTGTTAGTGGAGATGTGGGACTTCAACTCAGCTTCTCCGTTGAGTCGGCTGTCTCCGGGACGCAGGCACCTGCTTGCACACCTCCACGGTGGCGATCCCGCCCCCTTAGTAGCGTCCTTAGCTGGGCACTTCTTGCAGGGAAGCTCCTCTTGGCCCAGACCCTCTTCCTAGGCCCCACGTGGTGGGGGAAGCGAAAGGGGCAGTGTGGGGAAGTGGCCGAGGGGTCGGGTCCGGGGTGGTCTGCAGAGAGGCAGGCGGCGGTGCCCAGCCGGGAACCACGCGCTCACCCGCGGAGTCGGACGGGCCCGGCGGGGGTGGGCGAGACACTGGGAACAGCGGCCAGCTCCAGAGGGGCGAGGCGGGGCGCGCGGGGAGGGAGGGGGGCGCGGCGAACGCGCGCGTGCGCGGTTCGTGTGTGGGCCCGCGGGGGCGCGCGCGGCTGGGGGGCAGTGAGGGTCGCCTCGGCGGCGAGCAGCACGGCGGGAACATGGCGCCCGGAACTGGCGCGCGCGCCTAGCTGGCGGGACCGTTAGCTCGAGGCGGACGCGGCCCGGACCCGGTGGATGTGGAGCAGTCGCCGCTGCCGGCGCCCAAGCCGACCCCAGGGCCGACCCCCGCAAGGAGCTGAAGGAGGTGGGAGCCCCAGTCGCCGCGGGCGTCGGCGCCGGTGAGTGCGTGAGGGGCTCGGGCCGGGAGACTTTCTTTGTGAAACTCCGGCGGTGGGAGCCGGGCCGGGCCTCAGCGGCTGAGGAGTGCCTGTGAGGCGGAAGGCGTCTGGCAGTCCGGGTTCCATCCCAGCCGCTAGCCGTCAGGCGGCGGGACCTGGTCCGCCGCCTGCCTGCCTCAGTTTCCACGGGAGTGTGTGCGGGTGTGTGAGGGTGTGTATGGGTGTTGGCCTGTGCACACCGGAGGGGGGGTCGGTATACTGTCAGCGCCTAATGCGCGCGGCGCCTCCCCCCTCCCCCCAGTCCCCGTGGGGCGGAACCTGGGGACTGGAGTCCACCGGAGTAGTAGGCGGCACCCGCGGGGAGACAGGTGTCCGCGCAGCCCGGGAGGCTCAGGTGCTACCTTTCCCTGGTGGGGTTTGTGAGGAGTGAGCTCTTCGTTCCCAGAGGCGAGCAAGTCTGTCGGTGGCTCATCACAGAGCGCTGTTTTGGACAGCGTTCCACCCACCTCAGCTTCGTGCTGTGTTTGGGCCACTAGTCAGGGGGAAGGATGCTGAGCGACATGGACTTTAGAGGTGGGGCCCCCGCTGGACGGGATGGGTCTGGGCTCTCGAGCTTACCCCCACCCTTTCCTCCCAAACCCGTTAGAGCGTAGGAATCATTGGGAGCACCTGATAAAAATGCCACGGATTGTGGCTCACCTAAGCAGGGAAGCCGATTTGGAACTTAAACAAGCTCCCAAGTTGTGATCAGTCGAGCTTGGCAAGCACTGTTTGAGAGAGTAGGCTTCCCGCAAGCAGGAGCCGGTTTTGTGTATACCTCACCATGGCATCTTGGTACCTGGCATGGTGCCTGGCACATGGTAGATGATCAGAAAATATCTGTAGAAAGTCTAAATTATTAGGGAGAGTGCAGCATAGGAGTTCTTGAGACATTTTCAGGAGCTTCTTGAGATTAATATCTGTCAGATTTGTTTTACAGTATATTTTTCTCAGCTCCCAACTTTTGTGATTGTTTTTAATGCCATGTTTTCAGTATGTTCTAGGCAAAAGCAGGGTATATGTTGCTTAGTATACACTATCGACTAGGCCGGTTGTGGTGGCTCACTCCTGTAATCTCAGCACTTTGGGAGGCAGATTGCTTGAGCCCAGGGGCTTGAGGCTGTAGTGAGCCAAGGAGTTAGAGACCAGTGTGGGAAACATAGTGAGGCTCGTCTCCGCAAAAATTAGCTGGGTGTGGTAACGTGCACTTGCAGTCCCAGCTACTCTGGAGACTGAGGTGGGAGGATCGCTTGAGCTCAGGAAGTACAAGTTGCAGTGAGCCAAGGTTGTGCCACTGCATTCCATCCTGGATAACACAGCGAAACCCAGTCTCTTAAATAAGTAAATAAATACATAGATGATTATGTATACTCCAGCTAGGTTAAAATTAATTCTGAATCAAAATTCTAAATTAAAATATGCATGTTTCTTTGTCTTCATCATTTGAGAACACTAGGCTTTTAGGATTTCATTCCGTTGAGGCAGGTAAATATCTACATTTTTGACAAAGCAAATATGAATTACTGTTAATTCAAGAAAGGTGGGAATTTGCTTAAACCTGAGTATTTGTAGTCTCTGTGACTTTTTTAAATTTTAAATTTAAATTTTCTTTTTTTTTTCTATTTTTTTTGAGATGGAGTCTCACTCTGTCGTCCAGGCTGGAGTGCAGTAGCACAATCTCAGGTCACTACAACCTGCACCTCCCGAATTCAAACAATTCCCCTGCCTCAGCCTCTGGTGTAGCTGGCATTACAAGTGTGTGCCACCACGCCCAGCTAATTTATGTATTTTTAGTAGAGAGGAGGTTTCACTGTGTTGCCCAGGCTGGTCCCAAACTCCTTGACCTCAAGTGATCTGCCCACCTTGGCCTCCCAAAGTGCTGGGATTACAGGTGTGAGCCACAGCACCTGGCCTTATTTTTATTTTTTTGAGACAGACTCTCAGTCTGTCGCCCAGGTTGGAGTGCTGTGGCATGATCTCCACTCACTGCAACCTCCACCTCCCAGATTCCAGCGATTCTAATGCCTCAGCCTCCTGAGTAGCTGGGGTTACTAGACCCGGGTAATTTTTGTTGTATTTTTTTCGTAGAGACTGGGTTTCCCTATGTTGACCAGGCTGCTCTGGAACTCCTGGCCTCTAGTGATCCACCTGCCTCGTCCTCCCAAAGTGCTGGAATTACAGGCATGAGCCACTGCCCCCAGCCAATCTTTGTGATATTTTGAAATTGACGTTTATATTTTATTCAGAGTCAAAGCTAAAATAGAATTGTTTGAAAATTAATATTTCAGGAACTATTTTTTAATTAAGTTGAATTTTATTTTATTAGTTTCATTTCAGTAGGGTTTTAACCTAAAAAATATATATATACATACACACATATATGCGTATATACATATACGCATATATGCGTATATGTGTGTATATACATATATATATATATATATATATATATTTTTTTTTTTTTTTTTTTCCTGAGACAGAGTCTTGCTCTGTCACCCAGGGTGGAGTGCAGTGGAATGATCTTGGCCTCACTGCAGCCTCCACCCTCCCGGCTCAAGCAATTCTCCTGCCTCAGCCTCCCAAGTAGCTGGAACTACAGGTGCCCACCACTACACCTGGCTAATTTTTATATTTTTAGAAGAGATGGGGTTTCACCATGTTGTCCAGGCTGGTTTTGAACTCCTGATCTCAAATGATCTGCCCTCCTTGGCCTCCCAAAGTGCTGGGATTACAGGCGTGAGCCCCCGTGCCTGGCCTAAAAAATATTTTTAAAGGCAGGATCTAGCTATGTTGCCTCAGCTGGTCTTGAACTCCCAGTCTTGGCCTCAAGTGATCCTTCTTCCTCAGCCTTCTGAATAGCTGGAAGCACAGCTGTGAGCCAGCACACATGGCTTTTTTTTATTTCTAATAAAAAAGTTAATAGAGTTTCTTGTTTCACTGGACAAAATATGCATATATAGGAAGGAAAGACTTTTGGACTTGAGATTGTGCTGAAGAAGAAAAATGGAAAAATTAAGCATTTTAGTCTCAGTGTGTTATTTTTGTAGCTTATACAGATATGTCTTTTTAAAGTGTCTTTAAAAAGCTTTATTGAGATAAAGATAAATGAGATAAATGCACCTACCATGAAATCAACCCCTTGAGTGCAGAATTTTGTGGTTTATAATATGTTCACAGAATCGCACAAACAAGACAGGTATCTAGATACTTTCAGACCATTTTCATCAGTCCACAAGAAATCCCATACCCATTAGCAGTCATCCTTATTCCCTTTTCCCCTAGTCCCTGGCAATAACTAGCTTACTTTCTGTCTCTGAGTTTAGCTGTTCTGGAGATTTCACAGAATGAAATCTTACTACATATGGTCTTTTGTGATTGACTTATTTCACTTGGCACAGTGTTTTCAAGGTTTATCCATGCTGTAGCGTATATCAGCACTTCACTCTTTTCTAATGCTGAGTAATCTTTTGAATGGATATACCATATTTTATCAGTTCCTCTGTTGATAGGCACTTGAGTTTTTTTTCCAATTTTTGGCTATTATGAACAATGCTGCTATGAACATTTGTGTACAAATTTTAGTGTGGATGTATATTTTCATTTCCCTTGGGTATATCCCTAAGGAATACACTATCCGGGTCATATGATAATTGTTTGAGACTACAGGCACGTGCCACCACACCTGGCAAATATTTAAAATTTTTTTGTAGATAAAGGGTCTCGCTATTTTGCCCAGGCTGATCTTGAACTCCTGGCCTCAAGAGATCCTCTCACCTCAGCCTCCCAGAAAGTGTTAGCATTACAGATGTGAGTCACTGCACCTATAAAAGGGGCTCATACCTCTTTTTATGTATTTTTTTTTTTTGAGACAGGCTTTCACTCTGTTGCCCAGGCTGGAGTGCAGTGGTGGGATCACAGCCCACTGCAGCCTGGACCTCTCTCCATATGATTCTAGCTTTGGGTGTCTTTCCTGTAGTTTCTATTATGTTGTGGTATGTTTCTTCTGTACCCGTTTATTTGAGGATTAATAGCATGAAGGGATATTGAATTTCATCAAATGCTTTTTCAGTTTCAGTTGACATGATCATACTGTTTTTGTCGTTTATTTGGTTGATATGATGTATCACATTGTATGTTGAGTGACCCTTGCATCCCAGGGATACATCCCACTTGATCATGATGAATTATCTTTTTAATGTTTTACTGAATTTGATTCACTGGTATTTCGTTGAGGATTTTTGCATCAATATTCGAGATACTGGCCTGTAGTTTCCTTCTTTGATGCCTTTGTCTGATTTTGGTATCACAGTAATAATGGTCTCATAGAACAAGTTTGGAAGTATTCCCTCCTGTTTTTCAAAATAGTTTGAGTAGGATTTGTACTAGGTCATTAAATTGTTTGGTGTGAAGCCATCAGCAGTGAAGACATCAGTTCCTGGGCTTTTCTTTACTGGGAGACTTTTTCTGATGGCTTCAATCTCATTACTTGTTACCAATCTGTTCTGGTCTTGGATGTTTTCATTGTTCAACCTAAGTAGGTTGTATGCATCTAGGAATTTGCCAATTTCTACTAGGCTTTCCAATTTATTGGCATATAATAGCCAGTTATGATCCTTTGAATTTCTGAAGTATTAGTTGTAATGTCTGCCTTTTTTAATCTGTTGATTTTATTTATTTGAATCTTGTCTCTTTTTTCTTAGTTAGCCTGGTTAAAAGTTTGTCAATTTTGTTTTGCTTTCCAGAAAACCAACTTTTCATTTCATCTTGTGTGTTTTTTCTTTCAATTTTATTTCTGCTATGATCTTATTTATTTTTCTTATTTTTGGTTTAGTTTGTTCTTACTTTACTAGTTATTTAAGATGTATTGTTTATTTGAAGTTTTTCTTTTGTTTGGATGGTAGGCACTTATAGCTGTAAATCTCTGCCTTTGTACTGCTTTCTGCATAACAAGTTTTGGTATACTGTGTTTTCGTTACCCTTTGTTTCATGAAATTTTTGAATTTCTGTCTTAGTATCTTCATTGACCCGCTAGTCATTTATTCAGGTGGGTAGTGTTTAACTTCCATGTGATTGTATTGTTTCCAAAATTACTCTTCTTATTGATATCTAGTTTTATTCCTTTGTAGTCAAAGAAGATGGCCACGGAGATAGCAGCGTGGTCAGAGTGGTAGGAGCTGGTCATCGGCGAGAGCTGCTCCATGTCTGGCTGCTGAGTGCTAGAGCCTGTGGCCCACTGGCTTGCCTCACTATGGTTGGTGGTGGCGGTGACAGAGACTGCAGCACGACCAGAGTGGTAGGACAGGGGCTATCCAGGGCTGCACCTTTCACAGTGTGGGGTGGGTTGGGGGTGCTATCCAGGGTGTCATTGCCTGCATTAGGGGTACTGGTTGGTAGCACTGTACAGGGCTGCACTTCCCATGGCAGGGAGGGTGGGTTATGGGCACTTTCTGGGGCTGCAATGCCCATGGAGGAGGACAGGTTAGGGCACTATCAGGTATACGCTACTGGCGGCATTGGGGGATGGAGGTGGGGGGCGCTATTGAGGGCAGGACTAGCCGTGGAGTGGGGGCGAGTTCAGTGCTATCAGGGGCTGCACTGCTGGCAGTGGTCAGCAGAGTTGGCATCCAAGGAAGGAGTGGTTCTCCTCTCCCTGACTCCACACTCCAGAGGGCGACCCACTCTTGGTCATACTGGAATGCGGCAGGCACGCAGCATTTGCGTGGGAATCCTGAGCACGGCAGAGCCCCCACACCCACCATGGTTCCTGGGCCTGTGCACTCTGGGTCTGTGCCTCAGAGGCTGCCAGGCACCCCTGGGGACACCACGGGGGACAGGGCCCTGTGTGTGGAGGCGTCTGGAACAGGAATTGGCACCTGGGTGCAGAGGGCTGGCTGGGTCTGAATTTTTCTGCTTCTCCTGCTCCCCGAGGAGTGCAGCCCCGGTGGGCCCAATGGTTCCTGTGGAGTGGGGAGCTGGGTGCTGTGGTGTCTCCAGCACCCTCCCCAGACCCCAGTTCCTGGCCAGCTTGGACCAAAAGGAGAGGCTGGACTTTGGAGGGTGGGTGTGAGTGCCTTTGCTGAAACTGGCCCCTGCCACCCAGTGGCCAGCATGACAAGTTGAGGCTCTAACCCTTCCACCCCTCACATCTTCCTCTAGGCTTTTCTGGCTTTGCCCACCCAGCTGCTCCATGCCAGGAGGAGGAGGAGACACCTAGAGCCTGCGACACCACGACTTGCCTCACTGCGGGTGGGTGGCAGCGACAGAGACTGCAGTGCGCCAGAGCGGTAGGAGAGCGGCCGCGCTAGGAGGGCAGGCGGCTGCAGCCAGGGTTGGGGCTCAGGCTTACAGCGATGGACGGGCTGCAGCAGTGGCCAGGTGGTAGGAGCCTTGTAGGGAAGGCTGGTGCATTGGCAATGGGCCTGGCTTTGCCCTGCATTGCCCTGTACCTGCCCTACTGTTACATGGACTGTCTCGGCCCTGTCCTGCTCTGGTCCCATCCTGACCCTGTCTTGGCCCTGTGCTACCCTGTCCCTGCCCTGGTCTTGCCCTGGCACTGGCCCTGCCCTGAACCGGCACTGGCCCTGCCCTGAACCTGCACTGGCCTGACCTTGGCTCTGGCCCTGGCTCTGGCCCTACCCCTTGTCCTGACCCTGGTCATGTCATGGCACTGGCCCTGCCAGTGGTCATGGTCCTACTCCTGTTCTGGCCCTGACCTGGCCTTGGACATGTCCTGGTCTTGCTTTGGCCCATCCCTGCCCTGGCCCTACCATGGGCCTGCCTTTTCTGCCTTCTCCTGGCACTGACCTTGCCCTGTCATGGCCCAGTGGTGCCATTGCCCTGCTTTACCCTGCACTGGTTGTACCTCGGCCCCGCTTGGTGCTGGCCACTCCCTGGACCTGCCCAGACCCTGCCTCGACTTTTGCCCTGCCCTCACTACGGCCTGGCCCTGGCCCTAGCCCTGGTCCTGCCATACCCCTGGCCCTGCCCTTATCCAGGCCCTGCCCCTGCTGCTGCCCTGGCCCTGGCCTGGAACCTGGTCCTGTCAAGGACCTGCCCTGACTCTGCCATGGCCCTGGCCCTGCTCTGCCTTGTTCCTGGCCCTGACCCTCTCCTGGCTCTGCACTGGCCTTTCCCTGGCCCTGAGCTGGCAGTGGTCTGCCCCTGGTCTGGCCATCACCCTGCCCTGCTGTGCTCTGGATGTGTCATCACCCTGCCCTGGCCCTACTCTGCCTTTGACCCTGCCCTGGCCTTACCTTGGCCCTCACCCTAGTCTTCGCTAGGCCCTGCTCTGGAGCTGGCCCTAGCACAGACCTGGCCCTGACCCTGGCCCTGGTCTTTGTCCTGCCATAGCCCTGGCCCTGAAGTGGACTTGGAGGTGTCCTGGCCCCGGCGTAACATGGCTCTGCATTGGCCTGTCCCTGCCCTGCCCCTACCATTGCCTTGCCCTGCTCTGCCCTGTCCCAGTACTGACCCGGCCATGCTATTTCCCTGCCGTACCCTGCCTTGGCTGTGCCCTGGCTCAGTTCTGGCCCTGGGCCCGGCCCTGCCCTGGACATGTTCTGACACTGCCTCAGCCTTGGCACTAGCCTGGCTCTTTCTTGGCATCAGTCCTGCTCTCTCTGTGGACCGGCTCTTGTCCTGTCCTGCACTGGCCATACCATGCCCTGCCCTGCCCTGCCCTGACTCAGCCCTGGCTCAGCCCTGGCCCAGCCTTGGCCTTGGCATTGCCCCTGGTCCTGCCATATTTCTTGCCCTGTCCCTACCCTGGCCTTGGCCCTGACCCTTACCTTGCTCTGGCCCTGCCCTTGCCCTAACACAGCCCCTGGCCCTGTCATGGCCCTGCCCTGGACCTGTCCTGGCCCTGTCCTGGCCCTGGCCTGGCCCTGGCCCTTCCCTGCTTGAGACCTTGCCCTGGTTCTCCTCTGGCCCTGACCCTGAAATGCCTGGCCCTACCCTGGCCTTGCACTGCTCTGGCCCTTGCCCTGACTCTGGTCCTGTCACTGGCCTAGCCCCAGCCCTGTTGCTGGTCTTATCATGGCCCAGACCCTGCCTTGGCCCTGCCCTGACACTGTCCTGGACCCTGGCTGTGCCAAGATCCTGCACTGTCCTTGCCCTTGTTTTGCTCCTGCCCCAAACCTGGTCCTGCCCAGGCCCTGGCCCTGGCCCTCCCCTGGCTGTTCCCTGGCCCTGCCCAGGTCTTGGCACTGGCCTGGCCCTGCCCTGCCTTGGCCCTATGCTTTCCTGGCCCTTCCTTGACGGCCCTGGTCCTGCCTTGGCCCTAGCCTGGCTTTGACCCTGCCCTGGCCCTACCTTGGCCTTCATCCTAGCCTTACCTGGGCACTGTGTTGTACCTGGCCATAGCGCAGACCTGGTTGTGGCCCTGGCCCTGCCATGGCCCTGCCCCAGACCCTAGCCCTGCCAGGTACCTGTCCTGGCCCTGCTCTGGGCCTGGCTTTGTCCCTGGTTCTTAGATGACCCTGGCCCTGCCCCTGCCCTTGTCCTTGCCCTGGCACTGGCCTTGGACATGTCCGTGGTCCTAACCCTGGCCCTGTCCTGGAGCTGCCACTGTCGTGGCCCTGCCCCGGCCCTGGCCCTGCCCCGGCCCCAGCCATAGACCTGCCCTGGCCCTGCCCTCCCTTTGGCCCTGCCCTGACCCCGCCTTGGCCCTAGCACATACCTGGTCCTATCTGTGGCGTTGGCCTGGCATTGACCCCTGCTCCTGACCCTACTCCTGCCATGGCCCTTGCCCTGCCAATGACCCTGACAGCCCTGGCCCTGGCCCTGTCTTGGCCCTGGCCCTGAACTGGCCCTGCCCTGACCCCGGCCCTGAATTGGATTTGCAGGTGTCTTGTCCCTGATTTAACCTGGCCCTACCATGGCCCTGTCCCTCTCCTGGCTCTGTCCTGGTCTCGTGCTGACCCTGACCCAGACCTTGGCCCTGCCCCAGCCTTGTCCTTGACCTGGCCATGGCCCTGCCTCTGCCCTGGACCAGCGCTGTCACTGGCATGGACCCTGGCCCTGGCCCTTTGCTACTTAAGGCCATACCCTGTCCCAGCCCTGGTCCTGACCCTGTCCTGGCCCTAATTTGGCCTGGCTCTACCCTGGCATGCTATTCTGGCCCTAGCCCTGACCCTGTCCCTGTCCTGGCCCTAGCCCCATTGCTGGTCCTGCCATGGCTCTTATCCTGACATTGCCCTTTCCTGGTCCTGGCCCTGGCCCTGTCCCAGCCCTGTTCTGGCCCTGGTCTGAACCCTGGCCCTGCAATGGACCCTCCTTGGTCCTACCCAGACCCTGGTTCTGGCCCTACCTCTGCCCTGGCTATACCTTTGCCCTGGCCTGGACCCCAGTACTGGTCCTTGTCCTGCCCCAGCCGTGGCCCCGGCCCCGCCCTGCCTGTGCCCTGTTCTATCCTGGGCTGGCCCTGCCATGGCCTGGTCTTGCCATTGGCCTGCCCTAGCCTGCCCTGCTTGTGCCCTAGATCTGCCCCGGCCTTTGCCCCTGTCTTGGTTCCAGCCTTGACTCAGCCCTGGACCTTCCCTGACCTTGCCTCAGCCCTGGCACTACCCTGGCCTTGGCTTGGCATTTGCCCTACTCTCTCTATGGCCTGGCTCTGGTCCTGCCCTGCTCTGCTCTTGTTCTGTCCTGGCACAGCCCTGGCCCTGCCGTATCACTGGCTCTGGTCCTGCCCTTATGCAGGCCTGCCCCTGCCCCTGCCTTGGCTTTGGCCTGGACCTTGGCCGTACAGTGACCCTGCCATGACCCTTTCCTGGCCCTGGCCTGGAACTTGGCCCTGCCAAGGACTCGCCCTGGCTCTGTCATGGCCCTGGCCCTTTCCTGGATTTGGATGTGTCCTGTCCCTTATTTGCCCCGGCCCTTCCCTGGCTCTGCCATACCCCTTCTCTGGGGTAGGGCCAGGGTCAGGACCAGGGTAGGGCCATGGTAAGGCCTGAAGATGGGAAGGGCCGGGGCAGCGGCAGGACCAGGGAAGGGTCAGGGCCAGTGATGTGGTAGGACTAGGGGCAGAGCCGGCACTAGGGCTGAGCCGGGGCAGAGCAGGAGAGATTACATTAGGCTATCACATAAAATTTTTATTTTAGATTTTTAAGATAACTATAGTAGTGGTAATAATGTCTATACTATGTTGTTTGTAATAGTAATAATATTTGCAGTAAATAATCACTAAATTTTAACTAATACTATCTTTGCTTCCAGTAGTGTTCTATGAGTACAATTTTATCAATATGTAAATATGTGAGGCATTGATTCTCACAATAATTCTAGGTGCTAGGTACTTAAAGCATCCCCATTTTCCAAATGTAGGAAACAGGCATAAAGAAGTTAAATACTTGGCCAGATTACTCCTGTAATCCCAGCACTTTGGGAGGCCAAGGCAGGCAAATGGCTTGAGCTCAGGAGTTTGGAACCAGCCTGGGCAACATTGTGAAACCCCATCTCTACTAAAAATGCACAAAAAGAGCTGATTTAAGTTTCTTATAGGATTCTGGTTATAAAACACTGGTCAAACACACAGGGCATGGATAGGGCAGGGCCAGGGACAAGGTCAGGTCAGGAAGGGGCCAGGGCCAAGGCAGGGCCAGAGCTGGACTTGGAGGTGTCCTGGTCTGATTTGCCCTGTCCCAACGTTGGCCCAGCCCTGCTCTGGCACTTCCTGTCATGCCCTGTCCCTGGTCTGAGCATTGGCCCTGGCCCTGTCCTGCTTCTGGCCCTGCCCCAGAGTTGACCAGGCACTGCCATGGCCCAGTCCTGCATTGCCCTGCCCTTTTCTGCCCTGGTGCTGCCATGGCCCTGCTTGGGCCCTAGCTCTGCCTCGACTCTGGACCTGCCCTGACTCTGCTCAGCCCTGGATCTACCCTGACTCTGCCTTGGTGTTGCCCTCCCATCTCTATGGCCTGGCTCTGGCCCTGCCTTGCACAGGCCATGCTCTGCCCTGCATGTCCCAGCCTGGGCCCAGCCCTTGCCCTACCATATTTCTGACCCCACCCGTACCCTTGTTCTGGCCTTGACCCTGCCGTGGCATTCTCCTGGCCCTTCCTTGGTCCTGCCCTGCCCTTCCATGCCCTGGCCTTTCCCTCACCCTGCACTGGTCCTGCCCTGCCCTGGCAGTGCCTTGGCCCTGGCCCTGCCTTCTCCCTGGCCTTGCCCTTTCCCTGCCCTGGCCTGACCCCAGGCCTACCGAGTCCATGAAATGACCCTGGACCTGCCTTGCCATCATCTGTCCTGGCCCTGTATTGTCCCCACCATGCTCTGGTCCAGCGCTTACCCTGGCCCTGTTGCTAGTCCTGCCACTGCTATGGCCCTGCCCTGTTTTTGGCCATGACCTGTGCTACCCTAGCCCTGCCCCGCCTTGGCCTTGGCCCTACCGTGGCCTTTTCCTACCCTGGCCTGGCCGTACACTGGCCATTTCTACCCTGGCCTTGCCCTTCCCTGGTCTTGCCCTGCCCTGGCCTTGCCCTGCCCTGGCCTTGGCTTTGCCTTATCCTGGTCCTGGTTCTGCCCTGGCCCTGCCCTTTCTCTGGATCCTCTCTGGTTCTGCCTTCTCCCTGGCCCTGCCCTTGCTCTGGCCCTGTTCCTGGCTCAGCCTTGACCCTGGCCCTGGCCCTGACAATCCCCAGGCCGCACACTGGCCATGCTTGGCCCTGGCCCCTCCTTTGGCCCTGCCCTGGCCCTGTGCTATCTTAGTACAGGGCCTTGGCCTTGGCCCTGTGCTATCTTAGTCCTGCCCTGGCCCTGAACTTGCCCTGGCCCTACCCTCACCCTACACTGGCCCTGCCCTGGCCCTGCCTTTGGACTGCCCTGGCTCTGGTTCTGCCATGGCCTTGCCCTTGCCCTGGACCCTCCCTGGCCATGTTTTTACTGTGGTCCTTCTCTGGCCTTGCCCTTGCCCTTTCCCCTTTCTGGTCCTGCCATGTTTCTGGCCCTGCCCTGTCCATGTCCTGGACCTGACTCTGGCCCTGGACCTCCCTGTCCCTGCCCTGCCATACCCTGGCCCGTTTCTTGCTCTACACTGACCCTGCCCTGCCTTGGCCCTGTGCTACCCTAGCCCTGCCCTGGCCTTCTGCTGGCCCTGATCCTGCCATGGCCCTGGCCCTGCCCCTGCCATGTCCCTGCCCTGGCCCTGGTTCTGCCCTACTTCTGGCCCTGGCCTTGGTCCTCTTATGTCCCTGGCTGTGACCCTGCCCCTGGTTTTTCTCTGGCCATGACCCTGCCCCGGTTCTGTCCTATCCCTGGCCCTGTCTCAGTTCTGTCCTAGCCCTGGCCTTTCACAGTACTTTATGCTTAGTAAGGGCTCCATAGTGTCTGTGAGTTGAATGTTGTGTTCATAGTATCTGCCAAAACAGAAAGAAAAAAAACAAAATCTGAAGATGAGAAGTTAAAGCTTTGTATATAATATGCCTTGAATTGTAAGTGCTTGTTATTAGTTGTATTACATGTAGGTCATGGTTTTGTACACATAACTCCAAACCATTGATACTGTTAAAAGAATATATGAATATATGAAAGAATATATAAACGTAAGAATGTATGAGTATCTAATGACCTCTCCAAACTAATTTTTATTTTTAGCTCTATTAGATTTTTTCTCAGTGTAACAAATGTTTATTCCTATGTAATTAAGGGCATATTTCCTGTACAGAATATTCATATTACTTAATTGAAAATTATATAATGCAAAAATATAATACTATTTTTAGGCCAGGCATGGTGGCTCATACCTGTAATCCCAACATTTTGAGAGGCCAAGTTTGGAGAATCATTTGAGTCCAGGAGTTGACCAGCCTGGGCAACATATTGAGACCTTTTCTTTATTAAATAAATAAATAAGTAAATAAATAGGATGGGCACTGTGGCTCATATCTGTGATCCCAGCATTTTGGGTTGCGAAGGCAGGAGGATTGCTTGAGCCCAGGAGTTTGAGACCAGCCTGGGCAGCATAGCAAGACTCCATCTCTACAAATAATAAAATATTAACCAGGTGTGGTGGTGCGCACCTGGGGTCCCAGCTACCTGGGAGGCTAAGGTGGGAGGTTTGCTTGAGGCTGCAGTGAACTGTGAATGCACCACTGCATTCCAGCCTAGGCCACAGAACAGGACCTTGTCTACCAATAAATAAGTAAAAATATAAATAAAAATAAGTAAAAAGAAATATAAGTAAATATAAATATAAATACATATAAATATAAAAATGAATACATGAAAACAATTTTTAAATTTAACATCACTGAGGGCATCCTATCCATTTCATTTCATGATTCCATTACATCATTTCACTTAGATGAAGTGATAAGGTTACTTGAGATGAGATGAAATGATGAGATGAAATGATGAAATGATGAGATGAAATGATGAGATGAAATTTTGAGATGAAATGATGAGTAGAAATGATGAGATGAAATGATGAGATAAAATGACAAAATTGAAAAGAAATTGAAAGGAGATGAGATGACATGAAATGAGATGATGGATGAAATGATGAGATGAAACGAGATGAAATGATGAGAAGAAATGAAATGAAATAATGAAATGAAATGATATGAAATAATGAAATTGAGATGAGATGAGATGATATAATGAGATAAAATGATGAGATGAAATGAGATGAACGATAAGATGAAATGATGAAATAAGATGAGATGATAAGACGAAATGATGAGATGAAATGAGATGAAAAATGAGATGAAATAATGAAATGAGATGAAATCAAATAATGAAAGGAAATTATGAAATGTAATGATGAAATAATGAAATGGCAATGATGAGATGAGAAGAAATGATGAGATGAAATGATGAAATGATGAGATGAAATGAGATTAAATGATGAGATTAAATGATGAGATGTGATGAAATGAGATGAAATGATGACATGAAATCAGATGAAATAATGAGATGAAATGATGAGATGAAATGATGAGATGAAATGAGATGAGATGAAATGTGATGAGATGAAATGACATAATGAAATGAAATAATGAAATGAAATGATGAAATGGAATAATGAAATGGAAATGATGAGATGAGATGCAATGAGTTGAAATGATGAGATGAAATGAGATGAAATGATGAGATGAAAAGATGAGGAGACGAGATGTGATGAAATGATGACATGAAATGACATAAAATGAGATGAAATAAGATGTAATGAATGAAATGAGATGAAATGATGAGATGAGATGAAATGGTGAGATAAAGTGATGATATGAAATGATGATATGAAATGATCAGATGAATGATAAGAGGAGATGATGAGATGAAATGATGAGATGAAATGAAATGAAATGAAATAATGAGATGAATGATATGAAATAATGAAATAAAATGAAATTGAAATAAAATTGAAATGAGATGAGATGAAATAAGATGAAATGATGAAATAAAATGATGAAATGATGAGATGTGATGAGATGAAATGATGAGATGACATGACATGAAATAATGAAATGAAATAATGAAATGAAATTGAGATGAGAAGATATGAGATGAGATGAAATGATGAGATGAAATGATGAAATGATAAGATGAAATGAGTTGATGAGATGATGAGATGAAATGATGAGATGAAATTAGATGAAATGAAATTAGATGAAATGTAATGAGATGAAATGAAATGACATAATGAAATGAAAAAATGAAATGAAATAATGAAATGAGGTGAAATTAAATGAGATGATGAAATTAAGTGATGAAATAATGAAATGGAAATGAAATGGAAATGATGAGATGAGATGAAATGATGAGATGAATGATGAGATGCAATGATGAGATGAAATGATGAGGTGAGATGTAATGATGAGATGTAATGAAATGAGATGAAATGAATGAGATGAAATGAAATAATGAAAGGAAATTGAATTGAGATGAGATGAGATGAAATGATGAGATAAAATGAGATGAAATAAGAAATGATGAGATGAGATGAAATGATGAGATGAAATGAGATTAAATGATGAGATGTGATGAAAGATGAAATGATGACATGATATGATGACATGAAATCAGATGAAATAATGAGATGAAAGATGAAATGATGAGATGAGATGAAATGTGATGAGATGAAATGACATAATGAAATGAAATAATGAAATGAAATGATGAAATGGAATGATGAAATGGAAATCATGAGATGAGATGCAATGAGTTGAAATGAGATGAAATGATGAGATGAAAAGATGAGATGAGACGAGATGTGATGAAATGATGACATGAAATGACATAAAATGAGATGAAATAAGATGTAATGATGAAATGAGATGAAATGATGAGATGAGATGAAATGAAATGGTGAGATAAAATAATGAGATGAAATGATGAGGTGAATGAGATGAAATGAGATAAGAGGAGACGATGAGATGAAATGATGAGATGAAATGATGAGATGAAATGAAATGAAATAATGAAATAATGAGATGAAATGATATGAAATAATGAAATAAAATGAAATTGAAATAAAATTGAAATGAGATGAGATGAAATAATAAGATGAAATGAAATAAAATGATGAAATGATGAGATGTGATGAGATGAAATGATGAGATGACATGACATGAAATAATGAAATGAAATAATGAAATGAAATTGAAATGAGATGAGAAGATATAAGATGAGATGAAATGATGAAATGATAAGATGAAATGAGTTGATGAGATGATGAGATGAAATGATGAGATGAAAAGAGATGAAATGAGATGAAATTAGATGAAATGAAATTAGATGAAATGTAATGAGATGAAATGAAATGACATAATGAAATGAAATAATGAAATGAGGTGAAATTAAATGAGATGATGAAATTAAATGATGAAATGAAATAATGAAATGGAAATGGAAATGATGAGATGAGATGAAATGATGAGATGAATGATGAGATGCAATGATGAGATGAAATGATGAGATGAGATGAGATGTAATGATGAGATGTAATGAAATGAGATGAAATGAATGAGATGAAATGAAATAATGAAGGAAATTGAAATGAGATGAAATGAGATAAAATGAGATGAAATAAGAAATGATGAGATGAAATGATGAAATGCTGAGGTGAGATGAGGTGAAAGGAGATGAAATGAAAGGATGAGATGAAATGATGAGATGAGATGAAATGAGATGAGGTGAGATGAGATGAAATGAGATGAAATGATGAAATGCTGAGGTGAGATGAGGTGAAAGGAGATGAAATGAAAGGATGAGATGAAATGATGAGATGAGATGAAATGAGATGAGGTGAGATGAGATGAAATGAGATGAAATGATGAAATGATGAGATGAAATGAGGTAAGATGAGATGAAATGATGAGATGAGATGAAATGAAATAAAGTGAAATGAAATGAAATAATGAAATTGAGATGAGACGAAATGAGTTAAACTGATGAGATGAAATGATGAGAAGAAATGAGATGAAATGATGAAATGATGAGATATGATGAGATGAAATGATGAGATAAAAATGATGAGATGAAATGAGATGAATTGAAATGAGATGAAATGAAATAATGAAATAATGAAATGAGATGAAATGAGGAAATGATATTGAAATGAAATTGAAAGATGAGATGAGATGAAATGATGAAATGAAGAGATGTGGTGAGATGAAATGATGAGCTGAAATGATGAGACGAAATGAAATGAGATTAAATGAGATGAAAAATGATGAGATGAAATGATGAGATGAAATGAGATGAGATGAATTGAGATGAGATGAGATGAAATAATGAGATTAGGTGAAATAATGAAATGAGATGAAATGAAATAATGAAATTGAAATGAGATGAGAAGAAATGATGAGATGAAATGTTGAAAGGAGGAAATGATGAGATGAGATGAAATGATGAGATGAAATGAATTGAGATGAAATGATGAGATGAAAAATGATATGAAAAATGATGAGATGAAATGAGATGATATGAAGTGACATAATGAAATTAGATGAAATTAAATGAAATAGTGAAATGAAATAATGAAAATGAAATGGAAATGAGATGAGATTTGATGAAATGATGAGATGATATGATGAGATAAAATGAGATGAAATGATGAGATGAAATGATGAAATGAGATGAAATGATGAGATGAAATGATGAGGTGAAGTGATGCACTGTCACGTGTGTGTCTATTCTTTTTCCCAACCAACAAAAATTACAATTCATTTTAATTTTATTATTTAAGAATATTCTTAAGAGTTGAAGGAAAAATAATATCTACATTATGGGTTACAATCTAAGTATAAATAATACATAAATATATTAAAACTTACAAAGAATATGTTTTGGAATCAAATATACCATGCTTCTGTGATGACAGTTATTTCATGCTGGTTGTCACAATTTTACATGAAAAACTAATGAAAAAGTGTTTTTAACTGTTTCTAAAAATAAGTTTCCAAAAGAGTTTTACATTCGAAATATGAAAAAGATGTCTTTGCGTTCCTTAATCTGATGAGATTTTCACACTCTGCACATGATAATTGTTAGATTTTTATTGTGTTGATAAATTGTATATCAAATAAAAAATGTTATTACCTCTTAAATTAGGATTTTTAGGTGATATAGGCAGAAAGGAAGGCAAGTTTTTATAACTTTGTCTAAATGAACTTTCTAAATGCCTGAGTATTAAAAGATAACGTCTATAAATCACAATGTATATATTACTGTATGACCTAGGACCAATCAAAACCGTTACCTCTGATAACATTATATTGTGCCCAATATAAAATAGATATAATAATACCTCAAACATAAATCCAGGCATTGTCATTGAATATCTTAAGAATATGCAGCAAAGGTGCTTTTAAAAATACAAGCTAGTGATTGTACTAAATTTGTAAATTACATAGGATAGTGGGTCATTTTAAGAATATTAGTTATTTCAATCTATAAACGTGGATGTCTTTTTTGTGTTTTCTTTAATTTCTTTCATTAATATTCGTCATTTTTGTTGTAGAAATCTTTTACTTCCTTGGTTAAATTTATTTCTAAGTACATTTTTGTAGCTATTGTAAAAGGAATTGCTTTCTTAATTTCTTGTTTCAGCTAGTTTACTATCAATATATAGAAATGCTACTGATTTTTGTATGTTGATTTATATCCTGCAACTTTATTAATTTCATGTATCACCCTAAGAAGCTTTTGGTAGCATCTTATTTTTTTCCGTGTATAAGATCACATTGTCTTTAAACAAGGACAATTTGACTGTCTCCTTTCCAATTCAGATATCCTGTATTTCTTTCTCTCACCTAATTGTCCTGGCTAAGACTTTCACTATGTGAAATATGATTGGTGAAAATAGGCATCCTTTTCTTGTTACAGTAAAATCTTTTTCTTGTTCACAGTAAAATCTTTCACCTTTTCCACACTCAGTATGATCTTAGCTGTAGATTTGTCCTTTATGTCCTTCTGTGTTAAGGCATATATTTTCTATACTAAATTGTTAAGAGGTTTTTTGTCATGTAAGAATATTTAATTTTGCCAAATGCTTTTATTGTGTTTATTAATTTGATCATATGGTTTTCAGTATATATCCAAAGGAAAGAAAATCAGTATATCAAAGAGTTACCTGCACCTGCATGTTTATTACAACACTATTCACAATAGCCAAGATATGGAATCAACAAAAGTGTCCATCAACAGATGAATGGATAAAGAAATGTGACATACATATATAATGGAATATTATTTAGTCATAATAAAGAACAAAATCCTGTTATTTGTGGCAACAAGAATGCAAGTGGAGGGCACTATGTTAGGTGAAATAAGCCTGGCATAGAAACATAAACACCACATAACTACGTGTTCTCACTTATGTATGGAAGCTAAAATTTTTAATCTCGTAGAAGTAGATAGTAGAGTTTTGGTTACCATATCCTGGAAAGAGTAGGAGAAAGAAGAGTATAAGAAAAATGTGGTTAATACATACAAAATTACAGGTGGAGAGAAGGAAGAAGTTCTAGTTCTCTACAGCACTGTTGGGTGACTGTAGTTAACGGGAATTTATTGTGTGTTTTCAAATAACTAAAATAAAAGATTTTGAATATTCTCACTGAAAAGAAATAATACATGATTTAGGTAATGGATGTGATAATGACTGTGACTTGATCTTTATGCATTGCATAAATATATCAAAATATCACTCTGTACCCCATAACATGTACATTTATTATATGTCAAAGTAAATTTAAAAGAGAAAAAATGAGGTAAAGGTAAATGTACAGAATTTAATTACTTTTTCTTCTATAAAACCCAAGAGTCAGTACCAAGAAGAGTCAATTTATTAGTTTTCTAAAATAAAAAAAATCAAAGTCGCCAAAAAAGAGCAATATCCAAGAAAACATTGAAAATGAAACACAACGTTTAGTAAGAATAGAAAACTTGGGCACTGTATCACCCTGTTCCTAGATACCGATTTACTGATAGCAATTTAAATAGAATTTTATTCTATCTAATTCGTTTATACTCCCAGAGTTCGAAATTACATTTTACCTACAATAAATGAGATAACACTTGCAAATTATATGGTACTCTGCCTAACACACGTTAATAACTCAATACATGTTAGCAATAAACTTTTAGTATAGTAGTCAAAGTATTAATTTCTCACATTGCAAAGTTGCTTCAAAGACATGAATACAACCTTTCTAATGACTCCTCGTTCATCAAGATACCTCTTCAAATTATTCTATTTCTTTCATTCAGTGTATTATCTGTGTATACCGATATGATATTACACTCTTTTTTTTTTTTTTTTTGAGATGGAATCTCATTCTGTTACTGATGCTGGAGTGAGGTGGCATGATCTGCAACCTCCACCTCCCAGGTTCAAGCGATTCTCCTGTCTCAGCCCCCCAAGTAGCTAGGACTACAGGTGCACACCACCATGCCTGGCTAATTTTTGTATTTTTAGTACAGTCAGAGTTTCACCCTGTTGTCCAGGCTGGTCTCGAACTCCTGACCTCAGGTGATCCACCCACCATGGTCTCCCAAAGTGCTGGGATTACAGGCATAAGCCACCGCACCCAGCCTGATATTGCACTCTTGGATTTTGAACACTGAATATCTTTTTGAGAGATTACACCTCTTTACCTCTTTGTGCTTCAGAAATTATCTTCCTTCAAGTGTTCTAAGAGTCTAATGAAGAATGAAGTCATGTTTTATCACTTTTGTCCTTAAAGATTTCAGACATGCTGAAACTGATTGAAGTATCATTTGCTACCAGATAGATTAATTATCTCTAGTTGTAGGAGTGGATACATCTTTAATGGTATATTTTGGGTTATTGTCTTATTTTTGATGCAGTGTTCTATAAATAATTTATTAAACCTGGCATCCTTGGGTGAGCCTGGATTTTTCAACTTTGGTGTTATATTGTGTTTGCTTTTAAAAACTGCTTTTGAGGCCGGGTATGGTGGCTCTTGCCCATACCCAGCACTTTGGGAGGCCAAGGTGGGCGGATTACCTCAGGTCAGGAGTTCAAGACCAGCCTGGTCAACATGGCAAAACCATGTCTCTACTGAAAACACAAAATTAGCCAGGCATGGTGGTACATGCTTGTAGTCCTAACCACTCAGGAGGCTGAGGCAAGACAATCACCTGAACCTGGGAGGCAAAGGTTGCTAGGTTGCTGTGAGCCAAGTTCGCACCATTGCACTCCAGCCTGGGTGAAAAGAGCAAAACTCTGTCTCAAAAAAAAAAAAAAAAAAAAAAAACCACCAAAAACTGCTTTTGAATGGAGTTGTACATACAATCTTTATGAAAAAAAATATCAAGTGCATAAGTTCATAATAGAAAAGCCAATAATACTCCAGGCACAAGTTAGTACTAAAAAAGTTATGTTGAATATTCTCTAATACAACATGCTTTTTCCCTTCATGAACGACTTGTGTTTTACTGAGAAGAGTCATTGTTTATGGTAGACATTAGACTACAGATGAATATGTACTTTAAACACTCTTAGTTGCTTTCGTAATTTTATATCTGCTGCTTTATGCTTCTGTTTATTTTCATTCTTTCCAATGTCCACATTCTAGTAAATTTGAATATTTTAATCCAAGTTTATATACTATTTAATATTGCTTGTATAGTTTAGTATTTTTAAGACTCAAAAAGGTTTACAGAAAGAAGAAAAAGATCAACATGTTATTAATCATTTAAAGATCATTTTAAAATCTTTGACCTTTATATTTTAATGAATAAAATGTTGGTAGTTATTAGTATAAAATAATTTATGTCTTTTGGACTTAGCATCCAGTATTTCTTTTTTAATAAAGAAAATAATTATTCTCTTGCAATATACTACGTTTATCTGGGTTTTGAAAAATGATGTTTCCTAATATGAGAAAGCCATTTACATTTTTAAATCTACAAAGGCAAATGGAATGGTACTAAATTATTTACATAATAATGTTTAGGTGGTGGCCCTTATAACATTCTTTCTATACTTCCTACAGAGTTGGGGATATGCAATCCTAGAATATTTCTGGGAGCTAATCCTTTAGCTTGATGAATGAAACAAGACTTTTAAATAAAATTAAACTTTCAAATTATCCAGGTAATGGGCCTGTCTTTTTTTTTTTTTTTTTTTTTTTGAGACGGAGTCTCGCTCTGTCGCCCAGGCTGGAGTGCAGTGGCGGGATCTCGGCTCACTGCAAGCTCCGCCTCCCGGGTTCACGCCATTCTCCTGCCTCAGCCTCCCAAGTAGCTGGGACTACAGGCGCCCGCCACTACGCCCGGCTAATTTTTTCTATTTTTAGTAGAGACGGGGTTTCACCGTTTTAGCCGGGATGGTCTCGATCTCCTGACCTCGTGATCCGCCTGCCTCGGCCTCCCAAAGTGCTGGGATTACAGGCGTGAGCCACCGCGCCCGGCCGGGCCTGTCTTTTAATTCAATGGATATGGAGCATAATGAATTATCCCCTGTTCATTGGGTAATAAGTTCTCATTCTTAACTTCTAATACTCAAAATGTCCTTTAATTTTTAATTTTCGATAGTCATATCATTATCCCTAGGTATTTTAGCTTCTATCTTAAATTCTAAAATAATTTTGAAACAGGAGAAAGTATTCTTTATTACTATATGTATTAAACATCATGGTTTTCAAATTTAACTGCAAATGTATCTTTTCATTGCTTCTTGGTGACGCCCTTCACCCTATCCATATTGTCACTACCAAGTGGTGATTACTTTTCAGGTTCACATACTTGTTCTTTAGAAAAATCTTCCCTGTGCCTTATAAAGAATATGATTGTTGGCATTCAAAAGCCAGCGAAGTATACATTATTAGCCTGTTGCCTAACTCATTTCTTTAAGAAACTACACTAATTACCCACATACTTATGTTTTTATTTCCTCATTATTTCTGGAGAAAACAAATACTGCTAACATGATATTTGTAAGAGAGAAAAAAGTCTTTTCTTGAAAAGTGCTGTCATTGTAGTACTAACTTATAGTATCAACTTCTTTATCAACTCCTTATACACTTTTTATTCTGAGAGAAATAAAAAAGCTAAAAGTGAAATGACTTTTTTTACTCTCCATATTATAAGCACCCATCTTGGTAATTTAGGGTCTTTATAGTTAGGGTAAGTTGTGTCATATCGAGGTTACAAAATAATAAGTATTTTGTCTCTTTGGGCCTTTCCTTATTCAGTAATACTGTCAGTTTGGCTTTTTTTCTAGGTCAACTTATTGATCTCAGTATTCTGAAATAATATGTTTACTACCTTTTGATAAGCATTTAAAATATTAGATTTATTGTTACTCTTCTGCCTTCATTGGGCTGGAAGAATAATTGTTTCTCTCACTCCACAAAAGCCAAGTTGCAGAGAAAAACACATAGACATTCAACTGCAAAGCAGAGAAACTTGACTATTTCCTGCAATTTTAAAGTGTATATTGAATAAAACCATCTTTTTATTTTCTTTTTTGCTCACTGGCAAATATTAACAACATCAAGTGTGTTATTATAATGTTATCTAGTTAAAAATCTCAAAAAGTTTTCATAATTACCATTTAAAAATATATAAATAGGTGACCTAATGTTAATTTGTATTGTCTGAGACCATGTCTGTTATTTCACTCTTTAAATTCAGTTAGTCATGCAGAACCTAGCACTTAGTGGATACTCAAAAATTATTTGCTGGATAAAAAAAAGGTTAAACATGTAATATATACAAAATGTACTAGAAAAAATGCACCAAACAATTTTGTTATAGCAGTTTAATGTAGAATATTGCCTTTAAAAGATAATATAGTTTTCAGGTGTCTACGGTGATTTTGTAATATTTGTGCACATATAAAATAATATTTCCAAAAATGTAATCCAGTGAGGAAATATACTTTCTAAATTCTAGATTTATAATTTAGGGTTTAAATTATAAAATCATTAAGACACAAGTGAAATATAGTCAAATATCCCCTTGGAAAAAAATTAAGTGGCCTCTAAAGTGAGGTATTCATATATGTAATTTTACAATCCTCTAGTGATAGAATTAATTAAATACACCACCAAATTGATTAATTCCTACAGTGTTAAAAGAGAAGCACTAATAATGCCAGTGACCATGTAACATGGATTAAGCTACAAGTCATAGAAATGTGATGAGAAGCCTCAGCGCTGTAAAACAGAGGGTGGAGGAAAGCTTTTCCTCTCTCAAATGAGATTTGCCAAGTATACTTCTTGAAGAATAGGAAGTTGAAGTGTTCAGGACTTTTATGACTATTCTACTTTGGCTTAGTTTACATGATTCTTAGTTTATTAGCCTAGAAATGGCCAAGAAAACTTAAGGCTCAATAATTAGTTATAAATATGAAATATCCCCAATTTTTAAGATAAAAACAACTTATAAATGTATTTGTCTGTAAAAATTGTGTATATTTTTACAGAACATCTATTTCTTTCTTTTTTTATTTTTTTATTATACTTTAAATTCTAGGGTACACATGCACAATGTGCAGGTTTGTTGCATATGAATACATGTGCCATGTTGGTGTGCTGCACCCATTAACTCATCATTTATATTAGGCATATCTCCTAATGCTATCCCTCCCCCCTCCCCCCACCCCACAACAGGCCCTGGTGTGTGATGTTCCCCTTCCTGTGTCCAAGTGTTCTCATTGTTCAATTCCCATCTATGAGTGAGAACATGCGGTGTTTGGTTTTTTGTCCTTGTGATAGTTTGCTAAGAATGATGGTTTCCAGCTTCATCCATGTCCCTGCAAAGGATATGAACTCATCATTTTTTATGGCTGCATAGTATTCCATGGTGTATATGTGCCACATTTTCTTAATCCAGTCTATCGTTTTTGGACATTTGGGTTTGTTCCAAGTCTTTGCTATTGTGAGTAGTGCCACAATAAACATACGTGTGCATGTGTCTTTATAGCAGCATGATTTATAATCCTTTGGGTATATACCCAGTAGTGGGATGGCTGGGTCAAATGGTATTTCTAGTTCTAGATCCCTGAGGAATGGCCACACTGTCTTCCACAATGGTTGAACTAGTTTACAGTCCCACCAACAGTGTAAAAGTGTTCCTATTTCTCCACATCCTCGGCAGCACCTGTTGTTTCCTGACTTTTTAATGATCGCCATTCTAACTGGTGTGAGATGGTATCTCATTGTGGTTTTGATTTGCATTTCTCTGATGGGTCTATTTATTTAAAACAAAGGGAGGGAAGTCTCATTTACATTCGTTTTTTTCATAGCCTTTTGAACTTTGCAATTTCTATGTTTCAGAACCTATTTCTTACAGTTTTTCTATGCTAAACTCTGTCCTGGTCAGTTCTAGAGTGTATGAAGAACCAAATGATGTAACTGTATGCGACCTGGCTGTAGTGGAACAAATTTGACTCTTAAGTATGCAGGCTCTAATTTTCCTGTCTGGTTTTGGTAAGTATTCCTTACACAGGTTTTTTTCTTTGAAAATCTGGGATTGAGAGGTTGATGAATGAAAATTAATCCTTTCACTTTGTTGTGTATAGGTTTGCAATAATTAGGTCAGAGTGGAGTTTTAAGGTCATGGAGGGGGCTGATGACTTACAAATAATGGGCTCTGATTGGGCAACTACTCATCTGAGTTCCTTCCACTTGACCTAATTAAGCTTGTGAAATTTACACTAAGCCATGAGTTCATCTTTAAAAAGTTTTATTAAAAGATTTTCAGCTGTTCCAAATAGGACTTATTGGTGGAATGTGTTTTAAAGGATCATATCAGATGAATGAAAGGTATTTGATCCTTTGTTTCCTTAATAATAAAATGATGGTTTGGAAAAATAGGCTAGAGTCTAACCACAGTGCTATTATTAAGGCTTTCTTGTTAAACATAGGTCTAAGCCTAAGTATGTCAATACAACAAATACTTAGTGTTTCATTTCTAGTAATAAAAAAATAAAGTCTTTCTGGCATAAGGATGATTTTCATCTGGTTATTTTGAAACATTTTTGTAAAATAAATTTCCATCTATAAAGAACATTTTTAATTTGTAAGGAGGGGTATGTCTCTGTGCACTGGAAGAGAGGGAGGACTAAATCACTGGGAAGTCTTATGATAAAGAAGCCATTGGCTTAAATCAGCAAAGCAAGCCATCCTTTGGTTTAAGGTGTTTTTCCTGGCCATCCTGTCTTGACTAGAACTTTACCTACACCTTCCTTTTTGGTTTAGGCAAATTATCATATCTCAACCTGAAGTCTCAGCTCTGTGTCTTTGAGATATAAATGTTCTACCACGTCTTCTCTGGAACCTGATAACTATCTATCTCTTTAAAATGCAAGTCTAGGGAGATGACTCATCAGAAAAAGAAGAAAAAAGAGGTATTTGGAAATTGTGCAAATTAAAGCAGCCCCTGATGCCAAAGTCTACACATTCCTGAGTGAGTCAGTTCTGGCCAGTTCTAGCTGGATCAAGAGAGCTCTGCTGGGCAAGCCTGAAGAGCACCTGGATGGCAGACACCTGAGGAGCCAGGTGCCTGAAACTTCCTCCACCTGGTTGAGGAGCGCTAAAGCCCAGGTGCTGGCTGGACAACCCCTTCTGGTTGCCTAAGCAGGTGGCAGAAGAAGGAAACAAGGTCAGAGGCAGAGTGTTGAACCCTGCCTCCCAGGTGGGTGGAAGATGCCTGTCGCCAAACTAGGGCCCAGCTTGCCGGGTGAGATGGGTGAACTGGTGATCCCCCGAGAGAGTGGACGTCAGAACTACATGGTCCTGGACCTCACCTCGGCCAGCGAAGGAGAGAGAGGGTTAATGTTAACTGCACGAGGCCCACTCTAGCCTTAAATTCTGAAATTCAAACCCTTCCCTTGGAGACAAAACAAACATGACAAGGAATTCTGACATCAGGGGACAAGAATCACAAGTTCCCTAGTGGGAGACTGAGGAGGCAGTGTCCTTCCTGCCCTTGGTCTACTGGCTAAGAACCTTCCTCAGCCTGACCTTTCCACATTGCACTTCCAGCTCTGTTTGCAATTTTCCTCCTTTAGTGCTGAGGGAATCCCAGTGTTCGATCCTGAAATCTATAGGTTCCTAATGGGTGGTTAAAAAAAACCTCAGCGAGAGAAGCAGAAAATGTTTCCTCTTCCTGAAAAACTGTAGAAAGGCAGGCACCATTCTGGGTGAGGACATGGTCCTTGCAAATGTCTTTGTGTTTTGTTTTGTTTTTTTATTTTGAGATGAAGTTTTGCTCTTGTTGCCCAGACTGGAGTGCAGTGGTGTGACCTCTGCTCATTGCAACCTCCGCCTCCTGGGTTCAAGCAATTCTCCTACCTCAGCCTCCTGAGTAGCTGGAATTACAGGCACCTGACACCACACCTGGCTAATTTTTTGTATTTTTAGTAGAGATGGGGTTTTGCCATGTTGGCCATGTTGGTCTCTTAACTCCTGACCTCAAGTGAGCCACCCGCTTCTGCCTCCCAAAGTGCTGGGATTACAGGAGTGAGCCACCGTGTCCCACTGTGAGTGAGTGAGCCACGGCAAAAGTCTTTAAAGACAGCATGTTTCAGAGGCTGTGACGGTGCCCTGTGAACACGCCAAATCTCGCAGTCCCGGGAGCTCTGAGGAGCAGGCCCAGCTCCTTGCCAGGCTGATGGTACTGAAACTCTGCTCTCCAAGACATAACCTGATGGCCGTGCAAGATTTCTTAATTGACTGTGGACCGTGAGAGTCTGCATCTCATTTTAATTAAGACAGGAAAAGAAAGAACAAAAGAGCAACTCCCAGGTTATAGAGAGACTGGATTTTAGTATAATATTCAAGTGTAGCATTGCTAATAATAACAAACCTTTCCCCTCCCAAACGGTAAACACTTGCACTGCCTATTATACAAAAATTCAGCCATCCTCTCTGTTCCCCCGATATCTCCTCCCCAGTGACCCCCCTCATGCGGCCTCATGAGCCTGGCCAGTGGTGAATGGCGCTTTCATGGGCATGAGACTCCACGTGAGTGGGACTCAGCTGGGACCCCTCTCCACGTGGGAGCTGGAGAAGCCACCCTAGTACCAGCTTAAAGTGTCCGTGATGTCCCTGCTGCTGAGGTAGGGGCCGCCTCTGAGCTGGTCTCGGGGTGTGAGCTGCTGCTGGTAGTGGGCTCTGCCCTGAGGGCCTGGTGGCTGGTCGGAAGGGCAGGCACACATGGGTGACTCCCCAGGATCTCAGGCCACCTCCCCACCACAGTCCTGCACTGTGTGTTCCAGGCATGTGCTGAGTGCCTGGTCAATCACCAGTGCCCTATTGATCCCCGTCTCCAGAGAGATCATTTAGCGTCACTCCACAGAGGGGGAAACTGAGGCCCAGAGAAGTAAGGTGACTCTCCCCAGTCACAGGTCTGGTCAGGAGTAGGATGGGAGGCTAGTCCCTTGCTGTCTGACTCCCTGAGCCCACCCATATCCCAAGGCAGCCAACCTCTGCCCGCCCTGGCTCAGGCCCCGACTGGCCCCTGTGGTGGGTGATGTCTATCTTCCTGGCCTTTGTGCTCCCAGCCAACTGGGATGGAGCCTCCAGCTGGCATGATAGGTTGTAGCTACGGACAGAAGAGTGGCTGTGAGGCTGCCAGGAATCTCACCAGGGCCCCCTCCCAGGGCCTGTCCAGAGTGAGGTCTGGGTACCCCAGGCATTGCCAGACCACAGGATCTGATGTTGGCCAAGAGGCTATGGCCACAGGCTTTCTGAGGCTGGCCCCCAGGGAGAGTTCAATCCTACTGTCCCAATTCCTGCCCTGGCCTTACCTCTCAGTCTCACCGAGTCGCTTCATGGTCCCAAACCAGGACCCAAAGTGCTGCTTGGGCTTAAGGTTGTAATTATTTGCAGCCAACTGGAGCAGCGGACCTCCTTGCTTACTTTGAATTCCTGGGTCCAGAGGGAAAAACTGGGTGGTGACAGGGACTGGACAGGGATGCCACAGGGGCCCTGTGGGGGTGTTAGGTGGGGTGGTGGCCAGTCTTTGCTCATAGGGGACCCCCTCCTCCTCTCCAGTCCTGTCCCCACCTGTTCTCAGAGCTGGCTCAAGCAGCAGCTCCTCCAGGAAGGTGTCCTTGGTTTCAACCTGGTACTCCCACCTGCAGGTCTTCCTGGAGTGTCTCCTCTTTGTCTGTCTCCCCATAAATCTAAGACGAGGGGGATGGATTTGCCCACGGCTACTCACCGTATGACTCTTGTGCGGTTGATCTGTCTCCCATGCAAGGCCAACAGCTGAAGTCCATCAGAAAGGGTCCTCTGGCCCAGAGCCAGCCCCTGCCCACCCCTGTCATGCTGCACCCAGGGTGCAAGACCCAGATCAGGTCTGGGTGACAGGAGGGGTATAGAGGGGCTGAGGCTCAGGGGCCTTCTAGCCTAACTTGTCTGGAGACAGTTGGGGAAACTGAGACCCCAAGCAGGGAGGTATGGCTCCGAGAGATTATTCTCATTAACCTGGAACACTTTTGCAAGCTGTTAGGTGTAGGAAGTCTGTCACAGGTAAGAGGAATGCTTTTTGAGAGCATGAGAGACAGCAGGGTTGTGACAATATTGAAACACCACTGTGCAGATTCACCAATTGCCACCACCAGGAGCCCCCTGAGAGTCATTGCAGATGCACAGCCCTCCCCTGCAACCCCTGGACCTCCCCATGGTCTGGCACCTAAAGAGTTATGACTCATGGCAGGAATCAGGGCCCTCAGGATGCCCTGCCCACTCCAAGGTTTGCCTCTGCTCTGATTGGTCACTGCCATTCAGATTGTCACCCAAATATAAGGACGTTAGCAGAAAGACTCATTCAATACAAGTGGACTCAGACATAGATAGGATTTGGGTTGCAAAAAGCCCCTTTTGTTCTTTTATTTTATTTTGGAAAAAACTGTTATTGTGAAAATTCACACATATATATAGAAAAAAACTCAATCAATGCAAAAGGATAGACAATGAACAAATGAATTCCCCTTCCACTCCAGATCCGCACCTCAGATCCAGACCTCCTGAGCCCACTTCCCCCATCTCATCACAGATCCAGACCTCCTGAGCCCACTTTCCCCATCTCATCACAGATCCAGACCTCCTGAGCCCACTTTCCCCATCTCATCACCAGTGATTTCTTGGGCTCTGCATTAGTTTTCTATTGCTGCTGCAACAAACAGCTACAGACTCAGTGGCTTCCATTTCTGTCTTATAGTTCTGGTTGCCAAAATTCCTAAGAGGATCTCACTGGGCTAAAATCAAGGTGCCAGCGGGGCTATGTCCCTTCTGGAGGCTTAAGGGATGAATCGGCTCCCTGCCTTTTCTAGCTTCTAGGGGCTCCAGCTTCTAGGTTTGTGGCCTTCTTTCTCTATCCTCAAAGCCAGCAACAGCAGGTGAAGTCCTCGCCCATCGTGCATCACTCTCCCTTCTGCCTCCTTCAACTTTTTTTTTTTTTTTTGTATTTAGGGGGAACGAGTACAGGATTCTTACATAGTCAAAAAGCTCCTTATAGAGAAGCTCGGAACTTTGAATACAGCTTTGCCTTTTTTGCCATTTTAATTTTCCATTTAATTTAAATGTATTCTCTCATTTGACCTTCATACTCTGTGGAGAAATATTTCTATTTCGGCTTGTATTGACAAGCTGTTTTCACACAGCCCCCGCATCACCCAACCAACCAGCAGAGATCCTCATTCCCATGAAACAGATAAAGAAACTGAGGCCCAGGGAGGCTAAGTCCTGCCAGGATCATTCACCTTCCAAGGTAAGGAGCCATTTCCAGACCTGGGTTTGTGCAGCTCCAAGCTCCCCCGTCTTTCTACAATGCTAGATTTAGACTATAGCAATCTAGCAAGTGTGGCCACACAATGGTCAAGTTGGATTTAGATGATGTTCTCTATAAATCCATTCTCCTCTCCCGTGTAAGCAAGGCAAAGTACTCTAGGCCATGGGGAGTCCCTGAAGACTCGATGAACTGCAGTGGCCACGTCAGGAGGTTGCAGGTTGACCAGAACTCACCGACACAGCAGGAGAGCAGCTTGGAACCTGCAACTCAGCCAAGACCCAGTGCCTTGGATTGAGGGAGAAAACATGCAGCCATTCCTCTCTCTCTCTGTTGGCTAGAGGGGATTCTGGCTTTTCCTGCCAGAGCCACCCCTTTCCCTCCTCCTAAAGTTGATGGTGGTTCTTTAAGGAAAGGGAGAAGTGCACGGTGTGATAGGGCAGGAAGAGAAGAAAACGGAGGAGAGGAGGGGACTTTCCCATAAGCAGGCAGAAGAAAAGGCAGCTGTGGTGTGTGATGGACATGGAAGCAGTGGTGTCCAATGTGGGGTCAGCCCTAGAGGAGAGACAGAGAGAGAGACAGAAAAGTGAGAGAGTCCTGACCCTTACAATTAACATGGGATCTGCCTGCAAGTGCTGTTTAGGGCCATCGCCTCTTCCTGTACTGCTATTTTTGAGAGTGATGCTCCTGAGCCCCATGACCCAGTCAAATTTGATGTCCCCTTGAGCCAGATTCAGTGCTGGGAGTCCAGTGTGATCTGCCTGGATCTTGCTGCATTGAGAACAGGCCAGATCTTGACACCAATACAGGGGGCTGGATATGAACAGGCAACAGCTGGGTTTCTGAGTCAGAAAGACTTGGTTAATTGCTAATTGCTTAGGCGAGTAATTCAATTTTGTTCAGTCAGATTCCTCAGCTATAAAATGCAGATGACAGTACTTATTCCTCCAGGTTGTGGGGAAAATGGAGATTCTGAGCACGATGTCCATTTCACAGAAAGGTACCAATTTGGTGGCTTATTTTCCTTTCTACCTTCAGAAGTAGCTAACCCTGCCACCCAAACAGACCCTTGACTCTCAAGTGGATGGGGTCCCATTTGCACAGGGGGAGAGCTTACAGCCTACATTGAGTCTATACTTACCACTTAGTGAGCATGGTATCCGCTCAGGGGCCTCTGTGGGCATCCGTCTCCTCTGCGGCATCTTTCCTCCCTACCGCTGGGCCTGCACATGACCCCCTCCTTGGGTTAGGCCTCTGATCGGTGATGACCTTGGTATGGTGGTGATGGTCAGTCTTGGCACCAAATGAGCCAGTTTATATCATCAGCTATTCAATAAAACACTAATCTAGGTGTCACCATGAAAGTATTTTGTGACATTGTTATGTACGTGTTGTTACAAATGTGCATGATGCATTTACTACAGCATACAATTTTGCCTGGGTGCCAGCCTGAAGTCTGTCCGACAGATCATAGCCATGTTAGTCCCACAGTCACAGGGGCCAATGGATTAAATTATTTTATCTCCCTTGAGAACTAAAAATAAAATCCTAAGCCCCCCACCCGACTTAGCAGACCCCCTTTTGGCCAACGGAACCCGTTTCTTTTCTTTTTTTTCTTTTTTGATTGAGATGAAGTCTCATGCTTGTCACCCAGGCTGGACTGCAATGGTGCAATCTCAGCTCACTGCAACCTCCGCCTCCTGGGTTCAAGCGATTCTCCTGACTCAGCCTCTCGAGTAGCTGGGATTACAGGCACCTGCCACCATGCCCAGCTAATTTTTGTATTTTTAGTACAGATGGGATTTCACCATGTTGGTCAGGCTGTTCTTGAACCCCTGACCTCAGGCAATCTGCCCGCCTCCCTCCCAAAGTACTGGGATTAGAGGCATGAGCTACCATGCCCGGCCGCCCTTCTCTGTTTCCAGAGCATTTTGTATTAACTCCCTCTCATGATATCTTCCATGATAGGCTGAATAATGGCCCCTCCAAAGTGTCCTCAACTTAATCCCCAGAATCTGTGACTATGTTCCTTTCCATGACAAAAGGGACTTTGCAGATGTGATTAAGCATCTTGAGATGGGAACTTATCCTATGTTGCCTGTGGGCCCAGTGTCCCATCACAGTGCTTTTTTTTTTTTTTTTTTGAGACGGAGTTTCTTGCTCTTGGTGCCCAGGCTGGAGTGCAATGGCACAATCTTGCCTCACTGCAACTCCACCTCCGAAGATTCAAGCGATTCTCTTGCCTCAGCCTCCCGAGTAGCTGGATTACAGGTGCTCGCCAACATGTCCAGCTAATTTTTGTTTTTCCAGTAGAGATGGGGTTTCACCATGTTGGCCAGGCTAGTCTCGAACTCCTGACCTCGTGATCTGCCCACCTTGACCTCCCAAAGTGCTGGGATTACAGGCATGAGCCACCACATCCAGCCTACAGTGCTCTTTTAAGAGGGACTCAGCAGTCAGGGGAGATTCCAATGCGATGGTGACTGAGTGTCTTAGTCTTTTTTGTATTGCTATGCAATATCTGAGACTGGGTAATTTATAAAGAACAAGTTTATTTCTTACAGTTCTGGAGGCTGGGAAGGTCAAGATCAAAGGGCCTGCTTCTGGTGAGGGTCTTCTTGCTGTGTCATCCCATGATGGAAGGTATCACATCAAGAGAGAAAGGGGGCTGAACTCAATCCTTTTATTAGGAACCCATCCGCATGATAATTAACCCTCTGCTGAGATAACATCATTACTCTATTAATGAGGGCAGATCTTTCATGACCTAATCTCCTCTTAAAAGTCCCACCTCTCAACACTTGCATTGGGGATTAAATTTCCAACACATGAACTTTGGGGAACACATTCAAACCATAGCACTGTGCAGAGATTGGAGTGGTGTGCATTAAAAATGGAGGAAAGGGCCACAATCCAGGGAATATAGGTAACCACTAAAAGCAGAAAAAGGCAAGAAAATGGGTTTTCCCTTCAGAGCCTCCTGAAGAAATCAGTACTTTACAACTTGACTTTAGCCAAGTGAAACTGATTTGAGGCTTCTGACCTATAGAACAATAAGATATTAAGTCTGTGTTGTTGTAAGCCAATCAGATCGTGGTAATTTGTTACAGCAGCCATAGAAAACTAATTGACTCACCAATGGGAGAAATCAGCTGCTGACTTAAGGCTAACAAACACCTACTTCCTTTCCTAACCTCACTTTAATTTTATCTTGGAGGAATTCTTTTCCCTATCCCATTAAGTTATGGGAGATGGGGCCAGGCATGGTGGCTTAGCAATCCCAGCACTTTGGGAGGCTGAGGTGGGTGGATCACTTGAGGTCCAGAGTTTGAGACTAGCCTGGCCAACATAGTGAAACCACATCTCTACTAAAAATACAAAAATTAGCCAGGTGTGGTGGTGGGCACCTGTAATCCCAGCTACTCCAGAGGCTGTGGCATGAGAATTGCTTGAACCCAGGAAGCAGAGGTTGCAGTGAGCTGAGATCGCACCACTGCACTCTAGCCTGGGTGACAGAGTGAGAATCTATCTCAAAAAAAAAAAAAAAAAGTCATGGGAGAGGATGGTAAAGCTAAGTATCTTTTGCACCTACTCCCCAGCCCCACCACTGCAGAAGCTGAAGGGGTTCCTAGAGGCTTCTTCTGCCGTGGAGCGGTTCCCACTGGCCCCTAGCTAGAGGTGGGTGTAAGACTTTGAAACATGAACAAATGGAGCTGGGATGGTAATGGCGGGAACAATATTGTGCTAATCTGAACTCTGCACTTCCTAACTTTGTCTCTGGGTAAATTACCTCAAATTGCTGAGCCTTTGTTTCCATATTTATAAAATAGGTGCAGTAAGAGTACCAACCTCTTCTATGCTGTTTGGAGGAGGCAGGTCCATTAGGTACCTGGCATGTGGTAAGGGATTCATGAATGTTGGCTTCTATCATTAAGGGTGGGGGAGCCACATAAGTAGCCAGAGGGAGTCATAGAAAGTTCTTGAGCCAGAGAAGTAAGACAATCTTTTCAGCTTTTTGTGCAGCATAAAAGGCGGGTAATTTGCTTGCCTTTGACCAAGGAAATTTGGGACGTGCCAGGCCTGGGGTGAATGGTGGGAACCCAAGTAGAGGGATATTTCTCATTGGCTGAATTAACTGTGACTCCGTTTTGCGGAGCAGCCAGGTTGCTTCATGGTGGACCTGCTGCATGCCTACATGATGGTGCCGTGGATAGCTCTTGTTTGTGCCAGCCCTGTACCTGATACCTCTTGTGGTAATTGCATCCCTATTTTCCAGAAGGAAGCATCCCTCCTCCCACTTTCTGGTTTTCCCCATGTCCTTCTGGAGGGGATGACCCCAACCGCTTCCTGAAGGAGCTTCATGAAAGCCAGGTCTGGCCAGGCTGGATGTGGTGGTTGGCTCAGGCAGGGGCATGTGGCCCAAACGGGTCCAGTGAAAGTCAGTCCTGGGACTTTGGCTGGAACTATTGGGGAACAGCCTCTGCTTTCTTGCGCAGATGTGAGTTAGGAGCTGCTCAGGCCACTATGTGGAAAGAATTGCGTGAGAATGAAGTAATCAAAGGGAAGCAAGCAGTGAGAGATTAGAGAGACTTATCTTGTATAAGTGCCTGTATCCAGCTATGCCTGAAGTGAGGTACCACCCCAGGCCTTTTCAGTCATGCTATCAGTTTTGTTCCTTTTTTCTGTTTTACTCTTGGTGGAGTTATTTTTTTTTTCCTTGTTACTTGAATAAGAAAAATACCAAACTAGAAGGCTGGGTGCAGTGGTTCATGCCTGTAATCCCAGTACTTTGGGAGGCCAAGGCAGGTGGATCATGAGGTCAGGAGTTTGAGATCAGCCTGACCAACATGGTGAAATCCTGTCTCTACTAAAAATACAAAAAAATTAGCCAGGCGTGGTGGTGCGTGCCTTTAATCCCAGCTACTCAGGAGGCTGAGGCAGGAGAATTGCTTGCATCTGGGAGGCGGAGGTTGCAGTGAGCTGAGATCGTGCCACTGCACTCCAGCCTAGGTGACAGAGCAAGACTCCATCTCAAAAAAAAAACAAAAACAAAAACAAAGAAACAAAACAAAAAAAACAGACTAGTAAATGCAACCATTTACAAATCCCAAGAGACTCTTGAAGATTCTTTTTGTTAGTAGGGAAAACATTCTCCATTTTTCTGCCAACTTTAGGGTTTTCAGAGAAGTTTGGGGGAGAGAAAGGAAAGCAAACAGGTGGGAAGAAAGAGTCCTTGCAGCCCCAAGTCGGGCGAACTCCTCCCAGCTACTTATACCACAGGGTTTTGGGAGCAGAGCCCCTTTCATTAAACTTTTAGGATTCTTGGATGGATAGGGTGGGAATTACACCAGTGAAACTCAGCTTTGTGTGTGCCAGGCATTGGGCCCTGGGATATGCAGTCATGTGTTGTATAATGACATTTTAGTCAATGACAAACCACATGTAAGTCACTGGTACCATAAGACGATTATGGAGCTGAAAAATTCCTATTGCTCAGTGACATAGCCATTGTAATGTTAGGGTAATGCATTTCTGTGTTTCTGGTGATGCTGGTGTAAACAAATCTGTGCTGCCAGTTCTATAAAAGCATAGCATGTACAATTACATACAATATATAATACTTGATAATGAACAACTATGTTACTGGTTTATTTTATTTTTTTGAGACAGAGTCTTGCTCTGTTGCACAGGCTGGAGTGCAGTGGCGCGATCTTGGCTCACTGCAACTTCTGCCTCACAGGTTGAAGCGATTCTTCTGCCTCAGCCTCCTGAGTAGCAGGGAATACAGGCACCCACCACCACGGCCAGCTAATCTTTGTATTTTTAGCAGAGATGGGGTTTCACCACACTGCCCAGGCTGGTCTCAAACTCCTGACCTCAAATCATCTGCCCGCCTCAGCCTCCTGAAGTGCTGGGATTACCCACATGAGACACTGTGCCCAGCCCTGGTGTATTTAGTGTTTTTCATAATTTTAGAATGTATGTCTTCTACTTACATTAAAAAATAGTTAACTATAAAACAGCCTCAGGTAGGTCCTTCAGGAAGTATTCTGGAAGAAGAAGGCATTCTTATCACAGGAGATGACATCTCCATGCGTGTAATTGCCCAGGCGGGAGTGCAGTGGCACGATCTCGGCTCACTGCAACCTCCACCTCCTGGGTTCAAGTGATTCTCCTGTGTCAGTCTCCTGAGTAGCTGGGATTACAGGTGCACACCACCATGCCTGGCTAAGTTTTGTATTTTTAGTAGACATGAGTGTTTCACTACGTTGGCCAGGATGGTCTTGAATTCCCGACCTCAAATGATCTTCCTGCCTTGGCCTCCCAAAGTGCTGGGATTGCAGGTGTGAGACACCATGACCGGCAAAATTTTTTAAGATACATTTCAGTAAGCTAAGGTGAATTTATTGAAGAAAAGCTTTAAAAATTTTTGGTGTAGCCTAAGCATATGGTGTTTATAAAGTCTACAGTAGTGTACAGTAAGGTCCTATGCCTTCACACTCACTGACTCATCCACAGCATCTTCCAGTCCTGCAAGCTCATTTCATGGTAAGTGCCCTATACAGGAGTACCATTTTAAAATCTCTTATACTCTATTCTTACTGTATTTTCTCTATGTTCAGGTACACAAGTACTTACATTGTGTTACAACTGCTTATGGTATATTCAGTAAAGTATCAGGCTGTAAGGGTGTGTAGCCTAGGAGCAATAGGCTACGCCATACAGCCTAGGTGTGTAGTAGGCTATACAAGGTTTGGGTAAATGCACTTTGCTGTTTGCACAATGCTGCAGTCACCTAAGGAGGCATTTCTCAGAACCATCCCATGATTAAGAGAGGCATGATCATATAGTCATCATCACCCTGAAAGCTCAGTCAACCCTCTGCAGTGCTACTGCCACACTCCCCTTTTGCACATGTAGAAATCAAGGATCTTTGGCTCCTCTGAGTGACTAGTTCAAGGTTTCTCAGTTTCCAAGAGATGGAGGTGGGACTTGAATTGAGATTTCCCTTTCTTGAGAACCTGTGGTCCTTAACCATTAAAACCACTTAAGAGGTCTTCTCTCTTGATCACTACCTACTAAGTGCTAGGCGCGGTGCTGAGGCGTTCTCTTGATTATTATATTGAGTCTTTAGATTTAGGAGAAACAGGCTGAGCGTGCTGGCTCACGCCTGTAATCTCAGCACTTTGGGAGGCTGAGGTGGGAGGATCACGAGGTCAGGAGATGGAGACTATCCTGGCTAACACCGTGAAACCCTGTCTCTACTAAAAATACAAAAATTAGCAGGCGTGGTGGCAGGCGCCTGTATTCTCAGCTGCTCGGGAGACTGAGGCAGGAGAATGGCGTGAACCCAGGAGGCGGAGCTTGCAGTGAGCCGAGATCGCGCCACAGCACTCCAGCCTGGGTGACAGAGCGAGACTGTCTCAAAAAAAAAAAAAAAAAAAAAAAGATTTAGGAGAAACAAGTCCCGAAGCCCTGACCCTAACACGCAAGGGTTAGTGGAGATGTGGGACTTGAACTCAGCTTCTCCGTTGACTCTGGCTGTCTCCCTGACGCAGGCATGTGCTCGCACACCTCCACGGTGGCGATCCCGCCCCCTTAGTAGCGTCCTTAGCTCGGTACTTCTTGCGGGGAAGTTCCTCTTGGCCCAGACCCTCTTCCTAGGCCCCGCGTGGTGGGGGAAGCGAAAGGGGCAGTGTGGGGAAGTGGCTGAGGGGTTGGGTCCGGGGTGGTCTGCAGAGAGGCAGGCGGCGGTGCGGAGCGGGGAACCACGCACTCACCCGCCGAGTCCGACGGGCCCGGCAGGGGTGGGCAAGGCATTGGGAACAGCCGCCAGCTCTAGAGGGCGTGAGGCGGGGCGCACGGGGAGGGGGTGCGGCTAACGCGCGCGTGCGCGGTTCATGTGTGGGCCCGCGGGGGCGCGCGCGCGGTTAGCGGGCAGCGAGGGTCACCTGGGCGGTGCGCAGCACGGCGGGAACATGGCGCGCGGAACCGGCGCGCGCGCCTAGCTGGCGGGACCGTTAGATCGAGGCGGATGCGGCCCGGACCCCGTGGATATGGAGCAATCGCCGCCGCTGGCGCCGGAGCCCACCCAAGGGCCAACCACCACAAGGAGCTGAAGGCGGCGGGAGCCCGAGTCGCCGCCGGCGTCGGTGCCGGTGAGTGCGTGAGGGGCTCGGGCCGGGAGACTTTCTTTGTGAAACTCCGGCGGTGGGAGCCAGGCCGGGCCTGAGGCTGAGGAGCGCCTGTGAGGCGGAAGGCGTCTCGCAGTCCGGGTTCCATCCCAGCTGCGAGCCTTCAGGCGGCGGGACCTGGTCCAAAGCCTGCCTGCCTCAGTTTCCACTAGAGTGGGTGTGGGTGTGTGAGGGTGTGTATGGGTGTTGGCCTGCGCACACCGGAGAGGGGGTGTCGGTATACAGTCGGCGCCTAATGCTCGCGGCGCCTCCCCCACTCTCCCCAGTCCCCGTGGGTCGGAACCTGGGGACTGGAGTCCACTGGAGCAGTAGGCGGCACCCGCGGGGAGACAGGTGTCAGTGCAGCCCGGGAGGCTCAGGTGCTACCTTTCCTGGGTGGGGTTTGTGAGGAGGGAGCTCTTCGTCCCCGGAGGTGAGCAAGTCTGTCGGTGGCTCATCACAGAGTGCTGTTTTGGAAAGCGTTCCACCCACCTCAGCTTCCTGCTGTGTTTGGGCCACTAGTCAGGGGGAAGGATGCTGAGCGACATGGACTTTAGAGGTGGGGCCCCCGCTGGACGGGATGGGTCTGGGCTCTCGAGCTAACCCCCACCCTTTCCTCCCAAACCCGTTAGAGCGTAGGAATCATTGGGAGCACCTGATAAAAATGCCACGGATTGTGGCTCACCTAAGCAGGGAAGCCGATTTGGAACTTAAACAAGCTCCCAAGTTGTGATCAGTCGAGCTTGGCAAGCACTGTTTGAGAGAGTAGGTGTCCTGCAAGCAGGAGCCGGTTTTGTGTATTCCTCACCATGGCATCTTGGTACCTGGCATGGTGCCTGACACACGGTAGATGATCAGAAAATATCTGTAGAAAGTCTAAATTATTAGGGAGAGTGCAGCATAGGAGTTCTTGAGACATTTTCAGGAGCTTCCTGAGATTAATATCTGTCAGATTTGTTTTACAGTATATGATTTTTCTCAGCTCCCAACTTTTGTGATTGTTTTAATGCCATGTTTTCAGTATGTTCTAGGCAAAAGCAGGGTATATGTTGCTTAGTATACACTATCCACTAGGCCGATTGCGGTGGCTCACTCCTGTAATCTCATCACTTTGGGAGGCAGATTGCTTGAGCCCAGGGGCTTGAGGCTGTAGTGAGCCAAGGACTTAGAGACCAGTGTGGGAAACATAGCGAGGTTCGTCTCCGCAAAAATTAGCTGGGTGTGGTAGCGTGCACTTGAAGTCCCAGCTACTCTGGAGACTGAGGTGGGAGGATCGCTTGAGCTCAGGACGTACAAGTTGCAGTGAGCCAACTTGTGCCACTGCATTCCATCCTGGATAACACAGTGAAACCCAGTCTCTTAAATAAGTAAATAAATACATAAACGATTATGTATACTCCAGCTAGATTAAAATTAATTCTGAATCAAAATTCTAAATTAAAATATGCATGTGTCTTTCTCTTCATCATTTGAGAACACTAGGCTTTTAGGATTTCATTCTGTTGAGGCAGGTAAATATCAACATTTTTGACAAAGCAAATATGAATTACTGTTAATTCGAGAAAGGCGGGAATTTGCTTAAACCTGAGTATTTGTAGTCTTTGTGATTTTTTTAAATTTTAAATTTAAATTTTTCTTTTTTTTTCTTTTTTTTTGAGATGGAGTCTCACTCTGTCGTCCAGGCTGGAGTGCAGTAGCACAATCTCAGGTCACTGCAACCTCCACCTCCCGAATTCAAACGATTCCCCTGCCTCAGCCTCTGGTGTAGCTGGCATTACAAGTGTGTGCCACGATGCCCAGCTAATTTATGTATTTTCAGTAGAGAGGAGGTTTCACTATGTTGCCCAGGCTGGTCCCAAACTCCTTGACCTCAAGTGATCTGCCCACCTTGGCCTCCCAAAGTGCTGGGATTACAGGCGTGAACCACGGCACCTGGCCTTATTTTTATTTTTTTGAGACAGACTCAGTCTGTCGCCCAGGTTGGAGTGCTGTGGCATGATCTCCACTCACTACAACCTCCACCTCCCAGATTCCAGCGATTCTAATGCCTCGGCCTCCTGAGTAGCTGGGGTTACTAGACCCGGGTAATTTTTGTTGTATTTTTTTAGTAGAGACTGGGTTTCCCTATGTTGGCCAGGCTGCTCTGGAACTCCTGGCCTCTAATTATCCACCTGATTCGTCCTCCCAAAGTGCTGGAATTACAGGCATGAGCCACTGCCCCCAGCCAATCTTTGTGATATTTTGAAATTGACGTTTATATTTTGTTCAGAGTCAAAGCTAAAATAGAATTGTTTGAAAATTAATATTTCAGGAACTATTTTTTAATTAAGTCGAATTTTATTTTATTTCATTTCAGGAGGGTTTTAACTTAAAAATATATATATACATATATATGTATATGTGTGTGTGTGTGTATATACATATATATATATATATATATATATTTTTTTTTTTTTTTTTTCCTGAGACAGAGTCTTGCTCTGTCACCCAGGCTGGAGTGCATTGGCATGATCTTGGCCTCACTGCAGCCTCCACCCTCCTGGCTCAAGCAATTCTCCTGCCTTAGCCTCCCAAGTAGCTGGGACTACAGGTGCCCACCACCACATCTGGCTAATTTTTATATTTTTAGTAGAGATGGGGTTTCACCATGTTGTCCAGGCTGGTTTTGAACTCCTGATCTCAAATGATCTGCCCTCCTTGGCCTCCCAAAGTGCTGGGATTACAGGCGTGAGCCCCCGTGCCTGGCCTAAAAAATATTTTTAAAGACAGGATCTAGCTATGTTGCCTCAGCTGGTCTTGAACTCCCAGTCTTGGCCTCAAGTGATCCTTCTGCCTCAGCCTTCTGAGTAGCTGGAAGCACAGCTGTGAGCCAGCACACATGGCTTTTTTTTATTTCTAATAAAAAAATTAATAGAGTTTCTTGTTTCACTGGACAAAATATGCATACATAGGAAGGAAAGACTTTTTGACTTCAGATTGCGCTGAAGAAGAAAAATGGAAAAATTAGGCATTTTAGTCTCTCAGTGTGTTATTTTTGTAGGTTATACAGATGTCTTTTTAAAGTTTCTTTAGAAAGCTTTATTGAGATAAAGATAAATGAGATAAATTCACCTACCATGAAATCAACCCCTTGAGTGCAGAATTTTATGGTTTATAATATGTTCACAGAATCACACAAACAAGACAGGTGTCTAGATACTTTCAGACCATTTTCATCAGTCCACAAGAAATCCCATACCCATTAGCAGTCATCCTTATTCCCTTTTCCTCTCGTCCCTGGCAATAACTAGCTTACTTTCTGTCTCTGAGTTTAGCTCTTCTGGAGATTTCACAGAATGAAATCTTACTACATATGGTCTTTTGTGATTGACTTATTTCACTTGGCACAGTGTTTTCAAGGTTTATCCATGCTGTAGCGTATATCAGCACTTCACTCTTTTCTAATGCTGAGTAATCTTTTGAATGGATATACCATATTTTATCAGTTCCTCTGTTGATAGGCACTTGAGTTTTTTTTCCAATTTTTGGCTATTATGAACAATGCTGCTATGAACATTTGTGTACAAATTTTAGTGTGGATGTATATTTTCATTTCCCTTGGGTATATCCCTAAGGAATAGACTATCTGGGTCATCTGATAATTGTTTAAGAATACAGGCACATGCAACCACACCTGGCAAATATTTAAATTTTTTTGTAGATGAAGGGTCTCGCTATGTTGCCCAGGCTGATATTGAACTCCTGGCCTCAAGAGATCCTCTCACCTCAGACTCCCAGAAAGTGTTAGCATTACAGATGTGAGTCACTGCACCTATAAAAGAGGCTCATACCTCTTTTTACATATTTTTTTAAGACAGGGTTTCACTCTGTTGCCCAGGCTGGAGTGCATTGGTGGGATCACAGATCACTGCAGCCTGGACCTCCCTCCATATGATTCTAGCTGTGGGTGTCTTTCCTGTAGTTTTTATTATGTTGTGGTATGTTTCTTCTGTACCCGTTTATTTGAGGATTAATAGCATGAAGGGATGTTGAATTTCATCGAATGCTTTTTCAGTTTCAGTTGACATGATCATACTGTTTTTGTCATTTATTTAGTTGATATGATGCATCACATTGTATGTTGAGTGACCCTTGCATCCCAGGGATACATTCCACTTGATCATGATGAATTATCTTTTTAATGTATTACTGAATTTGATTCACTGGTATTCCGTTGAGGATTTTTGCATCAATATTAGAGATACTGGCCTGTAGTTTCCTTCTTTGATGCCTTTGTCTGATTTTGGTATCACAGTAATAATGGTCTCATAGAATAAGTTTGGAAGTATTCCCTCCTGTTTTTCAAAATAGTTTGAGTAGGATTCGTACAAGGTCTTTAAATTGTTTGGTGTGAAGCCATCAGCAGTGAAGACATCAGTTCCTGGGCTTTTCTTTACTGGGAGACTTTTTCTGATGGCTTCAATCTCATTACTTGTTACCAATCTGTTCTGGTCTTGGATATTTTCATTATTCAACCTAAGTAGGTTTTATGCATCTAGGAATTTGCCAATTTCTACTAGGCTTTCCAATTTATTGGCATGTAATAGCCAGTTATGATCCTTTGAATTTCTGAAGTTATTAGTTGTAGTGTCTCCTTTTTTTTAATCTGTTGATTTTATTTGAATCTTGTCTCTTTTTTCTTAGTTAGCCTGGTTAAAAGTTTGTCAATTTTGTTTAGCTTTCCAGAAAACCAACTTTTCATTTAATCTTGTGTGTTTCTTATTTCAATTTTATTTCTGCTACGATCTTAGTTATTTTCTTAATTTCGGTTTAGTTTGTTCTTACTTTACTAGTTCTTTAAGATGTATTGTTTATTTGAAGTTTTTCTTTTGTTTGGATGGTAGGCACTTATAGTGTAAATCTCTGCCTTTGTACTGTTTTCTGCGTAACAAGTTTTGGTATACTGTGTTTTCATTACCCTTTGTTTCATGAAATTTTTGAATTTCTGTCTTAGTATCTTCATTGACCCGCTAGTCATTTATTCAGGAGGGTAGTGTTTAACTTCCATGTGATTGTATTGTTTCCAAAATTACTCTTCTTACTGATACCTAGTTTTATTCCTTTGTAGTCAAAGAAGATGGCCAGGGAGACAGCAGCGTGGTCAGAGTGGTAGGAGCTGGCCATCGGTGAGAGCTGCTCCATGCCTGGCTGCTGGGTGCTAGAGCTTGTGGACCACTGGCTTGCCTCACTGTGGTTGGTGGTGGCGGTGACAGAGTGTGCAGCACGACCAGAGTGGTAGGACAGGGGCTATCCAGGGCTGCACCTTTTGCAGTGTGGGGTGGGTTGGGGGCGCTATGCAGGGTGTCATTGCCTGCATTAGGGGTACTGGTTGGTAGCACTGTACAGGGCTGCACTTCCCACGGCAGGGAGGGTGGGTTATGGGCACTTTCTGGGGCTGCAATGCCCATGGAGGAGGACACGTTAGGGCACTATAGGGTATACGCTACTGGTGGCATTGGGGGACGGAGGTGGGGGGCGCTATTGAGGGCAGGACTAGCCGTGGAGGGGGGGCGAGTTCGGTGCTATCAGTGGCTGCACTGCTGACGGCGGTCAGGAGAGTTGGCATCCAAGGAAGGAGTGGTTCTCCTCTCCCTGACTCCACATTCCAGAGGGCGACCCACTCTTGGTCATACTGGAGTGCAGCAGGCATGCAGCGTTTGCGTGGGAATCCTGAGCATGGCAGAGCCCCCACACCCACCGTGGTTCCTGGGCCTGTGCACTCTGGGTCTGTGCCTCAGAGGCTGCCAGGCACCCCTGGGGACACCACGGGGGACAGGGCCCTGTGTGTGGAGGCGTCTGGAACAGGAATTGGCACCTAGGTGCGGAGGGTTGGCTGGGTCTGAATTTTTCTGCTTCTCCTGCTCCCCGAGGAGTGCAGCCCCAGTGGGCCCAATGATTCCTGTGGAGTGGGGAGCTGGGTGCTGTGGTATCTCCAGCACCCACCCCAGACTCCAGTTCCGGGCCAGCTTGGACCAAAAGGAGAGGCTGGACTTTGGAGGGTGGGTGTGAGTGCCTTTGCTGAAACTGGCCCCTGCCACCCAGTGGCCAGCATGACAAGTTGAGGCTCTAACCCTTCCGCCCCTCACATCTTCCTCTAGGCTTTTCTGGCTTTGCCCGCCCAGCTGCTCCATGCCAGGAGGAGGAGGAGACACCTAGAGCCTGCGACACCATGGCTCGCCTCGCTGCAGGTGGGTGGCAGCAACGGAGACTGCAGTGCGCCGGAGCGGTAGGAGAGCGGCCGCGCTAGGAGGGCAGGCGGCTGCAGCCAGGGTTGGGGGTCAGGCTTGCAGTGATGGACGGGCTGCAGCAGTGGCCAGGTGGTAGGAGCCTTGTAGGGAGGACTGGTGCATTGGCAATAGGCCTGGCTTTGTCCTGCCCCTGCCATGGATCTGGCCCTGTACTGCCCTGCCTTGCCGTGTACCTGCCCTACTATTACCTGGACTGTTTCGGCCAAGTCCTGCTCTGGTCCCATCCTGACCCTGTCTTGGCCCTGTGATACCCTGTCCCTGCCCTGGTCTTGCCCTGACACTGGCCCTGCCCTGAACCTGCACTGGCCTGACCTTGGCTCTGGCCCTGGCTCTGGCCCTGCCCCTTGTCCTGACCCTTGTCCTGTCGTGGCACTGGCCCTGCCAATGGTCATGGTCCTGCTCCTGTTCTGGCCCTGACCTGGCCTTGGACATGTCCTGGCCCTGCTTTGGCCCATCCCTGCCCTGGCCCCACCATGGGCCTGCCTGTTCTGCCCTCTCCTGGCACTGACCTTGCCCTGTCATGGCCCAGTGGTGCCATTGCCCTGCCTTACCCAATGGTTGTGCCTTGGCCCCGCTTGGTGCTGGCCGCTCCCTGGACCTGCCCTGACCCTGCCTTGGCTTTTGCCCTGCCCTCACTATGGCCTGTCCCTGGCCCTAGCCCTGGTCCTGGCATATCCCTGGCCCTACCCTTATCCAGGCCCTGCCCCTGCTGCTGCCCTGGCCCTGGCCTGGAACCTGGTCCTGTCAAGGACCTGCCCTGACTCTGCCATGGCCCTGGCCCTCCTCTGCCTTGTTCCTGGCCCTGACCCAGACCCAGACCCTTTCCTGGCCCTGCACTGGCCTTTCCCTGGCCCTGAGCTGGCAGTGGTCTGCCCCTGGTCTTGCCATCACCCTGCCCTGCTGTGCTCTGGATGTGTCATCATGCTGCCCTGGCCCTACTCTGCCTTTGACCCTGCCCTGGCCTTACCTTAGCCCTCACCCTAGTCTTCGCTAGGCCCTGCTGCTATTTCCCTGCCCTACCCTGCCTTGGCTGTGCCCTGGCTCGATTCTGGCCCTGGACCCAGCCCTGCCCTGGATATGCTCTGACACTTCCTCAGCCTTGACACTAGCGTGGCTTTTTCTTGGCATCAGCCCTGCTCTCTCTGTGGACCGGCTCTTGTCCTGTCCTGCACTGGTCATACCATGCCCTGCCCTGCCCTGCCCTGACTCTGGCCTGGCTCAGCCCTGGCCCAGCCTTGGCCTTGGCATTGCCCCTGGTCCTGACATATTTCTTGCCCTGTCCCTACCCCAGCCTTGGCCCTGACCCTTACCTTGCTCTGGCCCTGCCCTTGCCCTAACGCAGCCCCTGACCCTGTCATGGCCCTGCCCTGGACCTGTCCTGGCCCTGGCCCTGGCCCTGGCCCTTCCCTGCTTGAGACCTTGTCCTGGTTCTCCCCTGGCCCTGACCCTGAAATGCCTGGCCCTACCCTGGCCTTGCACTGCTCTGGCCCTTGCTCTGACTCTGGTCCTGTCACTGGCCTAGCCCCAGCCCTGTTGCTGGTCTTACCATGGCCCAGACCCTGCCTTGGCCCTGCCCTGACACTATCCTGGACCCTGGCTGTGCCAAGATCCTGCACTGTCCTTGCCCTTGTTTTGCTCCTGCCCCAAACCTGGACCTGCCCAGGCCATGGCCATGGCCCTGGCCCTGGCCCTGCCCTGGCTGTTCCCTGGCCCTGCCCAGGTCTTGGCACTGGCCTGGCCCTGCCCTGCCTTGGCCCTATGCTTTCCTGGCCCTGCCTTCCGGCCCTGCCCCTGCCTTGGCCCTAGCCTGGCTTTGACCCTGCCCTGGCCCTACCTTGACCTTCACCCTAGCCTTACTTGGGCACTGTGTTGGACCTGGCCATAGCACAGACCTGCTTGTGGCCCTGGCCCTGCCATGGCCCTGTCCCAGATGCTAGCCCTGCCAGGTGCTTGTCCTGGCCCTGCTGTGGGCCTGGCTTTGTCCCTGGTTCTTAGATGAACCTGGCCCTGCCCTGCCCTTGCCCTTGCCCTGGCACTGGCCTTGGAAATGTCCGTGGTCCTAACCCTGGCCCTGCCCTGGAGCTGCCACTGTCTTGGCCCTGCCCTGGCTCTGGCCCTGCCCTGGACGTGGCCCTGCCACAGCCCCAGCCATAGACCTGCCCTGGTTGGTCGTGCCCTACCTTAACCCTGTGCTACCCTGGGCCTGCTCCACCCTGCCCTGGCCCTGCCCTCCCTTTGGCCCTGCCCTGACCCTGCCTTGGCTCTCACACTGGCCCTAGCACAGACCTGGTCCTATCTGTGGCCTTGGCCTGGCATTGACCCCTGCTCCTGACCCTGGTCCTGCCATGGCCCTTGCCCTGCCAATAACCCTGACAGCTCTGGCCCTGGCCCTGTCTTGGCCCTGGCCCTGAACTGGTGCTGCCCTGACCCTGGCCCTGAAGTGGATTTTCAGGTGTCTTGTCCCTGAGTTAACCTGGCCCGACCACAGCCTTGTCCCTCTCCTGGCTCTGTCCTGGTCTTGTGCTGACCCTGACCCAGAACTTGGCCCTGCCCCAGCCTTGTCCTAGACCTGGCCATAGCCCTGCCTCTGCCCTAGACCGGCGCTGGCACTGGCATGGACCCTGGCCCTGGCCCTTCAATACTTAAGGCCATACACTGACCCAGCCCTGGTCCTGACCCTGTCCTGGCCCTAATTTGGCCTGGCTCTACCCTGGTATGCTATTCTGGCCCTAGCCCTGACCCTCTCCCTGTCCCTGTCCTGGCCCTAGCCCCGTTGCTGGTCCTGCCATGGCCCTTGTCCTGACATTGCCCTTTCCAGGTCCTGGCCCTGGCCCTGTCCCAGCCCTACTCTGGCCCTGGTCTGAACCCTGGCCCTGCAATGGACCTGCCTTGGTCCTGCCCAGACCCTGGCTCTGGCCCTACCTCTGCCCTGGCCATACCCTTGCCCTGGCCTGGACCCCGGTCCTCGTCCTTGTCCTGCCCCAGCCGTGGCACTGACCCTGCCCCACCTGTGCCCTGCCATGGCTGGCCCTGCCATTGCCCTGCCCTAGCCTGCCCTGCTTGTGCCCTAGATCTGCCCCGGCCTTTGCCCCATCTTGGTTCTAGCCTTGAAAACAAAAAAAAAGGAAAAGAAGCATTTTGTATTCTCTTTTAGAAAGGGTAGATGACTGGAAAAGTATTAATAATGAAAATAACCAAAAATTGGACTTATAAATTATAAACTATGTAATTATAAATATTAGTATTTGAAAATATATGCAGATCTACAATTCTTCATGTGGAATTACAAAATTCAACAGTTATGAATACCTAAACCTAAGTTTTGGAAAATCTGATCTATGCTGATGTAGGGGTATTTATAGTTTTTTTTTTTTTTTTTTTTTTTTTTTAAACAGAGTTTTTGCTCTTGCCCAGGCTGGAGTGCAATGGCATGATCTTGGCTCACTGCAACATCCAATTCTTGTTTTCAAGTAATTCTCTTGCCTCAGCCTCCCGTGTAGCTGGGATGACAGGCACCTGCCCACACCCAGCTAATTTTTTTTTTTTTTTTGATACGGAGTCTTGCTCTGTCACCCATGCTGGAGTGCAGTGGCTCAATCTTGGCTCACTGCAAGCTACACCTCCTGGGTTCACGCCATTCATTCTCCTGCCTCAGCCTCCCGAGTAGCTGGGACTACATGTGCCTGCCACCATGCCCAGCTAATTTTTTGTATTTTTAGTAGAGACAGAGTTTCACTGTGTTAGCCAGGATGGTCTCGATCTTCTGACCTTGTGATCCACCCACCTTAACCTCACCAAGTGCTAGGATTACAGGTGTGAGCCACTGCACCTGACCAGGGGTATTTATAGTCTTATTGATCCCAGTTCATGTGATTATTCATATGATTTGCCACTAGAGTTATTCCATAATAGGCAGAATATTTACCACATTACCTTTCTAAAATCTAAATATTTTTGGATTGTAATTTCAAAGAATCTGACTTGGAAATCTTATTTTGAAATCTGATCCTAAGGAATTCGGATAAGCTATTGGAAAATATCACAAATGACAAAAATTTTGCGTTAAGATAAAATTGTTGATAAATTTAAATCACTTTGCAGCCGAGCATGGTGGTTCACACCTGTAATCTCAGCACATTGGGAGGCCGAGGCGGGTGGATCATGAGGTCAAGAGATCGAGACAATCCTGGCCAACATGGTGAAACCCCATCTCTACTAAAAATACAAAAAATTAGCCGGGTGTGGTGCTGCGTGCCTGTAGTCCCAGCTACTGGAGAGGCTGAGGCAGGAGAATTGCTTGAACCCAGGAGGCAAAGGTTGCAGCAAGCTGAGATCGCACCACTGCACTCCAGCCTGGTGATAGACCGAGACTCCATCTCAAAAAAACAAAAAAAAAATTAAATTACTTTGTATACATAAAGTTCTAATTTTTAAAAAAATTGTAAAATATCCTATACGTTCATTAGTATTACTTATTTGTTTTTATCACTCCATCAATGTGAGGCATAAATAAAATTTGTTAAGTTAAAACTTTCGGTGTACTTTCATTCATTTATTTATTTATTTTGAGACAGTTTCGCTCTATCATCCAGGCTGGAGTATAGTGGCATGATCTCGGCTCACTGCAACCTCCACCTCCAAGGCTCAAGTGATTCTCGTGCCTCAGCCTTCCAAGTAGCTGGGACTACAGGCATGCGCCACCATGCCTGGCTAATTTTTAAAAGTCCTATATCATATAAGAACATTAGAGTTCTGGGATTATTTTTTGTTTGTTTAAGAGACAGGGTCTCACTGTATTACGCAGGCTGGGGTGCAGTGATGTGATCATAGCTCACTGTAGCCTGGAACTCCTGAGCAAAGCAATTCTCCCTCCTCAGCCTCCCCAGTAGCTGGGACTACAGGTGCTTGCCACAATGCCCAGCTAGTTTTTAAATTTTCTGTAGAGATAGGTCTCACTGTGTTGCCTAGTCTGGTTTCAAACTCCTGGCCTCAAGGGATCCTCCCCACTTGGCTTCCCAAAGTGCTAGGATTACAGGTGTAAGTGACCATGCCGGGACAAGAACATGAGACTTCTCTTACCATTTTTTTATATCTAAGTGGAATAGCATAGTATTATGTGTCAGTGTTGAATTATTTTAAAATATTATGCACTGAAACATGGTAATAATCTGGGTCAGTTTCTATCTTGACCTAGGTTTAAACATATTAGCTAACATGAGGGGCCCAAAATTAATAATGATTCCATACCATCTCCTTGTTTATTTATTCATTGAGACAGAGTTTTGATCTCTCACAAAGGTTGGAGTGCAGTAGCACCATCTTGGCTCACTACAACCTCCACCTCCTGTGTTCAAGTGATTCTCCTGCCTTAGCCTCCTGAGTAGCTAGGATTACGCCCACCACCACAACCAGCTAACTTTTGTATTTTTAGTACAGATAAAGTTTCACCAGGTTGGCCAGGTTGGTCTTGAACTCCTGATCTCAAGTGATCCGCGGCCTTGGCCTCCCAAAGTGTTGTCATTATAGGCGTGAGCCACTGCCTCCAGCCACCATCTCCTTTCATTAAAAATATGTGAGCTGAAAATAATTTGAGGGCAGTTATTTTCATATAGTCATTTTATCAAACAGGGATTATATTAATGACTAGTATTAATATTTATTTTATCTAAAATTATGTCTGATTTTTCTAAATTCTCTGACTTGCTAATAATGTTAAACATTAGGTTTAATACATATAATTAGGTCTGTGTGGATGCACTATGTAAATAAAATTGTTTTTAACATTTTGTAAGGTCTGCTGCTTTACAAGTCTTATTATCTTTGCTCCATTTTTGATACCAAAATTTTAACTGTGATAATTAGGCTGGAGATAGCAAATCAAGGGTATGTTTATATAATCACTCTCAAGGATCTCAAGGGTCATTTTCTGGTTACATTATGAAAATTGTAAAAGGAATCAAGTATATATTCCAGATAATAGCTCTTGATAAATCATATACATCTATATAATAGCTATAGATATAGTTTAAGATTTAGATCTAGATATATTCAGCAACTTTGTAATTTATCAAAAGGTTTTGGTTAAAATGTAAGACATTCCTCAATATAGAATTAGTTCTAAAAATTTGTTGCAATGAAGAATGTTAACAACTTACCTTCCTGTTTTCTCTGAATATGAAACAATTCAAGATAGACATAGAAATAAAGCATAATGAACTTTGGGAGGCCGAGGCAGGTGGATCATGAGCTCAGGAGATCGAGACCATTCTGGCTAACACGGTGAAACCCCGTCTCTAATAAAAATATACAAAATTAGCTGGGCGTGGTGGTGGGCGCCTGTAGTCCCAGCTACTTCGGAGGCTGAGGCAGGAGAATGGCGTGAACCAGGTAGGCGGAGCTCGCAGTGAGCCGAGATCGCGCCATGGCACTCCAGCCTGGGCTACAGAGCCAGACTCCATCTCAAAACAACAACAAAAAAAAAAAAAAAAAAAACAGAAGTAAAGCATAATGAAATAAACATGTGAGCTCTGTAGCTCATGGTGTTGTTGGCGTGGTGCTTAGCAACAGGGATTTTCCTACACTACACTCCAGTACAGGGCACAGAGCAGAAACTTTATTGCTAAATTTACCGCATAGCAGAGGCAGAACAGAATTCATTTTCACTGCAGGCTGGGACATCCTAAAGACAAAAAACATGGAATGGGTGATATGAGCTACCCTAGTTTATTTCTTTCTTCCAATATCTCCAGTCACCTCCACTATTGATCTAGTGAAAACAGGCGCAGGAACAGTGCTCTAAACGACATTCGATGTCCTTCAATATCTTTGTCAGTCTGAATTCAAAGGAAATATTTTAACTCAAGTAAAAAGAAGACTACAAAAGAAAGATAACCCATATGGGGATAGCAGAATTTTTTGTTTTTGTTGTTGTTTTAAAATCTCTTGTTTTTGGCCACAGGCACTCTGAGCTAGAAGAAAATATTTAGGAGAAGGATGAGAAATCCTTCTGTGTTGAATAAGGGAATTACTTCCAGATGGCAATGGTGTAAATCTACTATGATAACAACTATATATATATATATATATATATATATATATATATAATGAAATATGTTTATAGAAAATGTCTGGAATCTTTTTACAGTCTAGAGTCCTTCTCAATGGCCTTAATTTGCAAAAATAGCCTCAAATTATTTTATTTAATTAAAAACTGCAAGAGATTAACATTTTCTCCTCATAAGGTCCAGTCAAGTATTTTTCTTTTGAATGAAGAAAAAAAATACATTGCCTGTAAAAAATTAATTCTTTGATTTAGTAGTTAGCAGTGAACAGTTGATATGGTTTGGATGTTTTATCCCCTCCAAATCTCATATTAAAATGTGACCTGTATTGTTGGATGTGAGGCCTAGTGGGAGGTATTAGGTCATGGGGGCAAATCCCTCATGAATGGTTTGGTTCCCTCCCTTGGGTAATAAGTGGTAAAGAGTTTACAGGAGATCTAGTTGTTTAAGAGTGTGGCACCTTCCCTCTCTCTCTCTTGCTCCCTCTCTTGCCCTATGACATGCTGGCTCCCCTTCAAATTCTGCCATGATTGTAATCTTCCTGAGGCCCTCACCACAAGCAGATGCTGACACTATGCATTGTGTACAATCTGCAGAACCAAGGGCCAAATAAATCTATTTTCTTTATAAATGACCCAGTCTTAGTTATTTGTTTTACAACAACACAAACACACTAACACACTGGTGAAAATCAACTTAAATACTTAAATACAGATAATATAAATTTAAAATGCAATCTAAGAGTTGTAAAATTTATATTTCCCCTTCAAAAATTAGCATTCTAAATTATCTCCTTACTATTTGTTTTGCTTTATACACTTCCAACTTCCTATGCTCAAGTTTTCAGAAGACATTGAAGAACATCACATCATTAGAGAGAAGAAAAGGAAAAATTGGCTACAAAAATTAACCATACAGTGTATTGAATTAATAGAGTTTTGCTGAACAATTTTTGTTAATGGAGTTTATATTTTTAGGTATAAATATTTTTCTACATGATATATTTAGACAAAGTTTTTTTTTTAAATATAGGATATTTGCAGCAAACAGTCCAAAGGATCCCAATTATTAAACAAAACACAAATATAAATTGATTACAGTATATCAAATATGCCTTAATAATTAGGTAGCTATAAAAAGTAGAGTTACAAGATTGAGAGGTACTTTGTCTTCTGTGAAGGCTTTAAAAACATGAAGCTACATTTCCCACCATCAAAGATTTATGTGTAAGAGATTTGTCTTCATTTTGTTTTAATTAGATGAAACGATTTGCCCATGGGGCATCTAAACTCAGAATGAGTTTGACATCACAACACAGTTTATATTCTCTCAGGAAAAATGAAAGGAAACTAAAGGATTTTATTTTTCAGACATCAAATCACAAAACAAAACAGTCCAATTTTCTTTGGGTTCTCAGTTGTACATTTATGTCTTCAGGGTTTTAAAAAACCACACCATTTTGCATGCTTAAAAATAAAAGATTCGGTTCAAGAGTTCATCTTTGTAACATCTTTGCAATTTTTCTTTAAATCTCTAGGTCTAAAACTTTGCTAAATAAAAAATATTTAGCGAGAAACAAGTTTACATGTGTTGCTTGCTGAAAGAAACTGCTAAAGGGAATGCATTAAGATATGGAACACAATTATGCAAAGTAAATACTCAGTTGAACATGCCAGATGTTTCCTAAATTTAAATTGTTAAATGGCCATCGTGGAAGAATCATTTTAGTTTTAAATTCTGTAATAAGCAAAATAACTTTCTTACATAGAAACATTTGTTCCTTTGTGTATGAACCAAATCAAATATCATATAAAAATTATACATAAGATATGAATCTGAATCATATATAATGTAGCTTATCCAAACATATTTTAGATGAAACTGTCAGTATTTTTTATATTATCAACATAGAACTGTTTTAAGATAAATCATTTATTCATTTTTCATCTCAATCAATATTTTTATAAGAGATGACATAAGTTAGATGATTCAGCTAATCTACACTGAAAGCAGTGGATAAGTCAATTACAATTTTTGCTCAAATATGGAAAAAATCTGACTGATTATAATCAAAATCATTAACTGTCATTTACTTTTCCTGAAAGCTCTTTATTTAATATAAAATCTAGACATAAAGAAACTAATTTATCCTCTTAAGTGCTATAAACATTTTCTCTCATTTCATTTTTTTTTTAGTTGTCAATTTTGATAGTGTTCAACTAGAAGTCACGAATAGGCAATCCACTAACATAGGTTCACAGTTCTCATATATTTTTGAAACATTGAAATCAACCTGTCCCCAACTCCACTCCAGAGGCTAATGTCAAAATACCTGCTGAAAGCAATGCCAAGCCAATATCTCTGAAATATAAAGTTGGCTATTATAATTCTCTTCATGATTATATTTTTATGTATATATGAGAGACAGAGCAAACATTATACATGAAAAATAATACATTTTACTTAAAAACATGTTAAGGTCTCTTGGGTGTGGTGGCTCATGCCTGTAATCCCAGCACTTTGGGAGGCCGAGGCAGATGGATCACGAGGTCAGGAGATCGAGACCATCCTGGCTAATATGGTGAAACCCTGTCTCTACTAAAAACACAAAAAAATTAGCCGAGAATGGTGGTGGACGCCTGTAGTCCCAGCTACTTGGGAGACTGAGGCAGGAGAATGGCATGAACCCAGGAGGCAGAGCTTGCAGTGAGCCGAGATCGTGCCACTGCACTCCAGCCTGGGCGACAGAGTGAGATGCCATCTCAAAACAAGCAAACAAATAAAACATGTTAAGGTCTATAAGGTCTACAACTTAGTCATTTCTTAACTATACGACCTTGGGTGGGCCACTTACTTAGTTTCTCATTACTTTGGTTTTCTTTCTTGAAAAGTGAAGAATTGTTTTCTTCACAGTTATAATTGTTTTCTGAAAATGTAAAACACTAGAAACATTGCCTGGCATTGAGTAAATTATTAGTTTTTATTATTAGTACTGATTCATATTTTTCCTACTTAAAATTAGATAATGACTCCTCATATTCTGCATGATTTTATAGGATATAAGTTTAAATACAAATCAAGACATATTTGAAATAATGTTCTATACACTCAACCTCAGATTTATTCGATGAAACCCCACATTTCTATTTGATAGCGTAGGTGACATCCACATCCTATTTTGCCTCATTATTGAACAGTGTCTTACCTAATTTTCTAGATGTCATAATTTATTTACTCTTGTCTCGTTTTCATGATGGTGTGTATACTGCATATTTTGAGACATAGTACATTTAATTGAGTTATTTTCTTGCTCAAAAAGAAAACTAGTTCCACCTCCATTGAATCTTCAGTTTAAACTTAGAATTTAAAATAAAAAAAACTGTTCTATGGCAATGATCATAAACTAGCAAATTGGTATCTCATGGGTTGGATTAAGGCTGACTGACAGAATGACCTTGAAGGGCCATGTGTGTGCATGTTTACTCACCTTAAAATAAAAGAATTTTCTGTATGGGTTTATTTTACTAAGATTAGTGAGCCTTTTAAAAGAGTCAGGTGCTTCTGATTCATCATATATGTCCCTGCCCAGTCTCTCTGTACTCACAAATCAGTCTGAGTGATGTAATATCATTTGAAGGTAGACTGTGATAAGTTAAAGCTGCATATTATGAACTATGAAGTAACTACAAAAATAAAAAGAGTTACACCTAAAACCTAATAAAGAAAAAAAAGATCATAAAAATCAACATAAAGCAGAAAAAAAAATGCATCAGAAAAGCATATGATAAAATAGAAAATAGTGAGATGTTAGATTTAAAACCAACAATACAATAATTATTTTGGAAGAGTAGATGAAATATAAATTTGAGGCTACCAATTTTAAGTGGATTTTGAGGACAGTCACTGTATTCTTAAGAAAGTTCTATTAATTTTGCAAATACTTTGAGGGGTATAAAAATAGAGATATAATAAATTGTACACTAAAGACAATAAGTGATGATTAAGTACTTTAATTTATCACAGATGCTACGTATTTCCGAAATCCAGTAGAAATGTAATCAATTTGTTTGACAGAACTTCAGTCTTTCTATTAACAAGTCTTTCAGATCAAAATTAAAGAAAATCATATTGTATACTTGAGCGATGTCCTTTATAGAGTCTTCATCCTCAGTCATAGGCTCAATTGCATGTGTCTGGTAAGAATTATAAATAATAGGACAGTTATTTCAGTTAATATGTTCTGTTAATCTATTTCAATTCAGAAAAAAGCACCTATTTAGTTTTAGGATCTAATATATGTGAACAAATTTGGGAGGATTTCTTTAATAATCTATATGCATTCTTTGTTTTACATTCTTTCAAGCAAACATATGACATGGACAAATATGTGCAAACACAAAATCACTGCAGTATATTAGAGTGGAAATGCAATGGCAGCATTCTTTTTCAGTAAGTTCAGTAAAATATTTGAGTCATGCTGAGTACAAAATACTTTGTTAAGGCTAATTAGGTTGCAGATTATAAAATGCCCTAATAGTACCAATAAATTAGACTCACCTTTCTCAAAAGAAAGTGACTAATAATATTTTGTTGCTGAGTTAAACAGAATAAATGTCTAAGAACTTAGCCAGAAGGCTGATTTTAATTAGTTATTAAGGTGTTCAGGTTAATGTAAATCAGATTTGCCTTTCTAGATAAAGAATACAGATTGACAGTGGCATTAACATTGTCATTAAATCTTAAATAAACACTAATTTCCCAGTGCTTGCAAGAGTCTGACCTGGAAAAAGATGAAAAAAAGGAAATACTATAGAGTTTTTTGTTAATTATCAAGCTTTTCCTTTGTGTTTTGTTTATCAGATATATAACGTTTGAAACTGAAGCTGATAATCAAATGAAATAGTTTTTAAAAACTACTTCTTGGAGTCAAATGACTACTCTTGGCTTTTCTTTCTTTTTTTCCATTTCCATTTATAATAGCCAAAAAAAGTTTCTTGTCACTGTTTCTAAATAACACCATGACCTCCTGCTCACAAATTAAAATGTATTGCAATTCTCTAAATAAGAACAATCTACCCTTTCTAAAATTTCAAATTAAATGTGCTTTATTTTTAGTATAGTGACCTACCCTGCATGTATAAATTAAATGTAAGAAACATTTTATGTTTAGTAGGCTTGAAAATGAGACTATTTTTCCCTTATTTTTTCTCCTTAAAACTTATTAATTCCTTTTTATATTCTAGATCTATAAATACTAAAATATTCTATCTATTAACTGCTCTAATCTTTATGTAACAGTGTAGGTTCTACCCATGTAACAGATGAGGAAACCAAGGAGCACAGTTATTTACTAACTCGCACAAGGCAAGTTTCAAAATTGTCTTTGAAAATAATGATTGCTTTTAAGGTTTATTCTATAATGGTTTAAGATCATGGGTTACAGAAGTAGAACAACAGTGTCTAATTACTAGTTCTAATAATTCTTATCGGATTTGTTGAGATTTTATACACATACATGTTTGTTTTTGTGTATAAGTATATATGTAACAATGTATTACACATATGAATTAACTGTTTAATATGTGTGAACTATTATATTCATTACTTGGCATTAATGTTTAGGTTGTTTCGATTTTACCCTCAAAATGTAATGACTTTTTGAGAGCCTATATCAAATTATTGGAAATACAAATGTATTTTAAAAGGGATTAGGGATTCTTAGTATTTGAATATGAATTGTGAAGATTAGTATTGAAAAAACTCTTGGTAACTTAGCAGGAGTAGCTGCAAAGGTGTTCCTTCTTTTCCTAAATGAATTATAAAGTATAAGAGTATTAAAGTCTACTTGTTTTTACTGCTAAATATATATATATATATATGTAGAATTTGAAGCTTTAGTTCATCTAACTACGATTCCTCTCTCAGAGCCTTTCCTGAGGAAATTTTTTTTTTGGTGGAGAGACTGAGAACACGAGGTGCACAGTGACCAGCTAAAGGGAGAATGAGGCAGTTCCAAAATGAATTATAAAGTATACGAGTATTAAAGTCTACTTGTTTTTTATTGCTAAAGTTGTGTATATGTGTGTGTGTATATATATATATATATATATATGTATGAAAATGTAGAATTTGAAGCTTTGGTTCATCTAACTGTGATTCCTCTACCAGAGCCTTTCCTGAGGAAATTTCTTACCCTGGGCCATCTGTCCTGTGTGTCTGTCCTCCTTGTGATCAGTTATTTGCACAGTGGCTCTGACCTGGCAGCCCACCTCTGGGTCCCCACTCCCCCAGAACTTCCCAGTCTGCCTTCTCCTGCCAGACACCCTGAGGCAGCTGTGTCCCCCAGACATAGCCTGGATGGGTATGCACCTGTCCCCACCACCGTCTGTCACCTCTGCTCCACACCTGACCAGTGGCCAGCACCACACTGGGGTTGACTGCCTTCACCGTGTCCATGCCTGCTCCGGCAGTGGGAGCTCAGTGCCAGGCTGTGGGGGGCATCTTGGAAAGCAGAGGTGTCCCTGCAGGATCTCTATGAGACTGTGTTGTCGGTGGCCGCGCTGGTTTCCCCGGAGTAGCGCCCGATGTCACTGCCGAGACCTTAACGGAAGGTGCGCGTCCAGTCCTCGCACTGCTGTGTGTTCTGGTCAGAATGGAAGTGGTGGCCTCCACTAGGAGCTTCTGTGCTTTGGGAGAATTTGTCCAAACTGTGGTCCCGTTTGTTCTCCAATCCTGTGTAGACACCATGACCCAGTTGTGTAAACACAGGCCCCTTGCAGCTCAGAGGCTGCCCTCTGAGAGTCACCGTCGTGTCGCTTTGGGGAAAAGATGAGCCCGCCCGGTTCCTCTCTGTGCACCTCATGCCTGGGGCTCCGTCCCGTCCTGGGTGGGTTTTCACCTGCACCGCTGGCCCCTCCCCCGGGAGCGTTGGTGGAGCCGGCTTTCTCAGCCAGGAGCCTGTTGCGGGGTCAGCGGCTGGAGCTCAAGGTCGGCTCAGGGGACTTTCTCGTGCTGGAGGTTGGCTGCGGAGCAGCCTGCATTTCTCGGAAAACAGGGCCCAGGGCCTGCTCCACGCCGCTGTCCACGTCTTCACCATCCCCTCGTTGCAGGTTCGAGGCCGAGCTCAGACCTGTGGAGCAGAAGCTGAGTGCGCTGCAGTCCCCGCTGGCCCAGAGGCCCTTCTTCGAGGTGCCCTCACCCCTGGGCGCCGTGGACCTGTACGAGTATGCATGCGGGGATGAGGACCTGGAGCCACTGTGACGCCACCCATGAGAACGCCGCTGCGGGGCCGCTCCACACGTGCCACGGCCACCACTGGGACACCGCCGCTTGTGTAAAAACTGTTGTCTTTTGTGGAAAATGAGTGTGTTTGCATGGAATGATAAATTTTTATTTATTCACAGAAGCGTGTTGATTGCCGCTGTGGGTTCGTGGCTGGACCTGCCTAGAGCTCTGTGCCCGGGGGACATGTAGGGCCGCTCGTGAACAGGACAGGTTCCCACACTGACACCCTCTGGCACTTGCCATTCCCGACTTGACCCGGCCTCAGTTCCAGGGCCTGCATCTTTCTGGAAAGGGTCTGTGTAGGCACAAGGGTGACCGGCGGCTCCCGGGCGCCTTGCCAGTCCTAGACAGGAGCCTCCGCCATGGCCTGTATGAATGTTTTGTGTAAATGTACAAAAGCGTTTCTGGCGATCACACTTGTATTTTTGAATGAATGTTTGGAGGATTTTTCAGTCACGGGCTTGGCTCCCTCAGCCACAGCATGGCTCCTTTCAGAATTTACAAACGTCGGCGCTGGAGGGGGACCGCGGCCACGCCAGATGCATCGGGATACAGTCTGGGCCTCTCTGCGGGGCCTCCTCCCCAGCCAGGGGTCCCCACCCTTGGGCTGTTCCCTCCCAGAGCCATGGACCCAGGCCACATTCCACAAACGACCCCAGAAGGAAGGAGCCCTCGCCAGAGTGGGGACGTCCACACCTGGGAGCCACGTGCAGCGACACCTAAATGAGGGTGTTCGGAGGCCCCGCCAGGAGGAGCCCTGTGTGCAGGGGAGGCCACGAGCCCCCAGGTCCCCCAGGGGCACCCGACATGGATAAGCCCAGGCCCAGCTCTGTTCCCTCTGCAGGCAGGGGAGGGTCACAGGTGGTGACCATGGGAATGACCCCGTCCTCACACAAGACAAAATGCTCCCCCAGGAAAGGGAGGTGGCAGCATCTACAGGGCAGGGCACAGGCGGGCAGGGCGGCCCTGGGCACTTGGTGGGGAGGGCAGGGCCGGGCCGGGCCGGGACCACCCCAAGAGCAGCACACACGCCCCGTTAATCTACTGGCAGCTGTGGCTGTGAAGGAGGTGGATGCACAGGGTGGTCCCATGACCCCTGAGGAGAGACGGTGCGGGCTCCAGGCAGTGGGTAGACTGGCCGCACCTCCCAGGGAAATGGCTGCTGCCCCCAAGGTGTCCTCTGTCACCAGGTGCTCCCCTGAATTCCCGGATGCCCCCACCTGGGTCTGCGAAGGGTCAGGGTCCCCAACAACAGGACAGGTGCAGGGCCGGAGAGTCTGACTGTGGCTGCTGCAGGGAAGTGACACTGGGAGCCACAGCCTGCAGGCCCCACCCTGCCCCAAGCTCCGGGGAGCCCATCTGGGAGAGCATGTCTGCCCCACACCACCTCAGGACACCCCTCACACACACCTATGAGCTGGAGCCCATGGTCATGGGAGTGAGGGGCCAGAAGTGAGGGGTTCACCTCTGACTGGGACCCTCAGCTTCCCACACTGACACTAGGAGCCCCCCAATTAGGGTTCAAGGCTGAGACATCAGAAGCCTCCCTGGGGCTGTGAAACGAAAGACAGCGTCCCCCACCCACATCCCTGGTGAGGCTCCTGCACAACCCGAGTGTCCTCCGACATCCCCATACCCACTGCATTCCCCAAGCACCCCGTCCTTCCCCAGCCACGGCCCCAGATGCTCTGGGCTGTGCCAGGGCCGGGCATGCACACCCACACCTTTGCTGGAGAAGTGGGGGGTCCTCGTGGACGGCAGCACTGCGGGGAGACCCAGAGCCCAGCGGTCCTGCCCTCCACGTGTTCTGGGGGTCCATTTCCCTGAGAGCTCACGTGTGAGGTGGGCCAGGGACCCCACAAGAAAAGCACCTGCATCACCCTCACCGTGGCCAGCGTCCAGCATCCTGCTAGGACAGAAGCCAGGGTGTTCCAGGCAGAGGCGCCTCTGGCATCCCCACCTCACCCTCTGTGAATGACAACCTTGGGTCCCCGGCATTTCGTGGCCATCACCCCTTGGCGATCCCCATGCAGGGACCCAGCCCACCCCACCCCTCCCTCACATGGTCCCTTCATGTCAGACCCAAGAGTGTTCACGGGTCCCTTCATGTCAGACCCAAGAGTGTTCACGGGGGCAGCCCCAGGTTCACCCAGAAGCAGCAGGAGCTCTGTTGCAGGATGACCATGAAAGGTGACAGCCACTCCACAGCAACGATGCCAGCCATGGCCCTGAGGTCCCCGGGCACCTCCTTGTGGGACAGGACACAGCTCCTCAAGGTGCAGCAGGGGTGACGGGCACCACAGGCTCCCAGCACTGGCACCAGACCGGCATCCAGAGCGCTGTCCTGAGGGGCGGCAGGGATGGGCATGGCAAGATGGGCTTCCCAGAATGAGGGGACCCAGCCTGGGTGGAGGATGGGGCTTGGACAGCCATGAGACGGGAGACACAGAGGAGATGGAGAAGGGGGAAATGGGGGAGAACTGGGGGGCATCAGATACAGGAATGAGGCAGAGCCGGACCCAGCCATGGCTTGCAGCCCTGAGGTCCCGGGGCACCTCCTCGTGGGACAGGACACAGCTCCTCAAGGTGGAGCAGGGGTGACGGGCACCACAGGCTCCCAGCACTGGCACCAGACCGGCACCCAGAGCCCTGCCCAGAACAAGGGGGGACCGAGCCTGCGGAGGGATGGAGCCTAGACAGCCATGACATGGAGAAGGGGGAGTTGGAGGAAATGGAGACGGGCAAGACGGAGGGGACGGGGGAGATGGAGGAGATGGAGGAGAAGGGGGAGATAGAGAATGGGGGAGTTGGGGAAGAACTGCTGGGCATCAGATGCAGGAATGAGGCAGACCGGACCCAGCCATGCCCAGCAGTTCCTAGAGGAGACACGGCTCCCAGGTGGGACTGGGAGGCCTTTATGACTCAGAGCCAGGGAAGGAACAGAGGCCGGAGGTCGTCACCAGCACAATGCCCACTGGCCGCCTTGCTCAGGCCAAGGGGTTGGACCCCACATGGCACAGGAGCCCCATCTGCTGCAACCCTAAGATGCACATCCTGTGGCTGAAAGAGATGCGGCCCCTGGGGCGGCGCAGACCCCACGTGGCACAAACGACCCGGCTGAGTCTAAAGCCTGCAGACAAGACCACTCACGCAGCAACACACTGCTGTGTGGCTACAGGAGGGGCCTCGAACCATGTTCCCCATGACCCACAGGCAGACCCTGGGAGGGCAGGGATGCCCCCCGTCGCACCAACCTCTGTAGAAGTCACAGCCCCAGCCTCGGCTGCCGCACACGCCAAGCCAAGCCAAGACAAACAAGCCAGCCAGCCAGCCAAGCCAGCTAGGCCGGCCCAGCCAGCCAAGCCAGCCAAGCCACCCAGCCGGCCAAGCCATCCAAGCCAGCCAACCAACCCAGCCAGGCAAGCCAGCCAAGCCACCCAGTCAAAGCCAGCCAGCCAGCCAAGCCAGCCAAGCCAGCCAGCCAGCCAAGCCAGCCAAGCGACCCAGCCAGCCAAGCCACCCAGCCAAGCCAGCCAAGACAGCCAGCCAGCCAGACAAGCCAGCCAGCCAAGACAGCCAAGACAGCCAAGCCACACAGTCAGCCAAGCCACACAGTCAGCCAAGCCAGCCAGCCAGGCAGCCAAGCAAGCCAGCCAAACCAGCCAGGCAGCCAAGCCGGCCAAGCCAGCCAAGCCAGCCAGCCAGGCAAGCCAGCCAAGCCAGCCAAGCCAGCCAGCAAAGCCACCAAAGCGAGCCAAGCCACCCAAGCCGCCAAGCCAGCCAAGCCACATAGCCAGCCAAGCCAGCCAAGCCATCCAAGCCACCCAAGCCACCCAAGCCACGCAGCCGGCCAAGCCAGCCAAGCCACCCAGCCAGACAAACCAGCCAGCCACCCAGCCAGCGAAGCCAGCCAGCCAGCCAAGCCACCCAGGCAGCCCAGCCAGCCAAGCCACAGAGCCACCCAAGCCAGCCAAGCCACCCAGCGAGCCAAGCCATCCAAGCCACCCAGCCAGCCAGCCAGCCAAGCCAGCCAAGCCACCCAGGCAGCCCAGCCAGCCAAGCCACAGAGCCACCCCAGCCAGCCAGCCAGCCAAGCCAGCCAAGCCACACAGCCAACCAAGCCAGCCAAGCCAGCCAGCCAGCCAAGCCTGCCAGCCAACCAAGCCAGCCAAGCCAGCCAAGCCACCCAGCCAAAGCCAGCCAGCCAGCCAAGCCAGCCAAGCCACACAGCCAACCAAGCCAGCCAAGCCAGCCAGCCAGCCAAGCCTGCCAGCCAACCAAGCCAGCCAAGCCAGCCAAGCCACCCAGCCAAAGCCATCCAGCCAGCCATGCCAGCCAGCCAGCCAGGCCATAATTTCATCATTCCACTTCATCATTCCACTTCATCATTTCATTTCATTTCATTTCATCATTTCATTTCATTTCATCCTTTCATTTCATCTCATCATTTCATCCTTTCATTTCATTCTTTCATTTCATCATTTCATCTCATCATTTCATTTCATCATTTCACTTCATCTCATCATTTCATCATTTTATCTCATGGTTTCATTTCATCTCATGATTTCATTTCATCTCATCATTTCATCTTTTCATCTCATCATTTCATTTAATCATTTTATTTCATTTTATCTTTTCATCTCATCATTTCATCATTTCATTTCATCGATTCATTTCATCATTTCATTTCATTATTTCATCATTTCATCATTTCACTTCATCTCATCATTTCATTTCATCATTTTATATCATTTCATTTCATCATTTCATCTTTTCATCATTTCATTTCATTTCATGATTTCACTTCATTTCTTCATTTCATTTCCTCATTTCATTGCACCATTTCATCACTTCATCATTTCATCATTTCATTTCATCATTCCATTTCATCATTTCATCATTTCATTTCATCTCATCATTTCATTTCATCATTTCATTTCCTCATTTCACCATTACATTTCATCTCATCATTTCATTTTATCATTTCATTTCATCATTTCATTTATTCATTTCTTCATTTCGTTTCATCATTTCATCATTTCCTTTCATTTCATCATTTCATTTCATCATTTCATCTCATCATTTCATCTCATCATTTCGTTTCATCATTTCATCTCATCATCATTTCATCTCATCATTTCATCTCATTTCATTTCATTCATTTCATCATTTCATCTCATGATTTCATTTCATCTCATTTCACTTCATCTCATCATTACACCATTTCATCTCATGATTTCATCTAGTCATTTCATTTCATCTCATCATTTCATTTCAACTTTTCATCTCTTCATTTCATTTCACCGTTTCATCTTTTCATCTCGTCATTTCACTTCATTTCATCATTTCATCAATTCATCATTTCATCATTTCATTTATTTCATCATTTCGTCATTTCACTTCATTTCATCATTTCATATAATTTCATCATTTCATTTTATCATTTCTTTTAATTTCATTTCATCATTTCACTTTATTTCATCATTTCATATCATTTCATTTCATCATTTCATCTTTTCATGTCATTTCATCATTTCATCATTTCATTTCATTCATTTCATCATTGCATTTCATCATTTCATTTCATCTCATGATTTCATTTCATCTCATCATTTCACTTCATCTCATCATTTCATCTCATGATTTCATCTCATCATTTCATTACATCCCATCATTTCATGTTTTCATCTCGTCATTTCATCATTTCATTTCATTTTGTCTTTTCATCTCGTCATTTCATTTCATCATTTCATTTCATCATCATTTCAGTTCATTTATTTCATCATTTCATTTCATCATTTAATTTCATCATTTCACTTCATTTCATCATTTCATTTCATTTCATATCATTTCATCATTTCATCTTTTAATTTCATTTCATAATTTCATCATTCCACTTCATCATTTCGTTTCATCATTTCATTTCCTCATTTCATCATTTCATTTCATCCTTTCATTTCATCTCATCATTTCATCCTTTCATTTCATTCTTTCATTTCATTATTTCATCTCATCATTTCATCTCATCATTTCATTTCATCATTTCACTTCATCTCATCATTTCATCATTTTATCTCATGATTTCATTTCATCTCATCATTTCATTTCATATCATTTCATTTCATCTTTTCATCTCGTCATCTCACTTAATCATTTTATTTCATTTTATCTTTTCATCTCATCATTTCATTTCATCATTTCATCATTTCATTTCACTTCATTTCATTTCATCATTTCGTATCATTTCTTCATTTCATCTTTTCATTTCATTTCATCATTTCATCATTTCATTTCATTTCATCATTTCACTTCATCATTTCATTTCTTCATTTCATTTCCTCATTTCATTGCACCATTTCATCACTTCATCATTTCATCATTTCATCATTCCATTTCACCATTTCATCATTTCATTTCATTTCATCTCATCATTTCATTTCATCATTTCATTTCATTTCCTCATTTCACCATTACATTTCATCTCATTTCATCATTTTATCATTTCCTTTCATCATTTCATTTCTTCATTTCATTTTGTTTCATCATTTCATCATTTCCTTTCATTTCATCATTTCATCTCATCATTTCATCTCATTTCATTTCATTCATTTCATCATTTCATCATTTCATCTCATGATTTCATTTCATCTCATCATTTCACTTCATCTCATCATTACACCATTTCATCTCATGATTTCATCTAGTCATTTCATTTCATCTCATCATTTCATCTTTTCATCTCGTCATTTCATTTCATCATTTCATTTCATCTTTTCATCTCGTCATTTCATTTCATTTCATTTTATCAATTCATCAATTTATCATTTCATTTCATTTCATTATTTCATCATTTCATCATTTCATCATTTCACTTCACTTCATCATTTCATTATTTCATATAATTTCATCATTTCATTTTATCATTTCTTTTAATTTCATTTCATCATTTCATCATTTCACTTTATTTCATCATTTCATATCATTTCATCATTTCATTTCATCATTTCATCTTTTCATTTAGTTTCATTATTTCATCATTTCACTTCATCATTTCATTTCATTTCCTCATTTCATCATTTCATTTCATTTCCTTTCATCATTTCATCTCATCATTTCATCCTTTCATTATTTCATTTCATCATTTCATGTCATCATTTCACTTCATCATTTCATCATTTCATTTCATCATTTCACTTCATCTCCTCACTTCATCATTTCATCTCATCATTTCATCTCATCATTTCGTTTCATCTTTCCATCTCATCATTTCATTTAATCATTTCATTTCATCTTTTCATCTCATCATTTCATTTCATCATTTCATTTCATCAATTCATCATTTCATTTCATTTTATTATTTCATCATTTCATCATTTCACTTCATTTCCTCATTTCATTTCATCATTTCATATTTCTTCATCATTTCATCTTTTCATTTCATTTCATCATTTTATCATTTCATTTCATTTCATCATTTCACTTCGTCATTTCATTTCCTCATCTCATTTCACCATTTCATCATTTCATCATTCCATTTCATCATTTCATCATTTCATTTCATCATTTCATCATTTCATCATTTCATTTCATCATTTCATCATTTCATCATTTAATTTCATCATTTCACCATTTCAATTCATCTCATCATTTCATTTCATTTCATCATTTTATCATTTCATTTCATCAGTTCATTTCTTCATTTCATCATTTCCTTTCATTTCATTATTTCATTTCACCATTTCATCATTTCATTTCATCATTTCATTTCATTTCAGTGATACATATATTTAAGTGCTAATGTGATGCCCAGGAGACATCCTACTTCCCTTTGTAAAATACCTCCTTCAACAAAAGGCAACCTCTCATGGCTGGCTAAGTCTACAGGGATACCAGGCTCTCCTCAACCACCCAATTTGATTTAGAACCTCAAACAGCACCTCACTTTCATGAAAACCTAACACATAAACACAACACTTGGTTGTAAGTGAGCCAACAGCTTCTTGTCTCTTTCTCTGCTCAAGGCTTAAGGCCGTGTCTCCCCAACTACGTTCAGTGGAAGAAAAGATCCCCTGGACAAATAAGTTTGAGGACTGTCATTGCAGGACTTCTCAGAACCTTTAAAACACAAATCCTCATCCGCAGGGATCTTCAGGAGGGAGACGGCTGATGCAGCACAACTTTCTTTCACAGGAGCATCTTGCAGAATACAGTATGAGATACAGAAAGGCTGCACTGAGTCTTTTTAAGGGTCTGGGCCTTGGTGGGGGTGGGGTAGGAGCTCTCCAGATAGCATCTAATGAGTAGGAACATTCAGGTTGCTTTTTTTTTCCCTTATTGGCAAAACTGTGTGTGCACCATGAATGAAGCTGGTCTCCCTTATCCACATCAAAACTAAACCCAAATTAATTGGCTAAATTGGGACTCAACACCACCAGGAGCCACGTGGAAGACAGCCCTACCACACTTTAAAGTAGCTTACCTCATCATGTTTGAGGAAAGCAAAACGCTTATGACCAGTATGCTGCTAATACAAGTCTACAGATAATGCTGTAGGAAAAATTATTTTTCCCAATCATAGCTGGCATAGTCCACATTTTGCATTACAATTTCCCCTTTTTTAAAATTTAAACACAGGTCTTTTTCTCTTCTTTTTAAACATTTTAATTTAATTATACAAGACGGAGTCTCAGTATGTTGCCCAGGCTGGTCTTCAACTCCTGAGCTCAAGTGATACATCCCTCTCCGCCTCCCAAAGTGCTGGGATTACAGGCCTGAGACACTGTGCCCGGCCTTCAACATAAAGTTTAATTCATTCTTACAATTATCCTGAAGTTAGAAAAATGGAAGGGGAAGAAAAATGGCAAGCAGGTAGGCTGACTTCGACTTCATTATTTGGAAGGACAGTTTGCTCGGTTAAAACACACTACTGCCCAAAAGGCCAAGACTACAGAAAAATACAGACTTACATAAATAGATTTTATATGTGACAGCAGTTTGAATGGAGACTTTTTCAATGCAAATGACAAACAGCTGTGCTTGGGAATAAATGACAAAGAATTTTTTATCTCAACAGCTGTCCTGAGAGCACGTCTCTACATCTATACCTGCATTCTGGAATCAGGGAGGAAGCCAAAACGGATGACAAGACACTAGGTCAGCCGCGTCCAACCCTTTGACTACAAGGACTTTTCCACCTATCTGTGGTGGTGGGTATCATGAAAATTATGCACAAACCTTTTTTTTTTTTTAAGCTCATCAGCTATCGTTAGCATTAGTGTATTTTATATGTGGCCCAGGAGCATTCTTCTTCCAATGTGACCCTGAGAAGCCAAAAGACACCTGTGCACTAGATCAAAAGGCTACTCCTTCTGGAAGCAATTGTAAAGAATTTCTGACATTATCTTCACATGACAACCAATGGGTAGTGGGACAGAATGCAAAAATCTTCAAGTATTTTTCTTGTTGGTTTTTTTTTTTTGAGTCAGGGTCTTGCTCTGTGGCCCAGGCTGGAGTACACTGGTGAGATCACAGCTCAGTGCAGGCTCAAGTGCTCCTCCCACCTCAGCCACAGTAGTAGCTGGGACTACAGATGTGCACAACCACCCCTGGCTAATATTTTATTTTTTGTAGAGACAGGGTCTCACTATATTGTCCAGGTTAGTCTCAAACTCCTTGACTCAAGGGATCCAGGACAGGATAACAGGTGTGAGCCACCACATCTGGCCATGTGCATGAACTTTTAAGACAAACACAAGGCCCCACAAAAGTTAAGGTTTTCCCACCTAATTTCCAGGGGATCTTTTGGTGCAAGGATGAGAAGCCCTTAAAAGTACCCAGACAACTCCAAAGATTCAAGACAGTTCATTGGGGCTGAGCCAGCCCACTGGGCAGACTGACCTTCAAAAAAGGCCCACCCATGATATACACCAGATGGCTCTCCAAGAATCTCTCCAGTCCTCAGGGTCCCTAAGGTACTGGACAGAGCTAGGAAAGCAAACCCATGTGCTTCTTCCTTCAGGCAACCCCTTGAGGTCAAGACCCCACAATCAGATGAGGATGGAGTGGCTCACCCTCAGTCAACAGGCCAGACTCAAGGTGGTATTATGTCTTAACCAAGGGTGTGGGCCTCCAGGTCTCACTCCCAACTCAGTGCTCCTTTAATAACCACACTTTGTTAATTCTCCTTAACAGGGGTTCCAGGCAAGTCAGTTCTCCCTCAGGCCTTCGGTTTCCTCACCCACAAGATGAGAGGGCTGGACCAGATGGAAATTCAGGGGGTAAGGGGATGTCCGCTCGCAGCCCACCTCGCCCATGGGCCCCTCAAGCCTCCCTGCCAGTTCCCACGACGCACCCGCCCCACAGATCCTGCCCAAGGTGAGGGCTGGTCCCGGGTCCTCCGGCTGCCGCATCAGCGAGTGCAGGAGGGAGGGGAAGCCTCCAACGGGGCGACTGGGGCTCAAGGATGCAACTCGGCCAGGAGTGAACTTGGGCACGGAGGGAGGTGTCTGGGCCGCTCCTCGAGCCCAGCCTGGGTCCACGACCCCCTTACCTCCAGGGTCCGTATCTCCTGCTGGGTGAGGTCCTTGGACACAGCGCACTTGTTGCGCAACCGGCGCAGGCTGCCAATGGAGATGCGGATAAGCTTCTGGAGCTGCCCACAAGCTTCTGGAGCTGCCCACACTGCTGCAGCGTCTGGCTGGCTGCGGCCCCTGCGCCTCCCAAAGAGGCCGCCACATCACCCCCGCCACCGCCCTCCTTCTTCTCTCCCCTGGCCGCTACGCGCAGCGCCGCTCTATGCAGGCCGCAGCGGCCAAGGCGGGGAGCCCGGGGCGCGGGCGCCTAGGCAAGGAACCCCCGAGCCGGGAGAGCTGGACCAGGAGCGCCCCCCGGCGCCGCCTGAACAAGGACGCCGGTAGAGCCGGCAGCCGAGTGTGCTGCTCCCGCCCTCAGAGCCGCGGCAGCGGTGGCAAAAAGCGGCGGCGGCGGGGGCAAAAAGCTGGGGCGGCGGGGACAAAAAGCCTCGGTGGCGGGGGCAAAAAGCCACGGCGGCAAAAACCGGCGGCGGCGGGAGCAAAATGCCGCAGGGGCAAAAAGCCGCAAAAAGCCGCGGCGGCGGGGGCAAGAAGCCGCGGTGGCGGGAGCAAAAATCTGCGGCGGCAAAAAGGGGCGGCGGCGGGGGCAAAAAGCCGCAAAAAGCCTCGGCGTCGGGGGCAAAAATATGCGGCGGCGGGGGCAAAAAATATATATATATAAAATATTATAAATATATATATTTATATATATAATTATATATATAAATATAATTAATATATATAATATATATTTTATTATATATATTTATATTATATAATATATTATATATTATAAATATATATAATAAAATATATTTATATATTATATATTAATTATATATATTATAAATATATGTAATAAATCTTGATGATTCTAAGAATGTTTTCATTATTATCACTAAAACTTATGATAAATGTTTTATTCATTCGTTTGTGACTATATTGCATGATAAAAATTTAAAGATTTATTATGTTTGAATCAAACCCCACGATTTGTGTCATTTCCCCCTGTAATGTGGAAGTCTGAGTTTTTAGTTCACAAATTTGGCAGAACAATAAACAGAGCGGCACAGCTCAAAGCACTAACTCCTCCGGAAGCAGCAGGTCAAAGTACATGCCAGACATTAAGCAGCAGAGCAACTTAGCAAGAGAAGACAGATCCTCAGGTTGGTGGGCAATGTCTGAACAGTCTGCTCATGGCACCAATTGTTAGTCACTTGCAAAGATGTGGCTTTAAGAGGGTAAGAAATTACTACTCACATAAATTACATTTGTGAGGTAAGTAGGAAGGCCTTTCAAGGTGATCTGACATGGCTTGAATGTGCAAGAAAAGGAGCCAGGCCTGGATTTTTATTGAGGGTAGGTGGCATGCTAGGGTGAGAATTTATTCCCATGGACAGGGGTTTGAATGGTTTCAATCTGCTGCTGGTACCAGAAAAGGGACCACCCAGGTTTCCTCTTACTGTATTATTTTATACACACACACACACACACACACACACACACACACACACACGGTTTAGGATTAAAAATAGAGACAACCATCAAAAAATGAAGATAGTTCCTTTTGGTCAGCCTGGCAAGTAAGGACGTAGAAGGTGACATTCGCATCAGCGAAAGTAAAAAGGGAAACATAGGCCAGCAATTCTCCTAACATGTATCAGAAAAATAAGTTCACAGGGCAAATCACCATCCCAAATTGGACAGAAGGACACACACATCCAGAGAATTATAACTTACTTGGTTAGTAAACCACAAGAAACCCCTATGGGAACAAATACAGTTGTAAGAAAACAAACCATTGTTGATGAATGGCTAAAAGTTTGAGAATTAACATTTTCAGGGTATACAAATTTATGAACTTTACTTTCAGAAACATGACATGGCTTTTACAGGGAAGATGATAGAAAAAATGCTTCTTGATTCCAGTAGGAGGAAGGGAAATGTAGCCATTTTTAACTATTCCCAGAAAATTTTCTTTTTAACATTCCTATCTTCAATATAAACTATGTATCAAAAGCCTAACCAACTGAGATTTTACCAGAGCCAGACTTCCTGGAGTAAGAGAAATGCCCAATTCCATCCCCCTCTAACCTTCTTGATCCAGTTAAGAGAGGTAAAGAGTGAGAAGTCCTCATGAAATTCACAGCCTAGGGATACACTGTTTTGTTTTGATTTGTTTTAATGAGGCTAATGCATAAGTCAATAGAGTGCTTTGCCTAAGCTCTCACATAACCACTACATCAACAGCAGAATAAATACATGGTAGCAGAATACAACTGAAAGAACTGTATGCCTCAGATCTTGTTAAATAAGTCTCTAAGAGACCACAAGGAAATTGAATAATGTTGATAAAGTCGACACATGTATATGTAGAAATACACAATGTACTGACACTGAGTCATGAACAAATAGAAAATCTGAACAGACCTATAGTTGCAGATTGATGCAAAAATCACCCCTCCAGAAAAAAAAAGTACAAAACTGTTATGCTGCTGAATCTATCAAACATTTTAAGAATTAATTACCAATTATCCTCAAACTCTTGCAAAAACCTGAAGATGCAGAAACACTTCCAAATTTATTCTATGAGGTAGGCCAAAATTACAGTGACATAAAAAATGAACAAAAGCACTACAAGAAAAGAAAGTTGAAGAAAAATGTTCTTTATAAATAATATAAAAACTATAAAATAAATATTAGCAAAATATATTTAGCAGAATAATAAGAGGGTTATCTACCAAGACTAATTGAGAGTTATTACTGAAGTGCAAAGATGCTTTAACATATAAATATCAATAAATGTAGCCAGGCACAGTGGCTTGTGCCTGTAATCCCAGTTACCCAGGATGCTAAGGTGATAGGTTCACTTCAGTCCAGGAGTTCAAGAGCAGTCTAAACAACATCATAATATCCTGTCTCTAAAAATAAATAAATAATAAATAAATAAACAAATAATCATAATATACCGCATTAGTACTGTTAAACACCACAATATCTCAATTTACACAGAAAAAGCATTCTACAAGATATTACTCATTCATGGTACAAACACACAACATAATCAACAGTGAAATACAAAAAATGTTTTCCCTTAATATCAGGAACTAAAAATAGTTCCTCTTTTTTACCACTTCCACTCAACAGAGTATATAAAACTTTAGCTTAAGCAATAACAAAAATAAAATAAAGACAAAAATGCATATGTTAAAAAGAATAAAATAGAAATATCTCTGTTCACAGTAATCATGTATGCACACAATTCTGAAGATTGTACAAACAGAAAAACACCTCAAAACAGTTTAAACAAATTAAGTAATGTTGCAGGATACAAAATTAACTTACAAAACTCAGTTGCATTGATGCACACCAATAATGATTAATCTGAAAAGGAAATTAAGAAAACAATACCATGAACAACAGTATTAAAAAGAATAAAATGCTCTGGAATCAATTTAACCAGGATGACAAACTATTTGTACAATAAAAACTTTCAAAATGCTGCTGTAAGAAATCAAAGGTACAAATAAATGGAACAGTATCTTCTGTTCATAGGTGAAAAGACTTTTTAAAAAATTTCAACTTTTATTTTAGATTCAGGGGTTACAGGCACAGATTTGTTATGTAGGAATATTGTATAATGCTCAGGTTTGGAGCACATAGGTAGTGAGCACAGCAACCAATATGTAGTATATTAACTTGCCCTCCCCTCTGCACACTTTAGTAGTCCACCGTGTTTACTGTTCCCATATTTATGTCCATATATGCTCAATGTTTAGCTCTTATAAGTAAGAACATGCAGTATTTGGCTTTCTGTTTCTGCATTAATTTGCTTGAAATTATGGCCTCTGGTTCCACCTATGTTCATACCAAGGACATGATTTCATTATATTTCACAGCTGTGTAGTATTCCATGGTGTATACATACCAGGTTTTCTTTATCCAATATACCATTGATGGGCATCTGGATTGATCCCACATCTTTGCTATTGTGAATAGCACAGTGATGCATTCAAGTGCATATGTCTTTTTGGTAGAATGATTTATTTTCTTTTGGGTATATACCCAGTTGTAGGATTGCTGGGTAAATTGGTAGTTCTGTTTTAAGTTCTTTCAGAAATCTCGAGACTGCTCTCCACGATTGCTGAACTAATTTACAATCCTGCCAGTGACGTAAAGTGTTTCCTTTTCTGCACAGCCTTGCCAACATGTTATTTATTGACTTTTTAGTAATAGCCATTCTGACTAACATGAGATGGTACCTCATTGTGGTTCTGATTTGCATTTATCTGATAATTACTGATGCTGAGCAATTTTTCATGTTTGTTGGCCACTTGTATATCTTCTGTTCAGGCATATCTGTTCATCTCATTTGCCCATTTTTTATTTTTTAATGGTTTTTTTTTTTTGGCTTGTTGATTTGAGTTCCCTATAGAGTCTGGATATTAGGCTTTTGTTAGACTCATAGTTTGTGAATATCTCCTCCCATTCTGGAGGATGCCTCTTTCCCCTGTTGATAGTTTATTTTGCTGTGCAGAAGCTATTTAGTCAAATTAAGTCCTACTTGTCTATTTTTGTTTTGGTTGCAATTGCTTTTGGGGACTTAGCCAAAAACGACTTGCCAAGGCTGATGTCAAAAAAGTATTTCCTAGGTTATCTTCCAGAATTTTTATAGTTTGAGGTCTTACACTTAAATTTTTAATCCATTTAAATTTAATTTTGGGGCATGTTGCAAGGTAAAGGTCTAGGTTCAATCTTCTGCCTATGGCAAGCCAGTTATCCCAGAATGTATTGACTAGGGAGTCCTTTCCCCATTGCTTGTTCTTGCCAGCCTTGTCAAATATCATATGGTTGTAGGTGTGTGACTTTCAGCAGTGTTTTGTAGTTCTCCTTGAAGAGATCTTTCATTTCCTTGGTTATCTGTATTCCTAGGTATTTCTCTTTTTTGTGGCTATTTTAAGTGGAATTGTGTTCTTGATTTCACTCTTGGCCTGGACATTGTTGGTGTATGGAAATGCTACTTATTTCACCATAATCAGTACTGTTTACACTGATTTTGTATCCTGAGACTATACTAAAGTTATTAATTCTAGGAGCCTTCTGGCAGAATCTCTAGGATTTTCTAGGCATAGGATCATATTTTCAGCGAAGAGAGATAGTTTGACTTCTTTTCCTGTTTCGTTACTTTTTCTTTCTCTTGCCTGATTGCTCTGCATAGGACTTCCAGTACTAAGCTGAATAGGAGTGCTGTGAGTGAGCATCCTTGTCTTGTTTCAGTTCTCATAGAAATAGTTTTAAGTTTTTAACCTTTTGAGTATGATGTTGACTGTGGGTTTCCCATAGATGACTCTTATTATTTTAAGGTATGTTCCTTGGATGCCTAGTCTATTGAGGATTTTTACCATGAAGTAGTGTTGGATTTTATTAAGAAGACCTTTGTGTATCTGTTTAGAAAATCATATGGTTTTTACTTTTGATTCTATTTAGCTGGTGAATCACATTTATTGGTTTGCATATGTTGAACCAGCTTGCATCCCAGGAATAAAGCCTACTTGACCATGGTGTATTACCTTTCTGATGTGGTGCTGAATTTGGTTTGCTAGTATTTTGTTGAGGATTTTTACATTTTCTGTTCATGAGGGATCTTGGTCTGAAGTTTTGTTTTTTCACAGTGTCTCTGCCAGATTTTCATATCATGCTACTGCTGGTTTCAAAGAATGAGTTAGGAAGGAGCCCCACCGCCTCGATATTTTGAAATAATTTTAGTAGGATTGATATCATTTCTTCTTAGTATGTCTGGTAAAACTCAGCAGCCAATCTACCTGTTTCAGGCCTTTTTGTTGTTGTTGTTGTTGTTGGTAGGTTCTTTAGTACTGACTCAATGTCAGAAGTTGATATTAGTCTACTTAGAGTTTTGATCTCTTTCTGATTCCATCTTGGGAGACTGTGTGCTTCCTGGAATTTATTCATTTTCTCCAGATTTTCTAATTTGCGTGCAGAGCTGTTCATAGTACTCGCTGAGGATCTTTTGTATCTCTATCTGATCCATTCTAATATAACCTGTCATTTTTATTGTGCTTATTTGGATCTTCTCTTTCTTTTTTATATTTGTTAATTTGGCTAGGAGCTTATCAATTTTTTTTGAAGAACCAATTTTTTGTTTTCTTGGACTGTTGTATACATTTTTGCATCTCAACTTCATTAAATTCTTCTCTAATTGCTGTTATGTCTTCTCTCATGCTAGCTTTGGGGTTGGTTGGTTCTTTTTTTCAAGTTCCTTTAGGTGCAAAGTTACATCGTTAATTTGAGACATTTCTAACTTCTTGATAAAGGCATTTAGGGCTATAAAGTTTTCTCTTAACACTGCTTTGGCTGCATCTTAGAAATTTTGGTAAGTTGTGTTCCTATTTCTATCAATTTCAAGTAATTTTTATATTTCTGCCTTACTTTGATGTTTACAAAGGATTTATTCAGGAGTAAGTTGTTTAATTTTCATGTATTTCTGTAGTTTTGAGAGATCTTGGTATGCATTTGTATTTTTTATTGTACTGTGCTCCAACAGTGTGCTTGGTGAGATTTCATTTTTCCTTAATCTATTCAGGCTTTATTTATCACTGAGCACGTGGTTGATCTTAGAATTTTTTTTTGTGCAGATGAGAAAAATGTACATTCTGTGGTTGTTCGATGGAGTTTTCAATAGATGTCTATTAGGTCCAATTGGTCAAGTGTGGAGTTTAACTCCAGAGTTTTCCTGTTAGTTTTTTTTTTTTTTTTTTTTGGCCTCAGTGATATGTCTAATGCTGTAAGTAGGGTGTTGAAGACTCTTACTACTATTGTGATGTTGTCTAAGCCTTTTTGTGGGGAAAGAAAAAGTCATTTTGTAAATCTGGGTGCTCCAATATTAAGTGTATATATATTTAAGATATTTAAGGCTTCTCACAGGATTTTATCCTTTATCAATATGCCCTTGTTATTCTTCTTTTCATTGGTAGGCAAAGAAGAAGTCATTTTATGAATTTGGATGCTCCAGTGGTAATCACATATATATTTAAGATAGTTAAGGCTTCTTGTTAGATTGCACCCTTTATCAAAATGCTCTTCTTGTCCCTCTTAGTGTTTTTTTTTTTTGGTTTAAATTTGTTTTATCTAATATAAGAATAGTGACTGCTGCTTGTTTTTGTTTCGTTTGCATGGTAGAATACGCTCCACCCTTTTACTCTGAGGCAAAGGGTGTGTCTTGAAAGCAACAGATGGATGGGTACTGTCTTTTTATCCAGGATGCCACTTTGTGTCTTTTAACTGTGGTGTTTAGCTTACTTACATGTTAGGTGAGTATTGATATGTGTGATTTTGAATTCACCATCATGTTGTTAGCTGGTTGTTATGTAGAGTTGATTGCATTATTGCTTTATAGTGCCTGTGGGCTATGTGCTTAAGTGAGCTTTTTTGGTAGCAGATATCATTCACTTGAATCCATGTTTAGCACTACCTTAAAGACCTCTTGTAAGGCTGGTCTAGTTTAAATGTATCACGTCAGCATTTGCTTGTCAAAGGAATTTTTTTTTCCTCTTTCACCTATGAAGCTTAGTTTAGAGGGATATAAAATTATTGGTTAATTTTTTTTTCCTTTAAAAACTCTGCAGATAGGCCCCTAACCTCTTCTGGTTGCAAGGAGTCTGCTGAGAGGTCTGCTGCTAGTCTGATGGAATTCACTCTGTGAGTAACCTGCCCTTTCTCTCTAACTGATCTTAAATTTTTTTTTGCACTGACTTTGGTGAATCTGATGACTATGTGACATGGAAATAGCAATATGGTTTGGATCTGTGATTCTGCCCCAATCACATGTGGAACTGTAATCTTCAATGTTGGAGGTGGGGCCTGCTGAGAGGTGATTGGATAATGGGGATAGATCCTTGTGAATGGTTTAACACCAGCCCCTTGTGCTGTCTCGCGATAACGTTCTCATGAGATCTGGCTGTTTAAGAATGGGTAGCACCTCCTCGCTCTCTGTGTTGCTCCTGTTCTTCCATGTAAGATGACTTGCCCCCCTCTTCCTTCTGCCATGGTTGTTAGTTTCCTGAGGGCTCCCCATAAGCCAAGCTGATGCTGCATGCTTCCGCTGCAGCCTGCAGAACTGTGAGCCAACCAAACTTCTTTTCATTATAAATTACCCAGTGTCAAGTATTTCTTTATAGCAATGTGAGAACTGACTAATACAGACTGTCATATATTATTGTATCTGACTAGGGGCTGACTGGGGTTCTCTTGGATTTGAATGGCAACCTCGCTAGTGAGATTAGAGGTACTTTCATGAACTATATCTTCATACATATTTTCCAACTTGCCTATTCTCTTTCCTTCTCTCTCAGAAATGTTGATAAATTGTAGATTTGTTCTCTAAGTAATCTCATATTTCTCAATGGGGATGTTGATTTTTCTTAATTCTTTTATCTTTATTTTTGTCTGACTATGTTGATTCAATAAAACAGTGAGCTCTGAGATTCTTTTCTCAGTTTAGTCTATTCTGCTGGAAATACTTCTGATTTTATTATAAAATCCTCACAGTAAATCTTTCAGCTCAAGAATTTTTTAGTTTAGATATTTTTTAAGATTGCTATTTTATCTTTCAGGTTTTGAATCATTTAACCGGATTGCTTGGCTTCCTTGGGTTAAGTTTCAACTTTCTTCTCAATTTAAATGAGTTTCCCTGCTCTTTTTTCCATGTCTGTCATTTTAGACAATTCAGACTGTTAAAAACCATCACTGGGGCACTAGTGGGCTCTCTTGAAGGAGACACTCTGGCTTTTTGCATTGCCAGAGATTTTGAGCCAATTCTTTCTCATCTGAGAGAACTGGTATACCTCTAATTGGGGCATAAATTGAGTATAGTCTATTGGCTTTCTTTTTTTGAAGGTTTTCAGAGGACTAGGACTCTGTACAGTGTCTTTGTTGTTGAATTCTTGCTCTTGGTTTCACAGGGGAAGAATTAGTAAAGTGATTTTTGGTGGTGTAATCTCTACTGCGATCCAGTAGATAGCACTTGAGAGCAGTGGGATGTAGATAGGTTCTTTACCATGCAGTTCCTTTGTGTATCTTCTTTATTTGCAACTATGTTCTGTGGTACAGGTCTGTTCATGAGTCTTGAGAGACTCACTTCCAATCACTGGCACTATGCCCATTATTATTACTATCATTATCTCCTTTTTTTTTTTTTTTTTTTTGAGACGGAGTCTCGCTCTGTCGCCCAGAGACTGGAGTGCAGTGGCAGGATCTCGGCTCACTGCAAGCTCCGCCTCCTCGGTTGATGCCATTCTCCTGCCTCAGCCTCCCGGCTAGCTGGGACTACAGGCGCCCGCCACCACACCCGACTATTTTTTTGTATTTTTAGTAGAGACGGGGTTTCACCGTGTTATCCAGGATGGTCTCGATCTCCTGACCTCGTGATCCGCCCGCCTCCTCCTCCCAAAGTGCTGGGATTACAGGCGTGAGCCACCGCGCCCGGCCTATTACTATCATTATCATTATTGTCATTGTTGTTAGGTGTTTCAAGCTGTGGGGCTCCCTCAGGGAGATGTCTTCTAGAAAAATACCCTGCATCTTTACCATAACAGCCCTGTGGAAGGAGGTGTGCCTAGGGCCCACGCCAGCCTGTGAACCTGTGTGAATCTGGCCTCTCAGTTTCTGAAGAGTGTGGGTTCCTCCCCCATTCAACTGCCCAGCACAGATCCCAGCTTGGCACTCCTGAACCACAGGCCACAGCACTGGAGTGCCACGACTTGCTTATGACTCCCTCTTCCTGATGCTTAGGGCCAGGTTCCAAGTGTGGTGAGGGATCTGAGGGATTTCTGGGCCGCCAGAATGCATTCAGGTGGAGCCAAGCATCCAGGTTGGGTAGCAGAAACTACAATGTATACATGCTTCTCCCAGGAAGCCAGGCAGGGGCCATGTAAGAGGCTGGTGGACAGGCATGCCTACAGGATAGACATGTCCCAATCCTGCGGGTAAGCAGGCCTTGCTTTCTCCCTGCAGTTTAGCTGGGGCCAAAGCCTCTGAGAGAGATAGGCAGCCACGGAGGTGGGACTTTATGGTTGAGCTCCACCAGATCTGACCCATGATAAAA